>NC_000011.10:109293636-109596667 GCF_000001405.40 Homo sapiens | reverse complement strand
TCCTTGGGAAGATTGTGCAATGCAAGGGAGAAGTCTAGTCTCTAAAAACCTGTTTGGATCAAAATACTAACCTATCAAACCAATTTCTGAAACTATGTGTATTGCAAGTGTCTTGGGATCAAGAACAAGGTGAGAACCCAGCCATTCTATCTGTAGCACAAGACTAGAGTGGTGCCAGAGCAAAGTAGATGATGTAGAACCTGGGAATCCTTGGATTCCCCCAAAATTCAGGAAAAAAATACTTTTAGAGCCTAGAGCAAAGCTGGACCTGCAGATGGATGCTAAAGGGCTCTATTTATAGTAATTTGAGGGATTTGAGGACAAGGACTACAGAAGTCATTACTCCTCTCAGACAATTCAGTTATTAAGAAGGACAAACGGATCTGA
Organism: Homo sapiens; assembly: GCF_000001405.40. Lineage (NCBI taxonomy): Eukaryota > Metazoa > Chordata > Mammalia > Primates > Hominidae > Homo > Homo sapiens. The sequence continues at coordinate 109,596,280 of NC_000011.10, read as the reverse complement.
CTAGCCTGCCTCTAGAGGTAAATGTGCATGGATCATTCATGTGAGAAATCTACGTGGAAGCTGGGGAGGCAAGTCAGTAACAGATTCCCAAGTCTGAAGTGTGCATGTATTTATTGTTCCCTCAGAAGATTACTTACTCCAGGACAAAGATATTTGGAAAGGACTTTTGTCCTTAAGCCTGTATATTGGTGCTCTTGCCTAATAAATAACATTCTTTAAGATATTTTCCATATCTGGTTCAGTCTGAGTCTCACATTGTTAGGAGAGGCACTCCATGGCCTACGAATCTTAGCAGAGTAGGGCTTGTTCACAACACTTGACCAGGTACCATTCCAGTGTCTATCATTTCTGGCAAGACTTCAAGTCACAGCCTTCACATCAGAGCTCCCTGAATAAGCCAGAAGAGAATCATTTTAACCCAAATAGACCAACTAGGAAAGCTCTCAGCCTTAAGTCAAAATAGGTCAGACAACCAAAAATATAGTCAAAACTTTAATAGAATTAGAAAACTTATCATGAAAAACTTATAGAGAATTTTATCCAGAAATAAATACTTTCTAGCATTGGATTTAGTCTTAAGATTGTAGCAAAGTCAAACTGCTCAATTTTTTCTTTAATGTTGACATATTTTTTTTTTCAACACAAAAAAGGGGAAGAGGACTCAACAGTAGTGAATACTAGTTGCATTCTGAGAGACTGGGGCAGTAGTTACTTGATTAAACATTCCAAAAGGAATTTCTGCTAGATGTTCCACAATTTGAATGTAAGCCACAACTTTTAAATATGAAATGTTGTTGTTCTGTTTCTTTACCGGCAGCTATGAGAAGAGGCAGGTTTTTGTTTGTTTGTTTGTTTGTTTGTTTTTTAAGGGAAGCAGGGAAAGGCAATATAGAGAAAGGGGTCAGTGATTTTGTTGTTATTGTTGTTTTGCTTGTTAATAGTCTTCATTGTTCTGTTGAGATCTGTTGAAATATCTCCCTCTTTCCACAAACTACAAGCTTTCCCAGAATAGAGTCTCGTTTTACTCCCCTACTGATATTGTGTTTGCCACAGAGAGCAGACATGCTTTCTATTGAACAATTGAATAAATGAATCAGTGTGTAAATGGCAATTTCCCTAAAAGCACTAAGTTAGAAAGCTGTTTGTCCCCTCCCTAAATCAGAAGGAAAGGACAAGTCAACCTAGATTTATTTATCTCACCCATGCTGAGAGCAAAAGCCACTTGAAAACAAGTCCACCAAGAGACGCATGGGTCAGAGCAGAGAGAGGCTAACAGGCCATGGTAGAAGAGTGTTCTCCATGAAACCTTCCCAAATGCCCTTGATCTTCTCTTTACACTATCTCAGAACACTCTTCTGAGTTTATTACAGCCCTTTCTCATTTGGAGAATTGGATGTTTGAGACTTTTGGAGAAAGGGAGTAAAGACAGAAAACTATAACACCTTGTAAGGCTGAGCATGCCCTGGTGGCCAGGGCACTGCTTTCTGTATATTCGTCTGCTACAGTGTGAGTGTGCGTCTCCAAAATTCAGGTGTTGGCAGTATGATAGTATTAAGAGGTGGGCCTTTAAGAGGGATTAGGCTATGAAGTATCCCTGCTCCTGAATGGATTCATGCCATTTCAAAAGGGTTTGAGGGAGAGAGTTTGCCCTTTCTTGCCCTTCTGCCTTCTGTCATGTGAGGACACAGCTTCCCCTCTGGAGGATGCAGGTTTCAAAGTGCCATCTTGGAAGCAGAGACCAGGTTCTCACTAGACACCTGAATCTGCAGTGTCTTAATCTTGGACTTCCCAGTGTCCAGAAATGAGAGGAAATAAAATTCTGTTCTTTATAAATTACCCAGTTTGTGATATTCTGTTATAGCAACACAAACAGACTAAGACAGACTCATTCATCCTCAAGCAATCACAAGACATGGAAATTAATGCTATTACCATTGGGCAGATAGAGGAATCTGAGGTACAGAGAGGTTAGGTGACTTTTCCAAAGTTACCCAGCTAGTCTGAGAAGATTATGATTCCAGAGTCCCCATCTTTAACCACAGAGGAACTTAGCTGTCCAGAATTTTGCCTTACCTCAACAGAATCATCTCATCACTTTGTTTTCTGAATAAATGGGACTTTAGGAAACAAACTCCAGCTGTTCCACTAAATCCTCTCATTATCCTGAAGACATGTAAAGTCAAGTGCATGGAGCAGAAGATAATCTGGTGGTGACCTCGAAGCATTTTCAAACCACCCAGAGCTAAATGAGCCAGTGGCCAAAGTGTAGGAAAGCTGAGCTCTGGGAAGGCGGGGAGCCCACACTTGCTAAGGGCTTTTGCTCTTTCACCTTCCTATCTTTTCACAGTCACAAACCTTCTTACTGGCAGTCACTTCTGACTCCAAGTCCTCCCACTTGTCAAAAGGTCTCCATTTGCCTGACCATAATGAGCAATTTGCTCTAATCCGTGAATAGAAATTGGAATTTAATTCATTTTAGTGGCATTTCAAGAAGAGAGATGCTTAAACAAGCTATTTGATGTCCTCTATGTTACTACTGAAGGTTAATCGCTACCCAATATGCATACTTGAGCTCCAAACTATGTTCTTGATAAAATGGAATAATTAAACCACAAGTGGCAATTACTTGTATTTTAGGAGGCTTCTTGCTGTAGCAGCATTATTAAGTAATGTCTTTTCAAAGTTGGCAGTCAGCTCTCAAATTTCTATTTTCAAATGTGTATGCTATCCATTAATTTCTGTTAATTTTGTTCAGTATTGCAAATGGAAAGGTTATTATAGGACTAAAATCTGAAGCTGGTATTTTGTGATATGCCTTATTCTCCTCATAAACATCTTTGCTTCAGAAATTTGTCTTCATTTTAATATATTCTAAACATATAAACATTGCCTTATTAGAAATATTTCTGAATTTATTTTAGAAATGTAGCTCTGATGCATTCATTTAGACTGAGTGTTTCACAGCCACTTAAAATTCTGTATTTGAGAAATATTTGTTGACATAAATAAACATGGGACATGGGGAAATGTTTATAATGTGAATGAAAAAATGTTAAACCTAATGCAGAGTATTAACATCATTTTAGAAATATAATTCTGCATGTGCACAGATATAGGAAAAAATGATTTTTAAATTACCAGATATCTCGATAGTGGATTTTAGATAGTTTTCATTTTATTTTCATCTTTTTCTGTATTGACCATTGTTTTGTAATACACACAGATTGTTTTTGTACTTTATTATGTTTATTAATATTTTGTAAATTATAAGAAAATTGTCATATTTGAACTCAAACACTACAGATAGGGCTGAAATACTTCCTAAATATCTTATACTTTCAGTCCCCACCACAGAGACTAACATGGTTACTAATTTGGTGGGTAGCTGGGTTTCTCAACAGTGGCTCTATAGACATGTTGGGCAGGATAACGCTTTTTTTGGGGAGTGGATGGGGGATTGCCATTCTGTACACTATAGGATGTTTTATCTCTGGTCTCTATCCACTAGACGCCAGTGGCACCCACCTGTTAGCTGTGATAACTAAAAATGTCTCCAGGCATTGCTAAATGTCCTCTGGGGGGCAAAATCACCACCAGTTGAAAACCCCTGGTGTCTAGCTTCCCAGGACTTGTTTCTCAGCTTTGGCATGTGCATACACTCACATAAAAATACGTCACCAAAAAATAAACGATATTCTGTACATATCTATAACTTGCTTTTATTGTATTCAATGTGATGTCTTTATGGCCTTTGTAAGTTAATGCATGTAGATTTCGTGTATTACATTAATTATCAGAAAACAAAAATGTAATAAAAACTTACAAAGAAGAAATGTATGCCATCATAATCCACACAAAGACTTTTAGGATGCCATCACTCTACATAAATACAGTGCGGAAGGTGACTCTGGGGCATGTTCCACTCCCTGATGAAAGGAAGAACCCCCCTAAAAGCCACTGTGACTGAGAACCAAGTTAAAAGAATGAAATAATACGATGCCCCATCTAGGCAGAATGTGAGAAAAGGATGTTACCCTCAGATTCAGGGGCAGGAGGTGTCAGTCCCCAGAACAAGGCTAGTCAAAGAGTCCTCCTGCATTAATGTCTTCTCACCAATTGCTGCGATCCAACACCAGCCCGTTTCTTTGTACCCTTTTCTACATCTAAACCTAGCACTGCAAACCTTTTTTTTTTTGATCAGTATAAAGGACCCACATTAAAGCAATATTTAACCTTTGAGTTTAGAATCAATGTTCAAAAACAAAATTTAGGTTAATTCTTCGCCCTGAAAGTATCACAGTCGATTCCATTCATAAGAAACAGAGCATTGATAGCTCCCCAAGAGCTCCAAGTCCTGGGGTGCCTCTTCCTTGTCCCAACTCAAACCTTTCTTCCAGAGTTAATGACTATGCTGAATTTTTTGATAATCATATTTTAATTTTCTATGTGGTTTGTTACCCATGTATGCATTCCTAAATAATATGGCAGCTTTGCCTATTTTGAACCTTATTTCATTCATCATTACATCATTACATGTGAGAATCATCTATAAGGTTAATCATGGCTATGATTTGGTCATTATCATTACTGTAGATATACTGTTTTATGAATAGACAACAGTTATTTATACAGTCTATTCTTTCTGGTTATTTAGATATTTTTTCAATTTTAGATATGACAAAGAATTCTTCAGTATGTACTCCTGCTCATGGGTCCTGGGACACATGTGCATGAGTTTCTCTAGGGTACATACCAAACATTGGATTAACCACATTGAAGGGTCTGTATGTGATTTAAACTCCTGAGAGCACTGAAGAAAAGTTTGCTCCACATTTTCACCATTACTTGGTTGTTCACAGCCATTGAAATTTCAATGTGGTTTTTGCTTTTTAATACTATGCAATTGAATATAAATACCTGTGAATAATAGAGATGGTATAAAGGCCTTTGAACTAAATGAACACTAGATGAAGTTATCTGAATGAGCTTCTTCCCACCCCGAGTGCGGTGAGGCCAGTGCCTTACAAATTTCTCCATCTTTCCCCTTGACAGTCAGGAACTAAGAAGAAGAGGGGAGGATGGGGCTACAAAGACTGAGTCTGAAGAGTCCCTGGGTCCAAGCCAGAGAAAATTTTAAATGCCCTGTCACCAAATCCAAGTGGTTAGCCAAAAAGTAATGTTTTAAACAACTGAATAAAAACATTATCAAATCCAACTGACAAAAACAAATAGAAAACAAGAACTGTTACAAGCTCAAATACTACACCAACATGGAACTCATCCAACTTCCTGCCTGCCCACACCTATTCATTAACAGTGCTCCCCATCTCAGCAAATGACATCACCATTCAGCCTGCAGACCAAATCACAACAAGAATATTTTTATGGAATTCTCCCCCTTCTTCACCATCCACACCCAATAACTTTTTCTCAAATATGCCCACTTACCTCTATCCCTATCTCCAATAGCTTAATATCTTAGTCCAGAGCACTCACATTGCTTGCCTGGATATGAGCCATCAACAGCTTCCTCACGCTTTCCCTGAATCCACTGTATTTCAAGCCCCTAAGTCGGGGATCTGATTCCTGATATACACTACTGTATTTGATGAATGAATGAATTTATTCTTGTTTCCTTCCAGGATATTCACCAAGGAGGTATCTTCTCAAATACTGGTCTAATTGCATTGCTACAAACCTTTAAATCTTTCAATGGCTTCCCATTGCTTTTAGGGTAAAATTCCAAGTTATCACTGCATGTTCTCACTTATAAGTGGGAGTGGAACATTGAGAACACATGGACACAGAGAGGGGAACTACACACACCAGGGCCTGTTGGAGGGTGAGGGGATGAGGGGAAGGAACTTAGAGGACACATTAATAGGTGCAGCAAACCACCATGGCACATGTATACCTATATAACAAACCTGAACGTTCTGCACATGTATCCTGTTGTTTTTTTTTTTAAAGAATTTTTTTGTAAAAAGTAAAAACATCAAAAAAATACAATAAACATGAAAAAAATTCCAGATTCTGGACATTCTGTCATTCTGGGTTCCTGTCTAAGGATTTTGTGAGATCAGAGCCCTCCAAAAACTCTCAGTGGATAAGAAGCAGGAGAATAAAGCTTTGTTGTTTTAAGACAAAAAATAATCCAAGTTATTTAATACAGCTTACAAGACTGTAAGTGATCTTCTCATGGCTTAACTCTCAAGCTTTATTGTTCACAAGTTCTTCCTTTGAAACCCATACTTTAGATATTCTGAACTTCTAGTTGAGCCTAGAACACTCTGCCTTCTCTTGTCTCTGGGACTTTTCACATGCTAATCTCTTCCCCAGAATACTTCTCTAAAGGCTATTTCCCTCTTAGCAGCTACCAGGGTTATTTATCAATATTCTGGCCCTTTCTTCACCAAGGCCCAGTAGGGTTGTGTTTCCTTGCCCCCTTAGGTTAGGTATAGTTATGTAAATCTTTCTGGCTAATGAAATTTGAACAGAAGTGACTTGCATCACTTCTGGGGTGATGATGGAAGAGCCAGTGGGCAGTCATGTATTCTCGGTCTGTTTCTCTCCTTTTCGCCTCAGGATCCAAATGTCTTTGCCCATAACTGTGTCTGGCTGTCAGGAATGTGCTCTGATAAATAAAAGAAATGACTTTCCTATCTGTCCCACCAATTCTGCTTCTGAAGACATGTGTATAAACCATGCACCTGGTTTGAGAGTAGAAAATGATTGTTGGCTCCTAAATTTGCTTTTAAAAATATGTTTCTAATCCAGAAATGACACACATAGAGTGTGTTATTTGTATGTCTGATTTCTTGGTAATGCACTAAAGGCATGGGGATAGTTCCTGGACTGGCCCAGAATGATGTCTTGATTGCTACCACCGTGGGGAAGCCTTTGGAGGCTTATTACAATGTGTGGGATAAGACAGCCACTAAAAACATTCATCAGGCAAGATAGAAAAGGATTTCAATGGTGATTATCCTGTTGGCCTGTCTCTTCCTCTTTCTGTCTCTCCATATCTCTGTCACTCCTGTATTTCCCCTGCCGCCTCCTCTCTCCTTTACTCTCACCCTCTTTTTCTCATTTGCACTCTTGCCCACTTCTATCACTGCCTTCTGTTTTTGATGAGTACCAAAAACAAGTTAGGAACTGTTTACTTTGTCAGCAAGTGGGAAAGAGATCCTGCAGCATCTATATCTCCTCATCCCCTTCACTTCTCCTCCCTCCCAATCCCATCCCTTCACCTCCCCTCCCTCCCAATCCCATCCCTTCACCTCCCCATCTCCTTTTCTCTGTGCCTGCCCCTTTCTCTCCCTCTATCACTTGTCCTCCTCCCCTCTCTTCTTCTTTTTTTGTTTTTAAATACTATAAAATGAAACAGAGCATGCTCAAAACCATGGTAATCTTTTCGAAGAAAGAGAATCTCTTTAGTTTTCACATGGTTTGGGAGAAAAGAGGCCATTTGCTTTCTTCCTTGGGGTCATGGGTCTTTTAAAAAGGCTGAGATGGAGCTAACAATTAGAGAAGCCACCCTGTTGTTCTTCTTCCAGACCCCCTTCCCTAGCCTCTGTTTCCGAAGCCTCTCAGCCTGGCTTTCTATTCCCTTTTCACTGCTCTGCTCTCTTTACCTGTACTTCACTGCTGGAAGTCCAGTTATTCCTACCTACAGAGTTTTTTGCAAAAGATGAAAATTACTAAGGTTCTTTAGAATTAGTTGGTATAAAGACAATATACATTGATTGAAAACATCTTAGGAAATCGTTTAAATTGCAGAATTGCAATACTATTCAGGCATAATAACTGGGTTATTTAGAAAATTTGGGACTGCTTTTCAACATATTATTAATAGGAAGAAAAGGTACTTAAATTGTTTCCCTCACTTTACTCAACCTACTAGCTCAAAGCCAATAAACAGTACACACTTATGAAACTGAATTTGTAGGGTTCGTATCAGTCTAAGGTTGCTTCCTCATGGAGCTATTATTTTGTAACATATCCCTTTTCAAAGAAAATTCAAAGGTTGCCTGTATATATTCAGGTATATTCAACACAAAAAAAAACACGTATGTGCCTCAAGTCTGTGAGCAAAAAGAATTTTAGTATCTGAGTTTTGAACTCTACTTTTTCCCACAATATTGCTTTCCTTTGAGACCTTCAAATACAGTTTCTTAATGATCTAGACAAAACAACAAGGATTAGATAGTATTAAGAAAGCAGAATAATAGGGTAGCAATTTATTATTGTACACAGTCTACTTCTTTCCAGGATGATTTTTAAATCCTATTCAGGAGTTTATCATGACAGCAGAAACCATTTCATCCAAATGCATGAGGTTTTCAGAATATAATTTTTTTTCCAAAGGAAGAATGCTTCAAAATAAATACAAACAATTGCTCCAATGTCAACTATGCCTGTACTGTGATGAAAGTACAAAAATTAGCAAATTAAAGCAATGTTGCCATTTCTGAAAGTTCCATAGTAAAATGAAACTATTCTTAGCTAACATTTTTTGAAATGTTACTCTATGCCAAGCCCTGTGCTAAAGGTTTTTACATATATTGTTTCATACATGAAGAAATGAATGCTCACGAAGTTTAAGTAGCATTCACAAGGTTACTCAGCCCTTAGTTGGCAGGGCTAATGCTTGAACCCAGGTTTGTCCAGCTCCAAGCCCATGCCCACTCTCACCATACAGATCAAGAATTCTAGACACAGAGTGTCTGGGTTTCAATTCCAGCTCCACTTTTCTAGCTCAAGGTCTAATTGAGGACATTTTTAAATCTCTGTGTTAGCTGTGTCTCTATACAAAGGAGATGATCTATAATCATACCTACCTTATAAAGTCATGATAATGACAAAGTGAAATAAAATATATACATAAACAACTGAACAACACCTAGTAAGTGCTCAATAAGTGCTACAGATTATTACCCTTTATTCTCATTTTCCCTGCCACCCCTCCTTTCCAGAAGAAAACAAAACAAAAAGCTGAGGTATTTTTGTTTTGTTTTACTTTTCTTCCTCAATAGAGCATAATAATGGTAATTTAAAAATAAGTTTTAGTTGAGAGAGAGTGACTAAATAAAAGTCTAATAATAGAAGATAAATTAATTACTTTCAGGTTCCCCAACAATATTATGATTTTCTATCTTCCTGACAATGAAGACAGCCCAGGCAAAGTTAACCTGATTCAAGCAGACCAGTGCCATTTGCCATCTTCATGCTGTGCTTTGAATGGGCTCCTTGGCCACACCCATCAGCAGTCCTGGAGCTGGCAGGGCCTTCCTGTGTGGAGGGCTGTGACTGGGTGTTGTCAATTTCCTGAGGAGACGATACAGGAAGAGGGGCTGGGAGAAGCAAAGGAAAAAGGAACAGATGGGGAACTAAGGTTGGTTTAGAAACGATTTCATTTGATCCTAAAGATAACATCCATCTGCCTCCCTTCTGCCCATCCTCCTTTCTTCTTTTCCTTTCTCCCTACCCTATTCTCTCTTTCTCCTCTCTCCTTGCCCCTCACTCTTTCTCTGTCTACTTCACTTTCCTCTTTTCTTCTCCTCTTTATATTCTTTGAGCCCCTACGTTTATTTATGCCCATTTTGCTACTGAGAAAACGAAGTTTTAAAATATCAATAACTAGCTCAAAGTCACATAGTATGTTTGTGATGGAGTTTTATTATATATATTTAAGGTGTGCAACGTAATTTTTTGTTCATTTGTTTGTTTGAGATGGAGTCTCGCTCTATCGCCCAGGATGGAGTGCTGTGGCGTGATCTCGGCTCACGGCAAGCTCCGCCTCCCGGGTTCATGCCATTCTCCTGCCTCAGCCTCCTGAGTAGCTGGGACTACAGGCGCCTGCCACCACACCTGGCTAATTTTTTGTATTTTTAGTAGAGACAGGGTTTCACCGTGTTAGCCAGGATGGTCTCGATCTCCTGACCTCGTGATCTGCCCACCTTGGCCTCCCAAAGTGCTGGGATTACAGGCATGAGCCACCACACCCAGCTACAACATAATGTTTTTAAATACATATATGGTGAAATGGTTACTATGGTCAAGCAAATTAACATATGTATCATCTCACATAGTTAACCCCTACCTTTTTTTGTGTCAATAGTACTTAAAATTTCTCAAATACAATACAGTGCTGTTAGCTATGATCCTCATTTCATACATGTGATGGAAATTTGTACAAAGTTTTCTTTGGTTCATAAGGCCTTGCTCTTTCAGTGGTATTCCTCTACCTAAAAGAGGATGGGGCACATAGGCAAAGGGGGAGGCATCTCCCTAGGAAGACATGGCAGGAACAGAAGGGATTCCATTAACAGCTTGAGGGGCCACCTTTTCTCTTTTGGGTCATAGTTGTAGTAGCCTGCTCTAGAAAGTTGTTTATTTTTGCCTTCTACTTCAAGAAGAAAAAAAACAGTGTTGACTATCACCAAGGCTACTGCCTACTTTTTCTTTTGTCTACTAGAGAAGAAAAATCTCAACCACATCTTTCTCAGTGGTTTGACATTTAAATTTTCAGACAGTAATAAACTACGCTGCCTCTTTGAAGGTTGGGATTGTTCCCTCATTGCTAAACTTCACAGTTTGCTGCACTTTGCTGGATTTGCAAATTGTGAAGATAGGCTCAACCTCCTTGGGGACTGATTATACTTTTTTAAAATCTGCATTTTTATATTATTAACTCTCAAAGAGACAAAAAATATATTTCCTTTCTATCACTGATTCCATTTTCTATAGACTTGGTAGGTCAAATTAGGCTTCTAGAATAATGAAGTCCTCTAGACATTTCCATTATACCTTTTGGACAAGGAAGAATAAAAGTATAAGTTAAAATACATAAAGCACAAGGTTCTGTCTTTTAGGGGAGAGCTTTCCTAATGCCCTGTACTTATCTCATCTGCCTCTAAAATACGCTTGCCTTATTTTTCCTGAAGGTACCAAACCATCCCTCAGCACTGGTTCTGTCTAGTAATAGTTGCAATTATTTTGCCAGATGGTGCTTATGTGTTTGGTTAAAATGCTAAATATTGTAATTATTTGATAAATAAAAGTTATCAAACAGTTTATGGATATATCAACAAGAAGACTGAGGGATATAATAAAAGATGATCAATTAATGACATATGTGTAAAGTAAGATGCCAAGTATACATGATGAGTTATCAAATAAAACACTTAGAGGTGACGGCAGAAACTGCTGAGTTGGAATGCTACCTTTCCTCTTAGTCGTCAAAGGAAGTCGTTAGTAGCCCTCCTGAACACTAAAAGAGGAAGCACATCTTAGTTATGGCCAAGAAAAGAAATATTTATGAAGCAATTTCTCCTCATTGATGATTCAAAGCAGTGAGGTGTTTCTGATTTAAAAAAGAAAAATCCAACCAATTTGTCAGTGCAGTGTTGGAAGGAACAGTTTCTTATTTGATTTCATTGACTTAACACATCCTGGGAATAACAAGTACTCTGTTAGTCCCCAAACATGGAGAAGGCAGATGCATGCAGAATAGCTGCTTAATAGAAGCACTGTCATTTGTTAAAGGAAAGGTCTGCTTACATTTCCTTGGGCTCTTTAGGAGTGGGAATAAACCAAGCATAGCACCATTTGTTTCTGTAGCACAGCTACAATGCCATAAACAACCAAAGTAGAAGTAAATATTTTTCTGTTTCTCAACAAGAACATGTTCCTGTGAAGCTCCCTGTTTACAAATATACTTTCCCTGGATTGGGTTTCTTAGGGACATCTTTGCCTTTTCCCCTTAATCAGAAAGGAACCCGCCAATGACAATTCTGGTGAATTTAAGTACTGCCACATTGACCCTGCCAGAGAAGCTGCTGATTGCTTGACTTAGTTCATGCTAAATGGTCATGAATATTCATCTCATTCTGTTTTATCTAGGATTTGAATAAGTGCCTCATTTACTAGAGCTATTTATGATATCTTGTAGGATTCCAGAGTGATTTGTAAAATAAGCAAAGTTTATGTGCAATGTGAAAGAAATATAAGTAAATTTGAGGAAGGGTGTTTCAGAAAGCTAACATTCCTCAAATCTCCAGGGAGATTTTAAAACATACTCTGCATGCATTAAATGAAAAACTTTGGAGGTGAGGTCATGATATCATGTTTTTTGAAACTCCCTAAATTGGTTTAATGTTCAGCCAGGCTGAGAATCTCTTTTCTACATGTTTAAGCTCCTAAATATAACTTAGAATGAATTTCATTGGGGAAAGGGCCTGAAGAATCAGTTTGCTGAGGAAGATATGCAAATGACCAATACATATTTTAAAAATATATTAAACCTCAATAGTAACCAATGAAATACAAAATGAAACTACAGTAGAATAGCATTTCTGCCTATTACGTTGGTAAAGTTTTAAAGCTAACAATATTTGATAGGATGTAAAGGACATAGTGGTTGTCTTGTGAACATCAATTATATACCTTTGCTGCTGTGAGCAACAGTATGGCAAGGGTAGGTTTGGCCCTCACTCTGCCCCTAGAATGCTCCCTGAGTGCTAATTCTCATCAAGGTAACAGGATCTTCTTAATCCCAATGTTCTATCCTAACTTAACCTGGCCAATTTGAATACCTTATATCAGTGCTTTTGGAATGAATCTTTTCTCCTTCTAGGTATAAAATAAGTTCAACACTGGCAACCATCTGATAACCACAGAGAAATGAGACTGAGGATAAAACTAATCTAAAGAGGATACCAACGAAGCTGTAACCCTCCAGTTACATAAACCAGTAAGTCCCCTTTCTGTTTAGGGCAGGTTGACTCGGTTTTTGTTTATTTGTTTTTTTAATCATCATCATTATTTATAACTGAAAAAATACTATTTAATAAGGCTGCAATGGATAATAACAAACTCAGCTGTTGGAGACCAAAATTTAAAGTAATCTTTCCAAAGAGCAGTTAGCTATACACACACACAGAGACACACACACATATATACATACACACACACACACACACACACACACACACACACACACACATATATATATAGTTGGAAACATTAAAAATAATCATACCTCTCACTCCGTAATCTCACTTCTAGAAGTTTACCCTAAGGAAATAATCATAGTCAAAGATTTATGTTAAATAATATTCATAACAGAGTTACTTTTAATAGCTAGAAATTAGAAATAGCCAAATGATCAACGTAATAATCTCACATAAGCAACATTGGTTACATTTATATGGTGCAGTCATTACCATCTGCCTTTAACAGTATTTACTAATTATCATGAATTTTAAAAATGTGTATATCTGAAGGAAAATATCGAATATAAAATAATTATTCTGGCTAGTGGGATTATGTGCAATTCTTATTTCCCTCTATGGACCTTTTTTGTATTTCCCAATTCTCTGTAATGAGGATGTATTAGTTTTGTAATCAAGATTCTTACCACACATAATGAGTACATCCTCTTGCAACCCTATATTATATTTTATCTTTCCCAGAGGATATCCCTTTCCAGAGAACCATTCTTTTAGCAGTCCAGCGCCCTGTGAAATACTGAGAGGCAATTAGTCGAATCATGCAGGATTCCCCTCTGCACATTTCTAGCCTTCTCAGTAAGCACTACTCTCAGCAGCCCTCCTTTACTCTCCCAGGCCGTCACGGGCTAGCAATCCTAACTCAACATCTTTTCTGGGGCCTTCTAATCAGGGCTGCGATGAAAGGAAGAAAGATGGAGTGGGCTCTGGGAAGCTCCCCTATTCTGCTCACTATTGGCAACATCTTTAAATCATAGAATTTTTTAAAGACGCAAGTGTAATCTATTATAATTGATTAACCAGCTCCATGGACGCTTGACCTTCTATTTGCACCAACTTTAATCAACTTAAAAGCATCATAGTAAAGAATTACTTGAAATCCTTATTTTTCCAAAGTTAAAGGCCCCGTGCATCTTGGTTACTACCTTCTTTCTTTAAATGAGTTCCCCTTCTGTGGTTTGCTTTGCTCTAAAAAAACAAAAACAAAACAAAACAAAATAAAAAACACTTTTAGTAATAAGTCACAAGAAGGGGCTTCTTTCAGAGAAAGTGCAGAGCAGCTGACATCTTCAGCAAATGAAGAAAAACCGCCCTTATGCTTTGAGTGACAAGGGATTTGCCAGTCAGAGAGCCTGACTTCTAAAGTGAGGTCCTGAACAGTAACTTATATTTAGGATGAGGCAAGGGACTCCCCCAAAATCTAATTATTTCCCAACTACCAAATTCTCCAAGAGAGATGAATCTGCTACTGACTAAAGTGAGGAAAGGAAAGGAATGTGAAAAGCTACAAAGTGGAGATTGTTCACAGGGATCAAGTATTATGACTAACGCAGAAAGGAGATTAATACACTGAAAAATACCCAAGCAATTAAGATAATCTGTATCCAGTGTGGTTCATATCCCAGATTACTGTTTCTCAAGCTTTAATATGGTTAGAAACCACCAGGAAGACTTTTTAAAATGTCAGTTCGTATTCAGGAGGCCTGGGGTGAGATTCTGCATTTCTAACAAACTCTCAGGTGATGCTGCTGATTCAAGCATCACACTTTGAATAGCAAGGTCCTAGACCTGGGAGATGGATGAGGCTTGGATCTTACCTGTGGGTCTGAAGGTTTTGCATAGAACCGCTGACAGATAGGGTTTATGAGAAGTTAGAAACTCCAGGTAGCTATGTGAGAATTTGATAGGAAAGAGGGACAAAGAAAGCAGCATAGGAAGTAGTATAGCATAGCATGACATATTGCCAGTGGTTAGAAGCATCATTTTTGGAGTTGGAATCTGATATGCTTAGGCTTTGTGTCCCCACCCAAATTTCGTCTTGAATTGTAATCCCATAATCCCCATAATCCCCATGCATCAAGGGAGAGAGCAGGTGGAGGTAATTGAATAATTGAAGCAGTTTTCTGCTGTTCTCGTGCTGGTGACTGAGTTCTCATGAGATCTGATGGTTCTATAAAGGGCTCTTCCTGCTTCGCTCAGCACTTCGCCTTCTTGCCGCCTTGGGAAGAAGGTGCCTTGCTTCCTCTTTGCCTTCTGCCGTGATTGTAAGTTTCCTGAGGCCTCCCCAGCCATGCTGAAATGTGAGTCAATTAAACCTTTTCCTCTATAAATGGCCCAGTCTTGGGCAGTTCTTTATAGCAGTATGAAAAAGGGCTGAGAGTAAATCTCTATATCTTTTAATACAATCTTGTACCCTAGGCTTTTACTGGACAGCTCTGAGTCTTAATTTCCTTATCTGTAAAATGCTATCATGATTCCAAGAGTTTTTGAGTGAGACATGTGAAATACTTGACACTGTAAATACAGAATTAATGGTGAAAATGTAGCGGTTGTTATGATCATTGTCGTTATGATTATGGTCATGTTTGGGTGCGTGACTAACGTGTTTATATAGCTAGAAAGAATAAAAAGAGTCTTCCATGATTAAAAGATAATGCCATTGGACATGATTCTTCAGTTTTTCCTTGTTCCTAATGCCAGTAGATACCTTTTAGATCCAAAGTGCCTCTTTGTCTTGGAATCCTTTTGTTGTCTGGGAAATTTTAACCAGCTATACCTTTTATTGGAAGAGTGTGACATCCTGTCTCTAATACTCCAATCTGTGCATAAATGAGTGAGAAATATTTGCCCTGGAGAGAGGAGGCAGTGGTATTTTTTAAAGGTGTCCCCATTGTGTGGGACTTACTCTAAGGTGACGGTCCTTGTAAAGAGAGTTGAGTGCAGGGCATGGGAGGACAGTGGATTGAGGGATTATTATTTGTTGATATCCTACCAACTTTGACCATTTTACATATTTATGTGTTTACTTTACCTCGTTTATTCCACACAACAACTCTATGGAGTAAGTAGAGCTGAGAGACAATTGGAAATTCAGGAGCAGATGTGCCAAGCAGGTCTTTAAGTTCTCACAACTAAAAGTAGTGGAGCTGGGCTTTAAATCCAAATCTCTCTGATTTGTACTTTATATTATACCTGGCTATCTCAGAAGGAACCTTTTGACAAATGCCTCCTGCTTGTGTCTTGCATTCTCATTACCGGAGTCACTATTTAAAGGCCTTTTGAAAACAGGTACTGTTTGTTGACTGCGAAAGGTTCCATGTTTGTAAGATCATGTCATTTAGAATATAGGTGAATAAATAAGAGGCTAGGAAGGTGCAAATAACAATAAATACAGTTGAAATAAGTCTGCAGAAAGTTCCACTGCTGACACATAGAGAAGGTGGGGATCAGAGGAGGAAGCTCTGGGCAGCCTGAGTCAGCAGATGCCCCCAAATGAGAAAATGGTCTCCAAATGGAAACAAAGGGAGAAACCAAGAATATATGCTGACCTCCCAATTTTCCCAAGATTTTTTTTCTAACCAAACCGTGCCAATTCCTTGGGACCCAGCCCTCAGAGCTATTCTGCTCCCTGGAGTTCTGGGACTTACTCAGAATTACAGGGATCCTGAAGGACAGAACTATGCCATCAGGTCCAAAGATAATTAAATAGACTTCCAATTCCTGGAAATCTGAAACCACAGCACAAAGGACTCCAGGAACTGGCTCCATTATTTCTTGTCAGGTGGCTGTATCGGGTCCATGTGGAAATGGCCAGAGAAAGCTGGCCTTTGGAGAGATAAAAATGAATATAGGAAAAGAAAAAAAATATAAGAGACCATGTAAATCCAAGGATCAATGTGGAGCCAAGCTGACAAGCAAATATGCTGCCTCGTTTCCATATTCTTTCCAGTTCTTGTTCCAGCCTCATGTGAGGATGGTTATAGTCCCTGTTTTGAAAGGCATCTTGCTTATTAGCAGTTAGTATCTCATTTATATTTAAGTAACATTAAGTGGTTTCTCTTACTTGTGACCGCCCAATTTCTGACCAAGGTAACCTCAGTCTCATCTGGCCAACTTTTAGCTCATGAAGTTTATTTTTGCTTCCCTGTTTTGCTTGTCACACA
Source organism: Homo sapiens (assembly GCF_000001405.40). Classification (NCBI taxonomy): domain Eukaryota; kingdom Metazoa; phylum Chordata; class Mammalia; order Primates; family Hominidae; genus Homo; species Homo sapiens. The sequence continues at coordinate 109,579,326 of NC_000011.10, read as the reverse complement.
GAAAGAGGCATCTCCTCAGTCAAAAAACTGTACAATAGACTCCAGTTAGCTCACTGGTAGTCTTAAGTAAGTGGATTTTTCATAGAATATTTCATTGTTCTAAAGGGTAGTCACACTAAGCTAGTCAGCTTTAATCAAATACTTTGCCCACAAAATCAGAACGGTGCAGGCTCAACTCTGTTCCATGGAAATTGCTCTCAGATAATGAAAAACATTTTATTCAAATTGTTAACAGTGTATATTTACTGCAAATCTGTTTCAGTTACAAAAACGAAGGAAAACACTATCAAATCCTTCTGCAGTAATTTCAACCCATTAAAGCAGAACAATTTATCTTTTATCCATTGCAATCATGGATGCAATACTAAGGTAGAAAACAATAGAGGCAACTAACAATTTAATGTAGAAGAAAAAGTGAGCCAGAATTTTAATTAAATCTTCTTACATCCCTAGTACAATAGTTTTTGACCTTCAGTAGTGTACATTTTAAATAAAATTTTTGTGCAAAATAAGCAAATGATGGCTGGACGCGGTTGCTCACACCTGTAATCCCAGCACTTTGGGAAGCTGAGGCTGGTGGATCACCTGAGGTCAGGAGTTTGAGACCAACCTGACCAATGTGGAAAAACCCTGTCTCTACTAAAAATACAAAATTAGCTGGGTGTGGTGGCACATGCCTGTAATCCCAGCTACTAGGGAGGCTGAGGCAGGAGAATTGCTTGAACCCAGGATGTGGAGGTTGCGGTGAGCTGAGATCGCACCATTGCACTTCAGCCTGGGCAACAAGAGCGAAACTCTCTCTCTCAAAAAAAGCAAATGACTTAGACCTCCATGCAAGATCTCAGTATGTTGAGGACATTTATAATGTTCACTTCCTTCATATTAGTTCCAAGGAACATCTGTTGCTTAGCTGACATGTTGGAAAGTTTAAGTTTTTTGTTTTTTGTTTTTTTGTTTTTTTTTGAGACAGTCTTGCTCTGTCGCCCAGGCTGGAGTCCAGTGGTGCGATCTCGGCTCACTGCAAGCTCCGCCTCCTGGGTTCATGCCATTCTCCTCCCTCAGCCTCCCGAGTAGCTGGGACTACAGGCGCCCGCCACCACGCCTGGCTAATTTTTTGTATTTTTAGTAGAGAGGGGGTTTCACCATGTTAGCCAGGATGGTCTCAATCTCCTGACCTCGTGATCCGCCCCCTTGGCCTCCCAAAGTGCTGGGATTACAGGCATGAGCCACCGCGCCCGGCTGAAAGTTTAAGTTTTTAAGGAGCCAGGAGTATATAATCAAGTAAGGCAACCCTGTATTCCAGATTCAACACACTGATGGTATGCTTATGCATATTTTCATTAAGAATAGCCCACATTCTTTTTTTATGACAATATTTTTATTTTTATTATTTCATTTTTCCATAAATTATTGGGTGTACAGGTGGTATTTGGTTACATGAGTAAGTTCTTTAGTGGTGATTTGTGAGATCCTGGTGCACGCATCACCCGAGCAGTATATACTGCACCATATATGTTGTCTTTTATCCCTTGCCTCCCTCCCATCTTTCCCCCCAAGTCCCCAAAGTCCATTGTATCATTCTTATGCCTTTGCGTCTTCATAGCTTAGCTCTCACATATCAGTGAGAACATACGATGTTTGGTTTTCCATTCCTGAGTTACTGCACTTAGAATAATAGTCTACAATCTCATCCAGGTCATTGCAAATGCTGTTAATTCATTCCTTTTTATGGCTTAGTATTCCATTGTATAGATATACCACAGTTTCTTTATCCACTCATTGCTTAATGGGCATTTGGGTTGGTTCCACGATTTTGCTATTGTGAATTGTGCTGCTATAAACATGCGTGTGCAAGTATCTACTTTAAATAATGACTTCTTTTCCTCTGGGTAGATACCCAGTAGTGGGATTGCTGGGTCAAATGATAGTTCTACTTTTAGTTATTTGCAGAATCTCCACACTGTTTTCCATAGCTGCTGTACTAGTTTACATTCCTACCAGCAGTGTAGCAGTGTTCCCCGATTGCTACATCCATGCCAACATCTACTGTCTTTTGATTTTTTGATTTTGGCCATTCTTGCAAAAGTAAGGTGGTATCTCATTGTGGTTTTGATTTGCATATCCCTGATCATTAGTGATGTTAAGCATTTTTTTCATGTGTTTGTTGGCCGTTTATAAATCTTTTGAGAATTGTCTATTAATGTCCTTAGCCCACTTTTTGATGGGATTGTTTTGTTTTTTTTTATTTTATTTATTTATTTATTTTATTTATTTTTTATTATACTTTAAGTTTTAGGGTACATGTACACATTGTGCAGGTTAGTTACATACGTATACATGTGCCATGCTGGTGTGCTGCACCCACTAACTCGTCATCTAGCATTAGGTATATCTCCCAGTGCTATCCCTCCCCCCTCCCCCCACCCCACCACAGTCCCCAGAGTGTGATATTCCCCTTCCTGTGTCCATGTGATCTCATTGTTCAATTCCCACCTATGAGTGAGAATATGCGGTGTTTGGTTTTTTGTTCTTGCGATAGTTTACTGAGAATGATGGTTTCCAATTTCATCCATGTCCCTACAAAGGACATGAACTCATCATTTTTTATGGCTGCATAGTATTCCATGGTGTATATGTGCCACATTTTCTTAATCCAGTCTATCATTGTTGGACATTTGGGTTGGTTCCAAGTCTTTGCTATTGTGAATAATGCTGCAATAAACATATGTGTGCATGTGTCTTTATAGCAGCATGATTTATAGTCCTTTGGGTATATACCCAGTAGTGGGATGGCTGGGTCAAATGGTATTTCTAGTTCTAGATCCCTGAGGAATCTCCACACTGACTTCCACAATGGTTGAACTAGTTTACAGTCCCACCAACAGTGTAAAAGTGTTCCTACTTCTCCACATCCTCTCCAGCACCTGTTGTTTCCTGACTTTTTAATGATTGCCATTCTAACTGGTGTGAGATGGTATCTCATTGTGGTTTTGATTTGCATTTCTCTGATGGCCAGTGGTGACAAGCATTTTTTCATGTGTTTTTTGGCTGCATAAATGTCTTCTTTTGAGAAGTGTCTGTTCATATCCTTCACCCACTTTTTGATGGGTTTTTTTCTTGTAAATTTGTTTGAGTTCATTGTAGATTCTGGATATTAGCCCTTTGTCAGATGAGTAGGTTGTGAAAATCTTCTCCCATTTTGTAGGTTGCCTGTTCACTCTGATGGTAGTTTCTTTTGCTGTGCAGAAGCTCTTTAGTTTAATTAGATCCCATTTGTGAATTTTGGCTTTTGATGCCATTGCTTTTGGTGTTTTAGACATGAAGTCCTTGCCCATGCCTATGTCCTGAATGGTAATGCCTAGATTTTCTTCTAGGGTTTTTATGGTTTTAGGTCTAACGTTTAAGTCTTTAATCCACCTTGAATTGATTTTTGTATAAGGTGTAAGGAAGGGATCCAGTTTCAGCTTTCTACATATGTCTAGCCAGTTTTCCCAGCAACATTTATTAAATAGGGAATCCTTTCCCCATTGCTTGTTTTTCTCAGGTTTGTCAAAGATCAGATAGTTGTAGATATGCAGCATTATTTCTGAGGGCTCTGTTCTGTTCCATTGATCTATATCTCTGTTTTGGTACCAGTACCATGCTGTTTTGGTTACTGTAGCCTTGTAGTATAGTTTGAAGTCAGGTAGCGTGATGCCTCCAGCTTTGTTCTTTTGGCTTAGGATTGACTTGGCGATGCGGGCTCTTTTTTGGTTCCATATGAACTTTAAAGTAGTTTTTTCCAATTCTGTGAAGAAAGGCATTGGTAGCTTGATGGGGATGGCATTGAGTCTGTAAATTACCTTGGGCAGTATGGCCATTTTCACGATATTGAGTCTTCCTACCCATGAGCATGGAATGTTCTTCCATTTGTTTGTATCCTCTTTTATTTCCTTGAGCAGTGGTTTGTAGTTCTCCTTGAAGAGGTCCTTCACATCCCTTGTAAGTTGGATTCCTAGGTATTTTATTCTCTTTGAAGCAATTGTGAATGGAAGTTCACTCATGATTTGGCTCTCTGTTTGTCTGTTGTTGGTGTATAAGAATGCTTGTGATTTTGGTATATTGATTTTGTATCCTGAGACTTTGCTAACGTTGCTTATCAGCTGAAGGAGATTTTGGGCTGAGACAATGGGGTTTTCTAGTTATACAATCATGTCGTCTGCAAACAGGGACAATTTGACTTCCTCTTTTCCTAATTGAATACCCTTTATTTCCTTCTCCTGCCTAATTGCCCTGGCCAGAACTTCCAACACTATGTTGAATAGGAGTGGTGAGAGAGGGCATCCCTGTCTTGTGCCAGTTTTCAAAGTGAATGCTTCCAGTTTTTGCCCATTCAGTATGATATTGGCTGTGGGTTTGTCATAGATAGCTCTTATTATTTTGAGATACGTCCCATCAATACCTAATTTATTGAGAGTTTTTAGCATGAAGGGTTGTTGAATTTTGTCAAAGGCTTTTTCTGCATCTATTGAGATAATCATGTGGTTTTTGTCTTTGGCTCTGTTTATATGCTGGATTACATTTATTGATTTGTGTATATTGAACCAGCCTTGCATCCCAGGGATGAAGCCCACTTGATCATGGTGGATAAGCTTTTTGATGTGCTGCTGGATTCGTTTTGCCAGTATTTTATTGAGGATTTTTGCATCAATGTTCATCAGGGATATTGGTCTAACATTCTCTTTTTTGGTTGTGTCGCTGCCCGGCTTTGGTATCAGAATGATGCTGGCCTCATAAAATGAGTTAGGGAGGATTCCCTCTTTTTCTATTGATTGGAATAGTTTCAGAAGGAATGGCACCAGTTCCTCCTTGTACCTCTGGTAGAATTCGGCTGTGAATCCATCTGGTCCTGGACTCTTTTTGGTTGGTAAGCTATTGATTATTGCCACAATTTCAGATCCTGTTATTGGTCTATTCAGAGATTCAACTTCTTCCTGGTTTAGTCTTGGGAGAGTGTATGTGTTGAGGAATTTATCCATTTCTTCTAGATTTTCTAGTTTATTTGCATAGAGGTGTTTGTAGTATTCTCTGATGGTAGTTTGTATTTCTGTGGGATCGGTGGTGATACCCCCTTTATCATTTTTTATTGCTTCTATTTGATTCTTCTCTCTTTTTTTCTTCATTAGTCTTGCTAGCGGTCTATCGATTTTGTTGATCCTTTCAAAAAACCAGCTCCTGGATTTACTGATTTTTTGAAGGGTTTTTTGCATCTCTATTTCCTTCAGTTCTGCTCTGATTTTAGTTATTTCTTGCCTTCTGCTAGCTTTTGAATGTGTTTGCTCTTGCTTTTCTAGTTCTTTTAATTGTGATGTTAGGGTGTCAATTTTGGATCTTTCCGGCTTTCTCTTGTGGGCATTTAGTGCTATAAATTTCCCTCTACCACCACTTTGAATGCATCCCAGAGATTCTGGTATGTTGTGTCTTTGTTCTCATTGGTTTCAAAAAACATCTTTATTTCTGCCTTCATTTCGTTATGTACCCAGTAGTCATTTAGGAGCAGATTGTTCAGTTTCCATGTAGTTGAGCGGTTTTGAGTGAGATTCTTAATCCTGAGTTCTAGTTTGATTGCACTGTGGTCTGAGAGACAGTTTGTTATAATTTCTGTTCTTTTACATTTGCTGAGGAGAGCTTTACTTCCAAGTATGTGGTCAATTTTGGAATAGGTGTGTTGTGGTGCTGAAAAAAATGTATATTCTGTTGATTTGGGGTGGAGAGTTCTGTAGATGTCTATTAGGTCTGCTTGGTGCAGAGCTGAGTTCAATTCCTGGGTATCCTTGTTGACTTTCTGTCTCGTTGATCTGTCTAATGTTGACAGTGGGGTGTTAAAGTCTCCCATTATTAATGTGTGGGAGTCTAAGTCTCTTTGTAGGTCACTCAGGACTTGCTTTATGAATCTGGGTGCTCCTGTATTGGGTGCATATATATTTAGGATAGTTAGCTCTTCTTGTTGAATTGATCTCTTTACCATTATGTAATGGCCTTCTTTGTCTCTTTTGATCTTTGTTGGTTTAAAGTCTGTTTTATGAGAGACTAGGATTGCAACCCCTCCCTTTTTTTGTTTTCCATTTGCTTGGTAGATCTTCCTCCATCCTTTTATTTTGAGTCTATGTGTGTCTCTGCACGTGAGATGGGTTTCCTGAATACAGCACACTGATGGGTCTTGACTCTTTATCCAATTTGCCAGTCTGTGTCTTTTAATTGGAGCATTTAGTCCATTTACATTTAAAGTTAATATTGTTATGTGTGAATTTGATCCTCTCATTATGATGTTAGCTGGTTATTTTGCTCGTTAGTTGATGCAGTTTCTTCCTAGTCTCAATGGTCTTTACATTTTGGCATGATTTTGCAATGGCTGGTACTGGTTGTTCCTTTCCATGTTTAGCGTTTCCTTCAGGAGCTCTTTTAGGGCAGGCCTAGTGGTGACAAAATCTTTCAGCATTTGCTTGTCTGTAAAGTATTTTATTTCTCCTTCACTTATGAAGCTTAGTTTGGCTGGATATGAAATTCTGGGTTGAAAATTCTTTTCTTTAAGAATGTTGAATATTGGCCCCCACTCTCTTCTGGCTTGTAGAGTTTCTGCGGAGAGATCCGCTGTTAGTCTTATGGGCTTCCCTTTGAGGGTAACCCGACCTTTCTCTCTGGCTGCCCTTAACATTTTTTCCTTCATTTCAACTTTGGTGAATCTGACAATTATGTGTCTTGGAGTTGCTCTTCTCGAGGAGTATCTTTGTGGCGTTCTCTGTATTTCCTGTATCTGAACGTTGGCCTGCCTTGCTAGATTGGGGAAGTTCTCCTGGATAATATCCTGCAGAGTGTTTTCCAACTTGGTTCCATTCTCCCCATCACTTTCAGGTACACCAATCAGATGTAGATTTGGTCTTTCCACATAGTCCCATATTTCTTGGAGGCTTTGCTCATTTCTTTTTATTCTTTTTTCTCTAAACTTCCCTTCTCACTTCATTTCATTCATTTCATCTTCCATGGCTGATACCCTTTCTTCCAGTTGATCGCATTGGCTCCTGAGGCTTCTGCATTCTTCACGTAGTTCTTGAGCCTTGGTTTTCAGCTCCATCAGCTCCTTTAAGCACTTCTCTGTATTGGTTATTCTAGTTATACATTCGTCTAAATTTTTTTCAAAGTTTTCAACTTCTTTGCCTTTGGTTTGAATGTCCTCCTGTAGCTCAGAGTAATTTGATCGTCTGAAGCCTTCTTCTCTCAGCTGGTCAAAGTCATTCTCCATCCAGCTTTGTTCCATTGCTGGTGAGGAACTGCATTCCTTTGGAGGAGGAGAGGCGCTCTGCGTTTTAGAGTTTCCAGTTTTTCTGTTCTGTTTTTTCCCCATCTTTGTGGTTTTATCTACTTTTGGTCTTTGATGATGGTGATGTACAGATGGGTTTTTGGTGTGGATGTCCTTTCTGTTTGTTAGTTTTCCTTCTAACAGACAGGACCCTCAGCAATGTTGGGCGCCCCTCCCCCAGCCTCACTGCTGCCTTGCAGTTTGATCTCAGACTGCTGTGCTAGCAATCAGCAAGACTCTGTGGGCGTAGGACCCTCCGAGCCAGGTGCAGGATATAATCACGTGGTGCGCCTTTTTTAAGCTGGTCAGAAAAGCGCAGTATTTGGGTGGGAGTGACCCGATTTTCCAGGTGCGTCCGTCACCCCTTTCTTTGACTCAGAAAGGGAACTCCCTGACCCCTTGCGCTTCCCAAGTGAGGCAATGCCTTGCCCTGCTTTGGCTCACGCACGGTGCGCACACCCACTGACCTGCGCCCACTGTCTGGCACTCCCTAGTGAGATGAACCTGGTACCTCAGATGGAAATGCAGAAATCACCCGTCTTCTGCGTCGCTCACGCTGAGAGCTGTAGACCGAAGCTGTTCCTATTCGGCCATCTTGGCTTCTCCCCCCTTGTTTTTTTTTTTTTTCTTAATGAGTTGTTTGAGTTTGTTGTAGATTCTGGATATTAGACCTTTGTCAGATGTATAGATTGTGAAGATTTTCTACCATTCTATGGGTTGTCTGTTTACTCTGCTGACTGCTCCTTTTGCTGTGTAAAAGCTCTTTAGTTTAGTTAGGTCCCAGCTATTTATCTTTGGTATTATTGCATTTGCTTTGGGGTGTTTGGTCATAAAATTCTTGCCTAAGCCAATGTCTGGAGGGGTTTTTCCAATGTTATCTTCTAGAATTTTGATAGTTTCAGGTTTTAGGTTTAAGTCCTTAATCCACCTTGAGTTGATTTTTTGTATAATGTGAGGGATGAAGATCCAGTTTCATTCTCCTACATGTGGGTAGCCAATTATCCCAGCACCATTTGTTGAAAAGGGTGTCCTTTCCTCACTTTATGTTTTTGTTTGCTTTGTGGAAGATCAGTTGGCTATAAGTATTTGGGTTTATTTCTGGGTTCTCTATTCTGTTCCATTGGTCTATGTGCCTATTTTTATACCAGTACCATGCTGTTTTGGTGACTATGGCCTTATAGTATAGTTTGAAATCAGGTAGTGTGATGCCTCCAGATTTGTTCTTTTTGCTTAGTCTTGCTTTGGCTATTAAGGCTCTTTTTTTGGTCCATATGGATTTTAGAATTGTTTTTTCTAACTCTGTGAAGAATGATGGTGATATTTTGATAGGGATTGCATTGAATTTGTAGATTACTTTTGGCAGTGTGGTCATTTTCACAATACTGATTCTACCCATCCATGAGCATGGGATGTGTTTCTATTTGATTGTGTCATTTATGATTTATTTCAGCAGTGTTTTGTAGTTTTCCTTGAGGAGGTCTTTCAACTCCTTTGTTAGGTATATTCCTAAGTATTTTATTTTATTTTATTTTTGCAGCTATTGTAAAAGGGGTTGAGTTCTTGATTTGATTCTTTGCTTCGTCGCTGTTGGTGTATACAAGGGCTACTGATTTGTGTACATTAATCTTATATCCAGAAACTTTGCTGCATTCTTTTGTCAGTTTTAGGAGCTTTCTGGAGGAGTCCTTAGGGTTTTCAAGGTAAAGGATCCTATCATCAGCAAACAGGGACAGTCTGACTTCCTCTTTACCGATTTGGATGCCCTTTATTTCTTTCTCTTTTCTGATTGCTTTTGCTAGGACTTCCAGTACTATGCTGAAGAGGAGCAGTGATAGTGGGTGTCTTTGTCTTTTTCCTATTCTCAGAGGGAATGCTTTCAAGAGTAGCCCACATTTTTCCTTTTCAGTGCAGTCTTCACGACCAATGCACAACACTTAAAAAATACTACCACATTTTCAAAAGCCTATTTAATCTAATACTCATTGTTAAATCTGGCATTAGGCAGTATCTGGGAACTCATTTTTGGTCTGAAGCACTCCATGATTCACGCTTTAAGGGTTCTAGAACTCTTGAGAATTAGGAATTCTTTCAAGTGGCAGCAGCAAAAGCTATAAACAGACTTTATAATTCTAGATTACTCAAAACCAAATCTAGGCTCTCAAAACCAAGGCAAGTAACTAAAAACCCCTGGATAACCCTAGTACGTTTGAACTACCTTATTTTGCATTCAGAAATGTAAAGATACACGGGCTGGTACCCACTGCTGGGAGACTTGAAGATGAATTACAACACCAGATCCCTTGCAGACATTCCCCAGCACCAGCCTTGAGTGTGGCAGCCCCACTGGTTGGCTAGTCCCAGAAGAACAGTAATAATCACTAGTCTGGCTCTCAGGAATTTCCACAGCAAAAGCTTTGAGTGTGGCAGCCCCACTGGTTGGCTAGACCCAGAAGAGCAATAGTAATCACTGTAGTCTGGCTCTCAGGAGCTTCTATTCCTAGGGGAAGAGGAAGAGTACGACATCAAAAGAACACCCCATGGGACAAAAGAATTTGGATGGCAAACCCTGAGTCCCAGATTTCTTCACCTGTAGGAAGTTTCTTACAGCAGAGACACAATTGCAGTGCTGAGTGCATCAGGGAAAGTCTGCACCTCTACTCCAATAGGCAAGCAGCCTTAGTGCTCATGAAGGGTACTAGAGAAGAGGCCCATGTTTCCCCCTTGTCCACCACTGCAAATACAGCTGGGGCGTCTCCCGTGGGAACTCAGCATGGATGCACCTATATACAGCCTTCCTGAAACAATTCAGGATGATTGCATCCTCACAGGAGGAGCACTCCCCAAGTTCAGGCTTGCACAAGAGGCAGATTCATAATTCCTCTCTACTTGGAACATAAAATTCCTACAGACCGAAATAGGTGCCTATCTGATCTGAAGAGCTGGGACACTGGGACTGGAGTGAGGCTGTGATGTAGATAGCTTTCCTGCTGGCCTGGCAAGGCAGCTGAGGTAGCCCCCACCCTTTAACCTGATAAAACCTCAGTGCATCTAATTGAGAGCTCCCCCAGCCACCTTCATCAAGGCTGGAACCTCTGCCCACCATTGGCATTATTGCATTTACCCACCTGCTTTAGCTACAAACAGTTCCTGCACAGAGATACCTCCCCTACTTATCTGAATCCTAAACCATCAACTCAGTAAATAAAATACTGGGGAAAAATTAAATAAAGTGCACAACATGGAGGAATGAATAAGATTCAAGAGATCCTTGCCTTTCCAACCCCATAGGAGACAGTGAACTTGCCCACACATTGAGTACATAACTACTACAACCAGCATCTGAGAAAGCCAGCATATAAAGACTCTTTATAACAAAGGAGCTCATATAGTCTTAATCCCTAAAAGCACCAAGAATCAAATTAGGCTATAATAAACTATAAACATTAAAGTCACATCCTTAGGAGGGAAAAAACAAAATTTAAAAAAGACACAGTCAAATCAAAATTAATTCAAGAACTATTTGAAGAAATTGTTTACCCAAATAAGAAGAAACCAGAAAAGTAATTCTGGTAATATGACAAAACAGGTTTCTATAACACCCACAAAAGATCACACTAGCTCCCTAGTTGTTCTAAAACAAGATGAAATCTTGGAAATACCAGATAAGGAATTCAGAAAGTTGATTACTAAGCTACTGAAGGAGATACCAGAGAAATGTGAAAACCAATATAAAGAAATTAAAAGAAAAATTCAGGATATGAATGTAAAATTTTCTAGAGAGATATCATAAAGAAAACCCAATCAGAACTTCTGGAAATGAAAGACATGCATAAGAAAATGCAAAATGCAATGGCAAGTTTTGACAAGAAGATGGCGGATGGGAGGAAGGACTGACTTGCAGCTCCCACTTGGACAGACAGAACAGTTTGTGAAGACTCACATCGTGAACTTTTGCTCCAAGAATTAATGCAGGAACATACCAGGAAAACTGAAAAACTTCACAGACCCTTTGAAAGAAGTGACTTGCTGCTGCAAATTCTCTGAGAGACAGCCAAAAAACTATGAGTACCCAAAGTGTGAGAGGGAAAGTCTGCCTACAAACACACATCCTCACCAGGAAGACTGAAAATCCAGATCATCGGAGAAGGTTTTAACCTTGCCTAAAGCTGAGGTGAATTTAGAGAGCGAAGCAAATATAAAAGTAGAAGAAGCAGCGGGAAGAGCCCTGAAGGCACTCCCAGCCCCCAGGGAACCCATTTCTGACTTTATCTCACAGGGGTCCTTGGGGTGGGCTGCCAGCTGATTTGGGAATAGACCACAGGGAGAAGGAAACTTCCAGCTGAACTTTGCAGTGATTTCGACTGAGTGTGAATTTTCCAGGGCAGAATCCGGGGTTGGCGCACAAAGGACCACAGAAACCATGGCTGGGAGGAGCAGGGCCTGAAAACCCTGCTGGCCTTCTCTGCAGGGAGGCTTGTAACCTGGGGCAAGTTCCCAGCCCCACTCACCGGCTGCCTCAATATAAACTCGGTGCTGTTGGGGAGCATGGTGGGCTAAAGTAGTACTATCCTTGCTGGCTGCGTGGGAGCTGGGTGATAACTGTCACTGCCGGCTTTCCCTGCTCGTCCCTGGAAACCTAAATGATGCATCAGAGGCAGCCATATTCTTCCTGGGAACGTAATTCCATCAGCCTGAGAACCACACTTCTATACCCTACAGCAGCCACAGGAAGCCCCACCCAAGGAGAGTGTGAGCTCAGCTGCACCTAACCCTGCCTCCATCTGATGATCTTTCTCTACTCATCCTGGTAGCAGGCCGGGAATGGTGGCTCACGCTTATAATCCCAGCACTTTGGGAGGTTGAGGCAGGTGGATCACTTGAGGCCAGGAGCCAGAGACCAGCCTGGCCAACATGGTGAAACTCCGTCTCTACTAAAAACACAAAGATTACCTGGGAGTGGTGGCGCACAACTGTAATCCCATCTACTCAGGAGGCTGAGGCACAAGAACTGCTTGAATCTGGGAGGCAGAGGTTGCCTTGAGCCAAGATTGCACCACTGCACTCCAGCCTGAGCAACAGAGTGCAACTCTGTCTCAAATAAAATAAAATAAAATAAAATAAAATAAAATAAAATAAAATAAAATAAAATAAAATAAAATAAAATAAAATAAAATAAAAAGTCATAATCTCTTGGGAGCTCTGTGGCCCTGCCCATCACTTGAGAAAACTGATACTTATCCAGGAGACCCTAGGGCAAGCATATATCCTCCCTACACTACTGCAGCTCATGTGCTCTTGAAAGTGCCACCTCCTGGCTGGAGGCCAACCAACACAAACCATTATAGCAACTCATAAAAAAACAAACCTGTCCCAAGAAAAGAGAAAACGACAGCTTATTCCACCACCTGTAACATCCTGGCTACCCAGAGGTCCTGAGTCTTTCCACATGACATCTTTACTGCCAGCACAACCAGCATTCGAGAAAACCAGTACACTAAACAAAACTACAACCAAGGACTCTCACAGGGTCCACTTTACTCCCCTTGCTACCTTGACCGGAGCAAGTGCTGGTATCCACAGCTGAGAGACCTGAAGATGGATAACATCACAGCAATAGACCCAAATCAAGAATAAATATCTGAATTGCGAGAAAAACAATTCAGAAGATCAATTATTAAGCTAATCAAGGAGGCACCAGAGAAAGGTGAATACGAACTTAAAGAAATTTTTAAAATGTTATACGGTATGGATAGAAAAATCACCAGAGAAATTGACAGCAGAAATAAAAAATAATCATAAGTTCTGGAGATGAAGGACATACTTAGAGAAATACAAAATACACTGGAAAGTCTCGACAATAGAATTGAACAAGTAGAAGAAACAACTTCAGAATTCAAAGACAAGGCTTTCAAATTAACCTCATAAAGCAAAGAAAAAAGAATTTTAAAAAATGAACTAAGCCTCCAAGAAGTTTGGGATTATTACAACCAAACCTAAGAATAATTGATGTTCCCAAGGAAGAATAGAAATCTAAACATTTGGAAAATATATTTGAAGAAATAATTGAGGAAAGCTTCCCCGGCCTTGCTAGAGATGTAGACATCCAAATACAAGAAGCTGGAAGAACACCCAGGAAATTTATCACAGAAAGGTCATTGCCTAGGCACATAGTCATCAGATTATCTAAAGTCAAGAGAAATGAAAGAATCTTAAGAGCTGTGAGGCAAAAGTATCAGGTAATCTATAAAGGAAAACGTATCAGATTAACAGCAGATTTCTCAGCAGAAACCCTACAGGCTAGAAGGGATTGGGGTCCTATCTTTAACCTCCTTAAACAAAACAATTATTAGCCAAGAATTTTATATCCAGCAAAACTAAATTTCATAAATGAAGGAAAGATACAGCCTTTTCCAGACAAACAAATGCTGAAGGAATTCATCACCATCAAGACAGCACTACAAGAACTGCTAAGAGGAGTCCTAAATCTTGAAAAAATATCTCAAAATGCACCAACATAGAATCTCCTTAGGGCATAAATCTCACAGAACCTATAAAACAATAAAATAATGAAAAAAGCACAAATTATTCAGACAACAACTAGCATGATGAATAGAATAGTGCCTCACATCTCAATACTAATGCTGAATATAAACGGCCTGAATATTCCACTTAAAAGATACAGAATGGTAGAATGGATAAGAATTCACCAAGCAAGTATCTGCTGTCTTCAAGAGACTTACCTAACACATAAGGACTCACATAAACTTAAGGTAAAATGGTGGAAAAAGATATTCCATGCAAATGGACACCAAAAGTGAGCAGGAGTTGCTATTCTTGTATCAGACAAAACAAACTTTAAAGCAACAACAGTTAAAAAAGACAAGGACGTTATACAATGATAAAAGGTCTGGTCCAACAGGAAAATATCACAATCCTAAATATATGCACCTAACACTGAAGCTCCCAAATTTATAAAACAATTATTACCAAACGTAAGAAATGAGACAGATGGCAACACAATAATAGTGAGGACATCAATACTCCACTGACAGCACTAGACAGGTCATCAATACAAAGTCAACAAAGAAACAGTAGACTTAAACTAAACCCTAGAACAAGTGGATTTAACAAATATTTACAGAACATTCTACCCAACAACTGCAGAATATACATTCTATTCATCAGCACATGGAACATTCTCCAAGACAGACCATGTGACAGGCCACAAAACAAGTCTCAATAAATTTAAAAAAATTAAAATTATATCAAGTATTCTCTCAAACCACAGTGGAATAAAGCTGGAAATCAACTCCAAAAGAAGCCCTCAAAACTATACAAATACATGGAAATTAAATAATCTGCTGCTAAATGACTGCTGGGTCAACAATGAAATCAAGATGGAAATTTAAAAATTCATAATGACATAACCTATCAAAACCTCCAGGATACATCAAATGTAGTGCTAAAAGAAAGTTCCTAGCATTAAAAGCCTACATCAAAAAGTTTGAAACAACATAAATAGACAATCTAAGGTCACACCTCATGAAACTAGAGAAACAAGAACAATCGAAACCCAAACCCAGCAGAAGAAAAGAAATAACCAAGATCAGATCAGAACTAAATGAAATTGAAACCAAAAAGAAAAACCCAGAAAAGATAAGTGAAATGAAAAGCTGGTTCTTTGAAAAATTAAATAAAATTGATAGATCATTAGTGACATTAACCAAGAAAAGAAGAGAGAAGATCCAAATAAGCACAATTAGAAATGAAACAGGGGATATTACAACTAATGCCACAGAAATACAAAAGATTATTCAAGGTTACTATGAACACTGTTACACACATAAACTAGAAAACCTAGAGGAGGTGTGTAAATTTTTGGAAATATACAAACCCCTTAGATTAAACCAGGAAGATACAGAATCTCTGAACAGACTGATAACAAACATTGAGATTGAAATGGTAATTTAAAAAAATGGCCAATAAAAAAGTACAGGACCAGGCAGATTCACAGCTGAAGTCTATCATACATTCAAAGAAGAAGTGGTACTAATCCTACTGACAGTATTCCAAAAGATAAAGAGGGAATCCATCCTAAATGATTCAGTGTAGCCGGTATCACCCTAATGGTAAAACCAGGAAAGGACATTAAAAAAATAAAAACTACAGAGCAATATCCCTGATGAACACAGATGCAAAAATCAAGTGAGTTTTATACCAGGGATGCAGGGATGGTCTAATATACGCAAGTCAATAAATGTGATACACCACATAAACAGAATTAAAAATAAAAATCACATGATCATCTCAATAGATGCAAAAAATTTTGACAAAATTCAGCATCCCTTTATGATTAAAACCCTCAGCAAAAGCCACATAGAAGGGGCATATCTTAAGGTAATAAAAGTCATATTTGACAAACCCACAGTCAGAATTTTACTGATTGGGGAAAAGTTGAAAGCATTCCCCCTGAGAACTGGAATAAGACAAAGATACCCACTGTCACCACTTCTATTCAACTTGTACTGGAAGTCCTAGCCAGAGCAATTAGACAAGAGAAAGAAATAAAGAGTATCTGAATAAGCAAAGAGAAAATCAAACTGTCACTGTTCACCAATGGTATGATTATATACATAGAAAACCCTAAAGACTTATTCAAAAAGCTCCCAGAACTGGTAAGTGAATTCAGTAAAATTTCAGGATACACCATCAACCTACACAAATCAGTAGCTCTGCTATACACCAACAGCAAACAAGCTGAGAATCAAGTCAAGAACTCAACCCCTTTTATGATAGCTCCAAAAATAAATAATAAATAATAAAGATATAAAATAGTTAGGAATATATTTAACCAAGGAGGTAAAAGATCTCTATAAGAAAAACTGTAAAACACTGCAAAAACAAAACAAAACAAAAACCAGACAACACAAAAAAATGGAAACACATCCCATGCTCATGGATGGGTAGAATCAATGTTGTGAAAATGATCATACTGCCAAAAGCAATCTATAAATTTAATGCAATTCCTATCAAAATACCATTATTCTTCACAGAACTAGAAAAAAGCCTAAAATACATATGAACCCAAATAAGAGCCCACATAGCCAAAGTGTGAGGCTAAGCAAAAAGAACAAATTTGGAGTTATCACATTACCTGACCTCAAACTATACTATGAAACTATTGTTACCAAAATAGCATGGTATTGGCATAAAAATAGGCACATAAAGCAATGGAACAGAATA
Source organism: Homo sapiens (assembly GCF_000001405.40). Classification (NCBI taxonomy): domain Eukaryota; kingdom Metazoa; phylum Chordata; class Mammalia; order Primates; family Hominidae; genus Homo; species Homo sapiens. Next base: position 109,562,747 of record NC_000011.10, on the reverse strand, counting down.
GAAACCATAGAAATAAAGCTGCATACTTAACAGCCAATGATCTTTGACAAAGCAAACAAAAACATAAGTTGGGGAAAGGACACCCTATTCAACAAATGGTGCTGGGATAATTGGTAAGCCAGATGCAGAGGAATGAAACTGGATCCTCATGTCTTACCTTACACAAAAATCAACTCAAGATGAATAAAAGACTTAAATCTAATAAGACCTGAAACCATAAAAATTGTAGAGGATAACAGAAAAAGGCCTTCTAGACATTGGCTTGGCAAAGAAATCATGACTAAGCCCCCAAAATCAAATGCAACAAAAACAAAAATAAATAAGTGGGACCTAATTAAATGGAAAAGTTTTTACACAGCAAAAGAAAAAAATAGTAAACAGACAACCCACAGAGTGGGAGAAAAATTTTTGCAAACTATGCATATGACAAAGAACTAATATCCAGAATCTACAAGAAACTCAAATCAGCAAGAAAGAAACAAACAATCCCATCAAAAAGTGGGCTAAGGACATGAATACACAATTCTCTAAAGAAGATATACAAATGGCCAACAAACATGAAAAAAAATGCTCAACATCACTAATTATCAGGGAAATGCAAATCAAGTTCTAGGGTACATGTGCACAACATGCAGGTTTGTTACATACGTATACTACAATGCGATACCATGTTACTCCTGCAATAATGGCCATAATCAAAAAAACAAATGTTGGCATGGGTATTGTGAAAAGGGAACAACTTTACATGCTGGCGTGAATGTAAATTAGTATAAACGCTATCAAAAACAGCGTGGAGATTCCTTAAAGAACTAAAAGTAGACCTATCATTTGATCCAGCAATCCCACTACTGGGCATCTACCCAGAGAAAAAGAAGTAATTATATAAAAAGAAGTCATTATATAAAAAAGACACATGCTCATGCATGTTTATAGCAGCACAACTTGCAACTGCAAAAATATGGAACCAGCCCAAATGCCTATCAGTGAGTAAATAAAACGTTATGTGTATATATATGTATATATGTATATACGTGTATACTGAATGATATATACATGTGAGTATATGTATATATGCATATATACACATATACACGTATACGTATATATGCGTATATGTGTATATGTATATGTGTATATATGTATATGTGTATATATGCATATATACATATGTGTGTATGTATATATATCGTGTATATGTGTATATATGCACTGTGAGACAAAACCATCAGATAACATATAAGAAAAACCTATCAGACTAACAGCAAACCTCTCAGCAGAAACCTTACAAGCTAGAGGAACTGGTGTCCTATCTTTAGCTTCCTTAAACAGAACAATTGTCAGTCAAAAATTTGGTATCCAGTAAAATTAAGTTTCATAAATAAAGGAGTGATAAATTCTTTTTTAGACAAACAAGCACTGAGGGAATTTGCCACTATCAAACCAGCACTACAAGAATTGCTAAAAGGAGTTCTTAATCTTGAAACAAAAGCTTGGTATTCACCAAAATAGAACCTTCTGAAAGTAGATAATTCACAGGGCCTATAAGACAATAACACAATGAAAAAACAAAGTAGGTAACAACTAACATGATGAATAGAACACTACCTCATATCTCAAAATTAACACTGACTGTAAATGGCCTAAATGATCCACTTAAAAGATACAGAATGGCAGAATGGATTTTAAAAACCTACCAACCAAATATCTGGTGACTTCAAGAAACTCACCTAACACATAAGGGTTCATATAAACTCAAGGTAAAAGGATGGAAAAAGGTATCTCATGCAAATGGAAAACAAAAGTGAGCAGGAATAGCTATTCTTATACCAACCAAAACAGACTTTGAAGCAACAACAGTAAAAAAAATACAAAGAAGGCCATTATTTAATGCTAAAAGAATCAATCCAACAAGAAGATATTACAATCCTAAATTTATATGCACGTAACACTAGAGTTTCCAGATTTATATAGTAATTACTACTAGACCTAAAACATTAGACGGCAACACAATAATAGTGGTGGACTTCAATACTCCACTGACAGCACTAGACAGATCAAGAATGAAAATCAACAAAGAAACAATGGAATGAAACTATACCCTAGAACAAATGGACATCACAGATATTTACAGAACATTCTTCCCAACAACTGTACAATATACATTCTTCTCATCAGCACATGGAACATTCTCCAAAATAGACCTTATGATAGGCCACAAAACATGTCCCAATAAATTTAAGAAAATTAAAATCATATCAAGTATCTTCTCAGAATACAGTAGAATAAAGCTGAAAATCAACTCCGAAAGGAACCCTCAAAACTATACAAATACATGGAAATTAAATAATCTGCTATTGAATGATTTTGGGGTTAACAATGAAATTAAAAGGGAAATTAAAAAATTCTTTGAAATGATAGTGATAATATAGTGATAAATATAGTGATAATAATAATGATAATAGTGACAGAAATTTTCAAAACCCCTGGGATACAGCAAAAGCAGTGCTGAGAGTGCTAAAGTTCACAGTGTTAAATGCCTACATCAAAAAGTCTGAAAGAGCATAAATTGACAACCTAATGTCATACCTCAAAGAACTAGAGAAACAAGAACAAATAAAACCCAAAGCCAGCAGAAAATAACAAAGATCAGAGCAGAACTTAATGAAATTGAAACAAAAAAAATAAAAAATAAAATAAAATGTTGGTCTTTGAAAAGATAAACAAAATTAGTAGACCATTAGCAGGATCAACCAAGAAAAGAGAGAAGATCCAAATAAGCTCAATTAGAAATGAAACTGGACATATTACAACTGATACCACAAAAATACAAAAGATTTTTCAAGGCTATTGTTTACACGTTTATATGCACAAACTAGAAAATCTAGAGGAAATGGATAAATTCCTGGAAACATAAAACACTCCTAGATGAAATCTGGAACAAACAGACAAACAATAAGCAATGACACTGAATCAGTAATTAAAAAAAAAAAAAGCCGACAAAAAAAGGTCAGGACCAGATGGATTCACAGCTGAATTCTACCAAAACATTTAGAGAAGAACTGGTACCAATCCTGTTGACACTATTCCAAAAGATAGAGAGAGAGGGAATCCTCTGCAAATCATTTTATGAAGCCACTATCACCCTAATACCAAAATCAGGAAAGGACATAACAAAAAATAAATAAATAAAACTATAGACCAATATCCCTGATGAACATACAGCAAAAATCCTCAACAAAATATTAGCTAACCAAATCCAACAGCACATCAAAAAGATAATACATCATGATCAAGTGGGTTTCATTCCAGGGATGCAGGGATGATTTAACACACACAAATCAGTAAATGTGATACATCACATAAGCAGAATTAAAAATAAAAACCATATGATCATCTCAATAGATGCAGAAAAGCATTTGATAAAATCCAGCATCTCTTTATGATAAAAAATCCTCAACAAAATTGGCATAAAAGGGACTTACATCAAAGTAATAAAAACCATATTTTGACAAATCTGTAGCCCACATTATGCTGGATGGGGAAAATTTGAAAGCATTCCTATTGAAAACTGCAAGAAGACAAGGATGCCCACTTTTATCACTTCTATTCAACATAGTACTGGAAGTCCTAGTTGGAGGAATTAGACAAGAGAAAAAAAAAGGGCATCCAAATTGGAAAAGAGTAAGTCAAACTGTCGCTGTTCACTAATGATATGAACATATAATTAGAAAACCCTAAAGACTCATCCAAAGGGCTCCTAGATCTGATACATTAATTCAGTAAAGTCTCAGGCTACAAAATCAAGGTACATGAATCAATAGCATTGCTATACACCAACAAAAAGCAAGATGACAATCAAATCAAGAACATAATGTGTTTTACTACAGCTGCAAACAAAATTAAATATCTACAAATACACTTACCCAGGGAGTTAAAAGAGTGCTATAAGGAAAACTAGACAACACTAAACACTACTGAAGGAAATTGTAAGTGACACAAACAAATGGAAACACATCCCATGCTCATAGATAGGAAGCAGCAACATGGTGAAAATGACCATACTGTCAAAAGCAATCTAGACTCAATGTGATTTCCATCAAAATACCATCATCATTTTTCACAGAACTAGAAAGAACAATCCTAAAATTCATATGGAACCAAAAAGAGCCCACATAGCCAAAGCAAGACTAAGCAAAAAGAACAAATCTGGAGGCATCACCTTATCCAACTTCAAACTATACTGCAAGACTATACTTACCAAAACAGTATGGTACCAGTATAAATATAGGCACATAGACTAATGGAACAGAATAGAGAGCCCAGAAACAAAGCCAAATACTTAGAGCCACTGCTCTTCAACAAAACATACAAAAACATCAACTGAGGAAAGGGCACCCTATTCAATAAATGGTGCTGAGAAGACTGGCAAGCCACATATAGAAGAATGAAACTGGATCCTTATTTCTCACCTTATACAAAAATCAACTCAAGGTGGATCAAAAACTTAAATATAAGGACTGAAACCATAAAATTCCTAGAAGATAACATTAGAAAAACTCTTCTAGATATTGGCCTAGGCAAAGAATTCATGACTAAGCCCCTAAAAGCAAATGCAACAAAAATAAAAATAAATAAATGGGACCTAATTAAACCAAAACACTGCTGCACAGCAAAAGAAATAATCAGTAAATAGACAATCCATGGAGTGTGTGAAAATATTCCCAAGCTACACATCTGACAAAGGACTAGTATCTAGAATCAACAAGGAATTCAAATCAGCAAGAAATGAACAAATAACCCCATCAAAAAGTGGGCAAAGGGCATGAATAGAAATTTCTCACAAGAGGATATACAGACAGCCAACAAATATGAAAAATGGTCAACATTACTAATAATCAAGGAAATGCAAATTAAAACCATAATGAGATATCACCTTACTCCTGCAAGAATGGCTGTAATTAAAAAGCCAAAAAAAAAAAAAAGAACAATAGATGTTGGCAGGGATGTGGTGAAAGGAAACACTTTTACACTGCTGGTGTGAATGTAAATTAGTATAACCACTATGAAAACAGTATGGAGATTCCTTATAGAACTAAAAGTAGATCTACCATTCAATCCAGCATTCCCATTGGTGAGTATCCACCCAAAGGAAAAGAAGTCATTATATGAAAAAGACACATGCTCATGCATGTTTATAGCAGCAAAATTCACAATTGCGAAGATATGGAACCAATCTAAGTGCCCATCAACCAACCATTGAATAAAGGAAATGTGGTATATATACATCCTGAAATAATACTCAGTTGTAAAAAGAAATGAAATAATGGCTTTTGCAGCAACTTGGATGGAGCTGGAGGTCATTATTCTTTATATATATATATATATATATATATATATGTATATATATATATACGTGTATATATATATACACATGTATATATATACGTGTATATATATATACACATGTATATATATACGTGTATATATATATACACATGTATATATATACGTGTATATATATATACACATGTATATATATACGTGTATATATATACATGTATATATATACACATGTGTGTATATATATACATGTGTGTGTATATATATACACGTGTATATATATACACGTGTATATATATGTGTATATATGTGTATATATATATGTATATATATGTGTATATATATATATGTATATATATGTGTGTGTATATATATATATATATATATTTATTATACTTTAAGTCCCAGGGTACATGTGCACAACATGCAGGTTTGTTACATATGTACACATGTGCCATGTTGGTGTGCTGCACCCATTAACTCATCATTTACATTAGGTATATTTCCTAATGCTATCCCTCCTCCTTCCCCCAAGCCCGCAACAGGCCCCGGTGTGTTATGTTCCCCTTCCTGTGTCCAAGTGTTCTCATTGTTCACTTCCCACCTATGAGTGAGAACATGCGGTGTTTGGTTTTTTGTCATTGCGAGTTTGCTGAGAATGATGGTTTCCAGCTTCATCCATGTCCTAAGTCCATTATATCTCTCTATATGTCTTTGTGTCCTCATAGCTTGACTCCCACTTATAAGTGAGAACATACAGTATTTGGTTTTTCATTCTTGAGTTATTTCACTTCATTATTCTAAGTGAAACTCCCACTTATAAGTGAGAACATACAGTATTTTGTTTTTCATTCTTGAGTTTTTTCACTTAGAGTAACTCATTTCACTTCATTATTCTAAGTGAAATAAGAATGAAAAACCAAATACTGTATGTTCTCACTGATAAGTGGGAGTTAAGCTATGAGGACACAAAGAAATATAGAATGACATAATGGACTTTAGGGACTTGGTGGTGAGAGGTTAAGAGAGGTGTAAGGGACATAAGACTACATACTGGGTACAGTCTACACTGCTCAGGTGATGCATGCACTAAAATCTCAGAAAACACCAGGAAAGTACTCATCCATGTAACCAAAAACCACCTGAACCACCTGTAATCCCCAGATTATTCTTCATTATTACTTCTTTATTCTAAGTGAAGTAACTCAAGAAGGAAAAACCAAATACTGTATGTTCTCACTTATAAGTGGGAGTTAAGCTATGAGGACACAAAGACATATAGAGTGATATAATGGACTTTAGGGACCTGGTGGTGAGAGGTTAAGAGAGGGGTAAGGGACATAAGACTACATACTGGGTACAGTCTACACTGCTCAGATGATGCATACACTAAAATCTCAGAAATCACCAGGAAAGTACTCATCCATGTCACCAAAAACCACCTGTAATCCCCAGATTATTGAAATAAAAAATGTAAGAATGCATATAAGAATGATAACTAAGATTTGTATGACACTGAAGACTTTTTAAACCACTTTTATATGCATTATCTTATTTGTTCTTCTCAAGGACTATGTGAGGCAGAACTTATCATTAATATCCAGTTTAAAGATGAAGAAACTAGGACTCAGAGTCCTGCTTAAGTGACTTGCCGTTTGTCCCAGGGCTAGTAAGTGGCAAAGGTAGGACCAAAATCTAGGTAATGTTGATTCTGAATCCAGTCTGTTTTCCACTACTGAATTTGAAGTTCATTTATTTGAATCCATTTCTCTTCATGTTACTGAAATCTAACTTTTCCAAAGATAGAGCAATGTCGCCACATTCTAGGTTTCTCAGTGTAAAATTCATCACCAACTTCTTTAAAAATGTCTATGCAATTTTGTGGCATCATGAAAATTAGTTCACAGTTTCTAGGATAGAAACAATCCCACCGAGTAACTGTCAGGCCTTTCCATTCCCTCTTTCTCCCACTCTACTCAGGCAGGCAGAAGACATCGTATCACTCCTTTTTTGGACTACTAAGTGAAGACACATTCAAGATACTGAATCTTCTGTTGTATGATAATTCTTTCTTCACCCTTTCTTTTTATTTCCTCCAAACCATAGTTTCCCAGAGGAGAGTCCCCTACCCTGACCTTATAGAGTATTAGGCTCCAGTTCCCCATTGAGTAAGCCTGGAAATTGCATGATCCCTACATTCAGTAAGGTTTGTATTGGAAAGCTTTGATGTTGAGCAACTCCATTAACCTTGCTTAATCTCAGTTTCCTTATCTATGAAAAGGGAATGACTATCCCTATTCCACCTAACTGTGGTGAGATTCAGGAGGGATTGCACATGAAGGTGCAATCTGTACCCATAATTTCCAGTCCCCTTCTTCCTTCTCCTGTCCTCAGGTGACATAAGCCCTAAGAAAGTACAAAATTCCTCATATTCCTCTTAGATGCCTCTTGGCATACAGAAGATGATCTATATGTACATACTGAATGAAACTGAGAGCCCCTGGCCATTAATTCCTTATTTCAGCTGCAGACTGAAGGGGCAAGCAATAGAAGATGTGGACTTCAGTATTTACCAGCTAAATCAGCACATTTTTAAATGTTTATTTTTTATGAAAAATTGCCATGTATATTGATACATGTGTGGCTGCTGTTAGGCATCAATAGGGTATCATCCAAGATTGGAATGAACCTGAGACATTAGAATGGGCCCTTTTTCTGGGTATCATAAGAACTGAGTTCTGAGTTCTAGTCTTGGCTGGCTTTGTGACTTCAGGCATGTCATTTTAATTTTCAGGGTTCGAGTTACCAATTAATAAAACATGCACGTTAAATTAAATCCTCTTCAAAGTTACTTTTAGCCCTCTATTTTGTGATTCTTCCAAGCATAATTCTTAAATTAAATGTGAAGTCTTAAATGATCAAAATTTCATAGCTTGGCCACCAAATTATTATAGTATTATCCCTAAGCTGACAATGTTTACTAAGAGTAAAATCAACCTGGCTAATCACTGCTGAGTCTCCACTTTGATTGTCAATTTGCAGGCTACATTTTGGTCAATTTCAACCTTGGCTAAATTAAGAATAAAATTATTCCAAAGGAATTCAATCCCTTACAATGTTAAATTTTTTACCGATGAACCCAGTGACTTATAGGTACCCATATTTTTATCTGTCTCTACTCTGCATATAGTTTTTACTCTTTCAATAAAGAAAATGAAATTACAGATTTTTGGGATATAATATTTTTATATTATAAAAAATATAATATTCAGGATAAGGTTATCTTAAAAACAAACACATGAAACAACCAATATTATGCTTTCTAACTTTAATTCCATTTATCTGATTTCTTTAAAGAAAACTGGTTAAAAGAGTTGTGTATACTCACTGTCTCCAATTTCTCTGCTCTCATTCTCTCTTAAACGCAATCTATTCAGGTTTTCTTCCCCTTTACTCCTGATATGGTTTGGCTCTGTGTTCCCATCCAAATCTCATGTTGAATTGTAATCCCCATGTGTTGAAGGAGGGGCCTGGTGGGAGGTGATTGAATCATGGGGGCAGACTTAGCCTTTGCTGTTCTTGTGATAGAGTGTGTAGTGCTTTCCCCTGCACTCCCTCTCTCTCCTGCTGCCAGGTGATGAGGGTGCTTGCTTCCCCTTCGCCCTTTCGTCATGATTGTAAGTTTCCTGAAGCCTCCCAGCCACGTTTCCAATACAGCCTGTGAAACTGTGAGTCAATTAATCCTCTTTTCTTCATAAATTACCCAGTCTCAGGTAGTTTTTTATAGCAGTGTGAGAAGGGACTAATACAACTTCATACTGAACACTCTTCCTGTCAGGTTACTAATGATTATCATTTTGTTAAGTACAAAGATTCATTACTCATGCAGCTGATTGCTCCCTCTGTAACTTCTTTTTGCTTGGCTTCCAGAACACCACACACTTCTGCTTTTCCTCCTACCTCACTGGATACTTTTTATCAGACTCCCTTGCTGGTTCCTCATCATATTCACAACCTCAAAATGGTGAGACACCCCAGGACTCTCTTCTCTACTTAAGCTTGTTTAATCAGTGATCTCTTCCAAGCTCATGACTTTAGACACCGTCTTCATGTCAATGACTCAAAAATGTATGGCTGAGCCTGGGAAGCATAGCAAAACCCCATCTCTACAAAATTAAAAATAAAAGTAGTCTGGTGTAATGGCACATGCCTGTGGTCCCAGCTATTTGGGAGGCTGAGGTGGGAGTATTGCTTGAGGCCAAGAGTTTGAGATTGCAGTGAGCCATGATTGTGCCACTGCACTCCATCATGGACAATAGAGATAGATCCTGTCTCTAAAATGAAAAAGAAATATGTCTTAGATTTCTCCCGTAACTTCTGTCTCATAAATCCATTTGCTACTCAACATTTCTACTTGAATGTCCAATAAATATATCCCAAATATAACAGGTCCAAAATCTCATCTTATCTCAGAAGTTGCTTCTTCCATAGTCTTCCCCACTTTGATAATAGCAAGTAGTAAATCAGGTCAAAACCTTGGAGTCAATTCTTTACTTTTTCCTTTCTCTGCTACCATATATCTAATCCATTAACAAATCCTATTGACTTTCCTTTCAAACTACATTCATATTCTGGCCTCTTCTCATTACTGCCTACCATTGCTACCATTCTGGACCAAGCCACACTATTTCTCAACTAAATTATTGAAAAACATCTTCTAACTGTTCTCTCTGATTCTATCCTTGCTCTTCATCACTCAATAAAGCAGCCTGAGTCATCACATTGAGACATAAGACAGAACATGCTTTAAAGTTCCGATGATTCCCCATCTTACTCAGAGTGAAATCCGGCATACCTACAACAACGTAAAAGTTCTGCACAATCTGTCCCCTAGTTACCTTGATAACCTCATATTTTCCCCTCATCTACATTCCAGCCACATTGGCCTCCTTATTTATTTTTTTTCTGAACTGTGCCAAGCATACTCCCACATCAGGGCATTTGTACATGCTCTTTACTCAGTCTGGAGTTCTCTTCTCCCAGATATTTACGTTGCTTGAACTCTCATCCCTTTCAAATTTGGGGTTGATTCCTCCCTTCTGAGTGGGACCTTTCCTAATCAATCTACTTAAAAATGCAACTTGAAAAATGCTTCCTATCTGATACTCTTTACCTACTTTTTACTTTTCTCTATAGCACTTTCACTTTCTAACGTACTGTAAATTATCTATTTTCTTACTGTCAATTAATTCCTACTGGAATATAAACTTTAGGAGGGCAATTATTTTTATTTGTTTTGTTCATTGCTGGAGCTTTAGCTGCTGTAATAGTACCTGGCACAGAATAGGTGCTCAACAAATATATGTTGAATAAAATATCTTTTTTTTTTTTTTTTTTTTAACAGAGTCTTGCTCTGTCACCCAGGCTGCAGTACAGTGCTGCAACCATAGCTCACTGCAGCCTCAAACTCCTGGGCTCTAGGAACCCTCCCACCTCAGCCTCCCAAGTAGCTAGGACCACAGGCTTGAGCCACCAAGTCCAGATAAGTTTTTAATTTTTTTCTAGAGATGTGGTCTTGCTATGGTACCCAGGCTGGTCTTGAATTTCTGGCCTCAAACGATCCTCCCTACTCAGCCTCCTAAAGTGTTGGGATTATAGACATGAGCCACTCTGCTCAGACAAAGTGTTAATTATATGGAGATTTTGCTTACTAGTGTAGAATGAAACCAATCTATACACTATGTATCTGAAAGTCTCCAATGCAAAGCAAATCTATTTTTCTTTATGAGCTCTTTAGAATCCCACACAGTGGCATAGACAAAACCCCTCTTCTAAAAAAGCAGGCCACAATAATCTCGACGCAATTCCAACTCATTTCACAGTAACTTCTCCAAATAACAGATAATTTGTTTCTTTAAAGTAGATCATCCCATTACCTCCTACTCCAGTAGTTGAATGTCAAAAATCTCCAGTTCTGTTTTAGCTTCAGGCACTTTAAACGAGTGGTCTTTTAAGCATACTTGCTTGGGGCATATTTGCTTCCAACAGCAGAAAATTAGTAAGTTCCAAAAGCAGACATTAGTAAGTTTGTTCCACTTACTCACCTTTAAATACTTGGCTCAAATTCTACCTCCTCTTTGAAGATTTTCTTGAACCCACCTCTCTCTCCGTAAATAACTCAGAACTGTTTCCCTCATTTTTGCCATCTCAGTAATATTTCTATTATATCACCTGAAATATACTATTATGCTTATTTTTCAAGTCTGTCTTTTCCATTAGGATGTAAGTCCCTGAATTTAGGGCTTCTTTGTCTTCCTAACACTGGTGTGTAGATAGGGACTGGCAAATAGCGTAGTCTCAGACGATATTGGTCAAATTAATGAACACAGGTGAATATATGAATGATCTGTGACCAACCAATTAAGTATTGCTTTCCAGGATCACAGCCATGGTGAGAATACCAATGGAGAGGTTATAGTAGATAATATCATTATTGTCACCATTATCACTATCATCAGTATCATCATCATCATCATCAAAGAACTATACACCTGTTTGAACCAAGTACTATGCTATGCACAGATCCTTGTGCACAAGGACATTAATAGTCAAATTGAAGGGACAGGCATGACCACAAAAAGATGTATAACAATTTACATAATGGGAAGCATAGAGTAAATACCCAGTAAAATGAAGCATAGGGTAAATGCCCAGCTAGTTGGATAGACAAAAGAGTAGTACAAGTTCAGATTAGGATGATTAAGGCGGCCTTTATGGAAGATGGAGACATTTAGCTGTATCTTAAAAGACAAAATAACCAAGCTGCATATACAAAGGAGAGAGAACATCTCAAGCAGGTTTGACCAGATAAAATTCTGAAAGACACAGACTATATTTCCACTCTTTGATGAGGCATATAAGAAATAAAGTCACTAAAAAAAGGATATTTTCATTAGACTCAGATTCCTCATTTTTGAAAATAAAACATGAATTCTTCATTTAGACAAAATAAATGAGATGTGGTGGAAGGGTGTAGTGCCAGAGTTCCAGTTCAAGCTCTTTCACATTTGAGACTCTCATCTTGACAACATTTCTTTCTTTCTTTCTTTTTTTTTTTTTTTGATGGTGTTTCACTCTGTCACCCAGGCTGGAGTGTAGTGGCGTGATCTCAGCTCATTGCAAGCTCCACCTCCCGGGTTCACCCATTCTTTCTCCTCATCCTCCCGAGTAGCTGGGACTACAGGTGCCCACCACCACGCCTGGCTAATTTTGTTTTTGTATGTTTACTAGAGACGTGGTTTCACCATGTTAACCAGGATGGTCTCGATCTCCTGACCTCGTGATCCGCCCGCCTCGGCCTCCCAAAGTGCTGGGATTACAGGCATGAGCCATCGCGCCCAGGCTTCTTCATTGTTCTGAGTATAGCTTTGATGTCTGTGAAATGGAGAACCAGACTGACTTCAGAGACCATTTAAGTGTGTGTAACTAAAGCAGATTATGTGGATGTGAATGCTTTAAAAATTATAAGTGCAATTTACCTGTAGAGGATTCTTTGAAGATTAGATAAAATTACAGTCAAGATATTTGTGAGCAATGACAAGCTGCTTTCCTTCCTAAAAAGATGCCTTCCTTGCATCTACTTAACTGTTACGTGACTAAAATGATATAACCCAAATGGTTATGTCTGCAATGCAACTGGGATAATATATGCACTGCTAAGATTTACAGAGTACAGTTTAATGCTAGGTATATTTCTACACACTTTACATGAATCTTTTTTATTTTTAAAAGTATTTTTAACTTTTTCTTTAGTTATGGGAGTGTATGTGCAGGTTTGTTACATGAGTATGCTATGTGATCCTGAGGTTTGGGGTACAATTGATTCTATCACCCAGGTGGTGAGCATCATACCCAACAGGTAGTTTTTCAACTCACTCTTCCTTCCCTTCTTCTTCCCTCTAGTAGTCATCAGTGTCTATTCCCATCTTCATGTCTATGTGTACTCAGTGTTTATCTCCCACTTATAAATGAGAACATGTGGTGTTTGGTTTTCTGTTCCTGTGTTAGTTTGCTTAAGATTATGGCCTCCAGCTGCATCCATGTTACTGTAAAGGACATGATTTCATTCTTTTTATGGCTATGTAGTATTCCATGGTATATATGTGCCACATTTTCTTATCTCATCCACCATTGATAGGCACCAAGGTTGATTCCATGTCTTTTCTATTGTGAATAGTGCTGCAGTGAATATACAAGTACATGTGTCTTTTTGGTAGAAAGATTTATTTTCTTGTGGATATATACCTAGTAATGGGACCACTGGGTCAAATGGTAGCTCTGTTTTAAGTTCTTTGAGAAATTTCCAAACTGCTTTCTGCAGTGGCTGAACTAATTTACATTCCCACTAATGGGGTATAAGCATTCCCTTTTTTCCATAGTCTTGCCAATATTTCTGGGTTTTTTTTTGTTTGTTTGTTTTTACTTTTTAACAATAGCCATTCTGACTGGTGTGAGACATTATGGTTGTGATTTGCATTTCTCTGATGATTGGTGATTATGAACACTATTAAATGTTTGTTGGCCACTCATAGATCTTCTTTTGATAAGTGTCTGTTTACGTCCTTTACCCATTTTTTCAAAGGGATTATTTGTTTTTTGCTCATCGATCTGTTTAGGTTGTTTATAGATCCTGGATATTAGACCTTTGTCAGATGCATAGTTTGTAAATATTTTCTCCCATTCTGTAGGTTATCTGTTTACTCTGTTGATAGTTTATTTTGCTGTGCAGAAGCTCTTAGTTAAATTAGGTCCCAGTCATCAATTTTTGTTTTTATTGAAATTGCATTTGAAGTCTTCATCATGAAGTCTTTCCAAGGCCAGTGTTGAGAAGGGCATTTCCTAGGTTTTCTTCTAGAGTTTTTATAGTTTGAGGTCTTATATTTAAATTTTCAATCAACTTCGAGTTCAAATGAATTCTTACAGACTTAACCATTATTCCAATTTCACAGATTAGAAAACAGGTTCAAATTACATAAGCCTGGCATATTGGTCCCAAAGTTATCCACCTTTCCACACTGGTTAACTGCTTTGAAAAGACCTGAAACAAATAAGTAATGAATCCTAATAAAATACATAGTGTTTTTAGTTTGAAATCAGTAAATCTGACAAACAACAAAAGAAAACAAAACCCAAAACTCTTCTGGTTTGGTTTAAAATCAGACAAGAAAGACAAACAAAAATGCAAAAGTATTATTAAACAGATAGAGCTTTTGCAGCCTCAAATAGAGGCAAAATAAAAACCCAAACAGAGGTTTCATGTCATGAAATCTACTACTTTGCCATCTAAAATATGAACTTAGCACTAAATTATGAGAGAAAGTATAATCAGATTTTTATGTTCTGCCTGTGGATTTAAAAAACGACAAATAATAAAAACAAAAATGACAGATAACGTGTTAATGGGGAATCATTTCAGAAAGTTACTTCAGTAAAAGAAATTTCCTAATCTTGTCAGCAAAGAATGCATAGCTCATAAGTAAAGAATGTTAACCGCTCAAAAGAATTTGCCACAGTTTGCTCTTTGGCATCAAATGAACTATTGGGAATGCAGTTTAAATAGTTGAAAGATTCCTTAAAATCAAGAACAAGTGATATATCATGGATGCCCCTCTCTGCCCCAGAACTGGAGATGAATCTCTCAAGATGACAGAAACTAATCTCTTTCCTTAGGTCAAAGGAATCTTTATACCTGTCAATTGTTCCCCCTCTTTTTTTTTTTTTTTTGGAGAGAAGAGGTTTCACCATGCTGGCCAGGCTGGTTTTGAGCTCCTGGCCACAAGTGGTCTGCCCGCCTTGGCCTCCCGAAGTGATGGGACTACAGGCGTGAGCCACCAAGTCCAGCCTAATTGTTTCTTCCAAGAGAGATTATGAGCAGCTCCTTAAAGGAGACAGGACTCAGCTCATTTGTTTTTGTAACCTTATTGTCTAGGACCTAGCCAGACACTTAGCCCAGTTCTAGTGGAAGTATGATGAACATAAGAAAGAGAGGGAGACAGGTGGGAAGAGGGAGAGAGAGAGATAGCAGGTCATGGTTATGTTTTAGAATGTTACCATTCTTGCACTGAATTTTACTTGGCAAATATCTCCAGAGACTGACTTCAGAGATTTCTTTTTTGTTTTTTAAAATTAAGCTTTTTAATTTGGGGATAATTATAGGTTTGCATGCAATTGTAAAAAATAATAGAGATATCTCATGTATACTTTACCTAGTTTCCCTAAATGGTAAAATATTGCAAAACTATAGTATAATATTACAACCAGGATATCGACATTGATACAGTCAATAGAAAAAATATTGCTACCACCACAAGAATCCTACATGTTTTTCTTTTATAGTCATATCCACTTCTGTCCTACACCTCCCTTCCCCATTCTGAACCTCTACCAATCACGAATCTACTCCCCATTTCTACAATTTTGTCATTGTACTAATGTTATATAAATGGAATTATGAGGTATGTAAGTTTTGAATATTGGCTTTCTTTACTAGGCATAATTCTCTGGAGTTTCATCCATGGGGTTGCATATATCAATAGTTCCTTCTATTTTATTGCCAGTAGTATTCCATAGTATGGATGTACCACAGTGAGTGGATTAACCGTTCACCCATTGGAGGATACCAGGTTGTTTTCAGTTTGGGATATTGGAATAAAGCTGTTATGAACATTAGCGTGCAGGTTTTTGTGTGAATATAGGTTTCATTTCTCTAGAATAAATGCTCATAAGTGCAATTTCTGGGTCATATAGTAGTTTCATATGTGGTTTTTTTATTTAGATATAATTTACATAGCACAAAATTTATCCCTTTAAAGTGTACAGTTCAGTTTTTTCAGTATATTCCTAAGATTTTTTATGGTTGTCACCACTATGGAATTTACTACTAAATTCTAGAACATTTTAATTTCTCTAAAAGAAATCTCATAACTGTTAGCAGTCACTCTCCATCTTTTCTTCCTCCTGCCCTCTTATAGTCACTAATCTACTTTCTGCCTGTGTGAATTTGCCTATTCTGGGTATTTCATATAAATGTAATCATATAATATGTGACCCTTGTGCCTGTGTTTTTAATTAACATAATGTTTTCAAACTTTATCCATGTTGTAGGATGAATCTGCACTTTATTTCTTTATATAGTTGAATAATATCCTATTTAATGGATATACCACAGCTTGTTTATCCATTTATCATTTAATAGACATTTTGGTTGTTGGTATACCTTTTGGTGATAATGAATGAGGCTGTTATGAAGATTCATGTACAAGTTTTTGTGTGAACATATGTTTTGTTTCTTTTGTGTAGATACTTTGGAGTAGAATTGCTATGCTATATGGTGACTCTATGATTAACTTTTTAAGGAACTAACTCTTTTCCAAACTTGAGCAGACCTTAATCCCAAGGCCCTTGTTTGATCCCTTCTCCCTTCCCTGTAAGTCATTTTTCTAAAAGTTTTATAGTTTTATGTTTTAAATTTAAGTTCATGATTCACTTTGAGTAAATTTTTATATAAAATGTAAGACTTAGTTCAATTTTATTTTATTTTTATTTATTATTATTTTATTTTTTGCCTATGGATGTTCAATTACTTCAGCACCATTTCCTGAAAAGGTTATTTTTCCTCCATTGGAGCGCTTTTGTGCCTTTGCCAGAAATTAGTTGGGCATATTTATATGGGTCTACTTCTGGGTTCTTCCATTTCTAGGTTATTTATTCTGCTCCATTGATCCACATGTCTATTCTGCCAGTACTACATAGTCTTGATTAATGTATGTACAGCAAGTTTTGAAATAGGATACAGTGACTCCTCCCACTTTATTCTTCTTTTTAAAAATTGTTTTAGTTACTATATTTCCTTTGGCTCTCCATTTAAATGTTAAAAGAACATTTTCTATATCTACAAAAAAAGCCTTGCTGGGATTTTGGTAGGACAGCTATCAAATCTATATATCACTTTGGGAAGAATTGACATATTTATACTATTCTGAGCCTTTAAATCCATGAGCACAGTATGTCTTTCCATATCCTTAGATTTTATTTAATTTCTTTCATTAGTGTTTTGTTTTCTTCAACATACAAATTCTATACATATTGTGTTAGTTTTATACCTAAGTATTTATGTCTTTCTTCTTTACTTCTTGATTGTTAAGTAGGGTTGCATTTTTAATTTTGTTGTCCATCTGTTCATTGCTACCACATAGAAATGCAACTAATTTTTGTGTATTTATCTGCATTTTCTGACCTTTGAAACTGCCCAACAAGTTCATCTTACCCACTACCCAGATAGAGCCTATTTATCAAGACAAGGAAATTGCAATAGAGAAAGGGTTTAATACGCACAGAGCTGACTAAATGGGAGGCCGGAGGTTTTTTCTTTTTCTATTTTTTTTTTTTTTTTTTGAGACGGATTCTGGCACTGTTGCCTGGGCTGGAGTACAATGGCATGATCTCGGCTCACTGCAACCTCCACCTCCTGGGTTCAAGCGATTCTCCTGCCTCAGCCTCCTGAGTAGCTGGGATTACAGGCATTCACCACCATGCCTGGCTAATTTTTTGTATTTTTAGTAGAGATAGGGTTTCACTATGTTGGCCAGGCTGGTCTTGAACTCCTGACTTTGTGATCTGCCCACCTCGGCCTCCCAAAGGGCTGGGATTACAGGCGTGAGCCACCACACCCGGCCAAGTTTCATTATTGCTTACATCATCTTCCCTGAAAGTTCAGAGGCTAGAGTTTTTTAAAGAGAGTTTGCTGGGCATGGGGCCAGGGAATGCTGATTGGTTGGATCAAGAATGAACTCACAGAAAGTTGAAATTGTCCTCCTGCGCAGAGTCAGCTCTTGGGTGGGGATCACAAGATCAGATGAGCCAGTTTACTGGTCTGTGTGGCATCAGATAATCCATCAGAATGCAGGTTCTGAAAAATACCTCAAACACCAATCTTGGGTTTTACAATTGTAATGGTATTCATAGGAGCAATTAGAGAGGTTAGGAATCTTTTGGCCTCTAGTTGCATGACTCCTGAGCCGTAATTTCTTTCTTTTTTTTAAATTACCCTTTAAGTTCTAGGGTACATGTGTACAACATGCAGGTTTGTTACATATGTATACATGTGCCATGTTGGTGTGCTGCACCCATTAACTTGTCATTTACATTAGGTATATCTCCTAATGCTTTCCCTCCCCCCTCCCCCCATCCCATAACAGGCCCCAGAGTGTGATATTCCCCTTCCTGTGTCCATGTGTTCTCATTGTTCAATACCCACCTATGAGCGAGAACATGTGGTGTTTGGTTTTTTGTCCTTGCGATAGTTTACTGAGAATGATGATTTCCAATTTCATCCATGTCCCTACAAAGGACATGAACTCATCATTTTTTATGGCTGCATAGTATTCCGTGGTGTATATGTGCCATATTTCCTTAATTCAGTCTATCGTTGATGGACATTTGGGTTGGTTCCAAGTCTTTGCTATTGTGAATAGTGCCGCAATAAACATACGTGTGCATGTGTCTTTATAACAGCATGATTTATATTCCTTTGGGTATATACCTAGTAATGGGATGGCTGGGTCAAATGGTATTTCTAGTTCTGGATCCCTGAGGAATTGCCACACTGACTTCCACAATGGTTGAACTAGTTTACAGTCCCACCAACAGTGTAAAAGTGTTCCTATTTCTCCACAACCTCTCCAGCACCTGTTGTTTCCTGACTTTTTAATGATTGCCATTCTAACTGGTGTGAGATGGTATCTCATTGTGGTTTTGATTTGCATTTCTCTGGCTAGTGATGATGAGCATTTTTTCATGTGTCTCTTGGCTGTATAAATGTCTTCTTTTGAGAAGTGTCTGTTCATATCCTTTGCCCACTTGTTGATGGGGTTGTTTGTTTTTTTTCTTATAAATTTGTTTGAGTTCTTTGTAGATTCTGGATATTAGCCCTTTGTCAGATGGGTAGATTGCAAAAATTTTCTCCCATTCTGTGGGTTGCCTGTTCACTCTGATGGTAGTTTCTTTTGCTGTGCAGAAGCTCTTTAGTTTAATTAGATCCCATTTGTCAATTTTGGCTTTTGTTGTCTTTGCCTTTGGTGTTTTACACATGAAGTCCTTGCCCATGCTTATGTCCTGAATGGTATTGCCTAGGTTTTCTTCTAGGGTTTTTATGGTTTTAGGTCGAACATGTAAGTTTTTAATCCATCTTGAATTAATGTTTGTGTAAGGTGTAAGGAAGGGATCCAGTTTCAGCTTTCTACATATGTCTAGCCAGTTTTCCTAGCACCATTTATTAAATAGGGAATCCTTTCCCCATTTCTTGTTTTTGTCAGGTTTGTCAAAGATCAGATGGTTGTAGATGTGTTGTATTATTTCTGAGGGCTCTGTTCTGCTCCATTGATCTATATCTCTGTTTTGGTACCAGTACCATGCTGTTTTGGTTACTGTAGCCTTGTAGCATAGTTTGAAGTCAGGTAGCTTGATACCTCTAGCTTTGTTCTTTTGGCTTAGGATTGTCTTGGCAATGTGGGCTCTTTTTTGGTTCCATGTGAACTTTAAAGTAGTTTTTTCCAATTCTGTGAAGAAAGTCATTGGTAGCTTGATGGGGATAGCATTGAATCTATAAATTACCTTGGGCAGTATGGCCATTTCCATGATGTTGATTCTTCCTATCCATGAGCATGGAATGTTCTTCCATTTGTTTGTATCCTCTTTTATTTCATTGAGCAGTGGTTTGTAGTTCTCCTTGAAGAGGTCCTTCACATCCCTTGTAAGTTGGATTCCTAGGTATTTTATTCTCTTTGAAGCAACTGTGAATGGGAGTTCATTCATGATTTGGCTCTCTGTTTGTCTGTTATTGATGTATATGAATGCTTGTGATGTTTGCACATTGATTTTGTATCCTGAGACTTTGCTGAAGTTGCTTATCAGCTTAAGGAGATTTTGGGCTGAGATGATGGGGTTTTCTAAATATACAGTCATGTCATCTGTAAACAGGGACAATTTGACTTCCTCTTTTCTTAACTGAATACTCTTTATTTCTTTCTCCTGCCTGATTGCCCAGGCCAAAACTTCCAACACTATGTTGAATAGGAGTGGTGAGAGAGGGCATCCCTGTCTTATGCCAAGTTTCAAAGGGAATGCTTCCAGTTTTTGCCCATTCAGTATGATGTTGGCTGTGGGTTTGTCATAAATAGCTCTTATTATATTGAGATACGTCCCATCAATACCTAATTTATTGAATTTTTAGCATGAAGGGCTATTGAATTTTGTCAAAGGACTTTTCTGCATCTATTGAGATAATCATGTGGTTTTTGTCTTTGGTTCTGTTTATATGTTGAATTACATTTATTGATTTGCATATGTTGAACAAGCCTCACATCCCAGGGATGAAGCCGACTTGATCATGGCGGATAAGCTTTTTGATGTGCTTCTGGATTCGGTTTGCCAGTATCTTATTGAGGATTTTTGCATCGATGTTCATCAGGGATATTGGTCTAAAATTCTCTTTTTTTGTTTATCTGCCAGGCTTTGGTATCAGGATGATGCTGGCCTCATAAAATGAGTTAGGGAGGATTCCCTCTTTTTCTATTGATTGGAATAGTTTCAGAAGGAATGGTACCAGTTCCTCCTTGTACCTCTGATAGAATTAGGCTGTGAATCCGTCTGGTCCTGGACTTTTTTTGGTTGGTAGGCTATTAATTATTGCCTCAATTTCAGATCCTGTTATTGGTCTATTCAGGGATTCAACTTCTTCCTGGTTTAGTCTTGGGAGGGTGTATGTGTCCAGGAATTTATCCATTTCTTCTAGATTTTCTAGTTTATTTGTGTAGAGATGTTTATAGTATTCTCTGATGGTAGTTTGTATTTCTGTGGGATCAGTGGTGATATCCCCTTTATCATTTTTTATTGTGTCTATTTGATTCTTCTCACTTTTCTTCTTTATTAGTCTTGCTAGCGATCTATCTTGTTGATCTTTTCAAGAAACCAGCTCCTGGATTTACTGATTTTTTGAAGGGTTTTTTGTGTCTCTATCTCCTTCAGTTCTGCTCTGATCTTAGTTATTTCTTGCCTTCTGCTAGCTTTTGAATGTGTTTGCTCTTGCTTTTCTAGTTCTTTTAATTGTGATGTTAGGGTGTCAATTTTGGATCTTTCCTGCTTTTTCTTGTGGGCATTTAGTGCTAAAAATTTCCCTCTACACACTGCTTTAAATGTGTCCCGGAGATTCTGGTATGTTGTGTCTTTGTTCTCGGTGGTTTCAAAGAACATCTTTATTTCTGCCCTCATGTCATTATGTACCCAGTAGTCATTCAGGAGCAGGTTGTTCAGTTTCCATGTAGTTGAGTGGTTTTCAGTGAGTTTCTTAATCCTGAGTTCTAGTTTGATTGCACTGTGGTCTGAGAGACAGTTTGTTATAATTTCTTTTCTTTTACATTTGCTGAAGAGAGCTTTACTTCCAACTATGTGGCCAATTTTGGAATAAGTTTGATGTGGTGCTGAGAAGAATGTATATTCTGTTGATTTGGGGTGGAGAGTTCTGTAGATGTCTATTAGGTCTGCTTGCTGCAGAGCTAAGTTCAATTCCTGGATATTCTTGTTAACTTTCTGTCTTGTTAATCTGTCTAATGTTGACAGTGGGGTGTTAAAGTCTCCCATTATTATT
Organism: Homo sapiens; assembly: GCF_000001405.40. NCBI lineage: Eukaryota > Metazoa > Chordata > Mammalia > Primates > Hominidae > Homo > Homo sapiens. Next base: position 109,540,705 of record NC_000011.10, on the reverse strand, counting down.
GTGTGGGAGTCTAAGTCTCCTGAGCCATAATTTCTAATCTTATGGCTAACTTGTTAGTTTTACGAAGGAAGTCTGGTCCCTAAGCAAGGAGGGGATTTGTCTGTGGAGGGGCTATTATTATCTTTTTTCAAAGTTAAAGTATAAACTGAATTCCTCCTAAAGTTAGTTCAGCCTATCCCCAGGAATGAACAAGAGAAGCTTAGAGGTTAAAGGCAAGATGGAGTCAGTTAAGTCAGATTTCTTTCATGGTCATAATTTTCCTATGTCAGATTTTTCTCACTGTCATAATTTGTCCAGAGGTAGTTTCACCTTGCTGAATTTATTTGTAGTTCTAGGAATTGTTTTGTAGATTATTTGGAACTTTGTACATAGACAAATACAAAAGACTGTGACCAACAACAACAAAAAAAGGAGCAAGATGGCTGAATAGAAGCCTGAATAGAAGCCTGCAGTGATTGGAGCAAATTGGACAGGAACACGAAATTGGACAGCTATCCACACACACAAAAAAATCTTCATAAGAAGCAAAAATCAGATGAGCGATCACATTATCTGGTTTTAACATTGTATTAAGAAAAGAGGCACTGAAGAGAGTGGAAAAGAGAGTCTTTAATTGCTGACATCACCACGCCCCCATGCCCTGGCAGTGGCCACATGGTATGGAGGGCCACTGTGTATCTGTGTGCTTAGGGGAGGGAGAGTGCAGTGGGACTTGCACTGGAAGTCAGTGCTGCGCTGTCATAGCAGAAAGAACCACAGGGCAGAACTCATGTGGTGCATATGGTGGGAGCATTTAGGCCAGCCCTAGCTAGAGCCTTTAGGTCCAGTTCTCAGTCACCATGAGATAAAGTGCCCTGGAATCCTAAATAAACCCACTGCCTTGAAGGGAGGGACCCAGTCTTGGCAGGATCTATTACCTACTCACTAAAGAGCCCTTGGGCCTTAAATGAACATCAGCAGTACTGAGGCAGTACTCACACCCTGGGTCTTGGGGGAGACACAGGGCCTTGCTGGCTTCAGGTGTGACCAAGCACATTCCCAGCTTTAGTGGTCATGGGGAGAGACTCCTGCTTGAGGAAAAGAGAGGAAAGAATAAAGGGGACTTTGTCTTGCAGTGTGGACACCAGCTTGGCCGCCTTGAGTTAGAGCACCAGGTGGGCTCCTGGATTCCCCAGTTCTAGGCCTTGGCTTCTGGATGGCATTTCTGGACCCAATCTGGGCCAGAGGGAAACCCACTGCCATGAAGGGAGAGATACAGGCCTGGCAGCATTCACCACAAGCTGACTGAAGAGCCCTTGGGCCTTGAGTAGCCAAGTAGTACTTAACTGTGGGCCTGGAGCTGTGGTGGCTGTGGGAAGAGACTTCTTCTGCATAAGGAAAGGAGAGGGAAGAGTGGAAAGGACTTTGTCTTATGGCTTGGGTGCGAGCTGTCTCAGTAGAATAGAGCACACCAAGTAGATTCCTAAGATTCCCCACTCCAGGCCCTAGCTCGCATGCAGCATTTCTGGACCTCCCCTGGACCGAGGAGGAGCTTGCCACCCTGAAAGGAAGGACACAAGCCTGGCTAGATTCATGACCTGCTGACTGAAAAGCCCTTGGTCCTTCAGTAAACATCAGTGGTAATCAGGCAGTGCTCACTGCAGGCCTTGGATGCGACCCAGTGATGTACTTCAGGTCTGACTGAGCACGGTCACAGTTGTGGGGGCTACAGAGGTGCTTGTGTCACCTCTTCTGCTGCTCCAGGCAGTTCAGCACAGAGATACTCTATTTGTTTGGGAGAAAGTTAGGGAAGAGAACAAGAATACTCTTTTGGATAATACAGGGAATTCTCCCAGATCACACCCAAGATCAATCAAGGTGGTAACTCTACAAGCCTTCAAGAGTCACGGTGCTGCTGGGCGTGGGTGTCCCCTACTGCACATATGGCTTCAGTGACCAAAGATTTAAATCACAACACTCAATTCCCTTTGAGTACTTGGAAATCCTTCCCAAGAAGGATGGGTACAAACAAGCCCAGACTGAAAACTACAATAAATACCTAAGGATTCAATGCCAAGACATCAAATAATATCCACAAGCATACAGGAAAATATGACCTTATCAAACAAACTAAGGTACCAGTAACTAATCTTAGAGTGACAGAGATTTGTGACCTTTCAGACAGAGAATTCAAAATAGTTGTTTTGAGAAAGTCCAACAAAATTCAAGATAACACAGAGGAATTCAGAATCCTGTCAGATAAATTTAACAAAGAGATTAAAATAATTAAAAAGAATCCAGGAGAAATTCTAGAGCTGAGAAATTCAATTGACATATTAAAGAATGCATCAGAGCCTCTCAAGGGCACAATTGATCAAGCAGAAAAAAGAACTAGCAAGTTTGAAGATAGGCTATCTGAAAATACACAGTCAGAGGAGACAAAAGAAAAAAGAAGAACGAGGCATGCCTACAGGGTCTAGAATATAGCCTCAAAAGGGCAATTCTAAGAGTTATTGGCCCTAAAGGGGAGCTAGAAAGAAAAGTTGTGGTAGAAAGTTAATTCAAAGGGGTAAAAACAGAGAACTTCCCAAACCTAGAGAAAGATATAATGAGTACAGAAAGAACACCAAGCAGATTTAACCAAAATAAGACTACCTCAAGACACTTAATACTCAAACTCCCAAAGGTCAAGGATAAAGAAGGGATCCTAAAACATCAAAAGGAGCTCCAATAGGTCTGGCACCACACTTTCCAGTGGAAATCTTTACAGATCAGGAGAGAATGGCATTACATATTAAACATGCTGAAGGGGCTGGGTGCGGTAGCTCATGCCTGTAATCCAGCACTTTGGGAGGCTGAGGCGGGTGGATCATGAGGTCACGAGTTCGAGACCAGCCTGGGCAATATGGTGAAACCTCCTCTCCACCAAAAAAATACAAAAATTAGCTGGGCATGGTGGTGCACACCTGTAATCCCAGCTACTCAGGAGGCTGAGGCAGGAGGATTGCTCAACCCGGCAGGTGGAGGTTGCAGTGAGCCGAGTTCACATCACTGCACTCCAGTCTGGGCGACAGAGTAAGTCTCCATCTCAGAAAACAAAACAAAACAAAAAGTGCTGAAGGAAAAAACTTTTACCCTAGAATAGTATATCCAGCAAAAATATCCTTCAAACATGAAGGTGAAATAAATACTTTCCCAGAAAAGCAAAAGCTGAAGGATTTCATCAACACCAGACCTACGCTACAGCAAAAGTCATATATGACAGATACATAGCTAGTATCTTATTGAATGGGGAAAAATGAAACGCCTTTCCTCTAAGATCTGGAACAAGACAAGGCTGTATGTCCACTTCCACCGCTATTATTCAACATGGTACTGGAAGTCCTATCTACAGCAATCAGACGAGAAAAAAAATAAATGGTACCCAAAATGGAATGGAAGAAGTTAAATTAGCCTTGTTTGCAGATGATATGATCTTATATTTGGAAAAAACTGAAGATTCCACCAAAAAATTATTAGAACTAATAAATTCAGTAAAACTATAAGATACAAAACCAACATACCAAAATCTGCCGCATATCCATATGCCAACAGTGAACAATCTGAAAAAGAAATCAAGAAATTCCATTTATAGTAGCTACAAATAAAATATCTATGAATAAACTTAACCATAAAAGTGAGAGATCTCTATATAATAAACACTATGGAACATTGATGAAAGAAATTGAAGAGGACAGAAAGAAAGGGAAAGATATTTCATGTTCATGGATTGAAAGCATCAATGCTGTTAAAAGTGTGCATACTACCCAAAGTGGTCTACAGATTCAATACAATCCCCATCAAAATACCAATGACATTTTTCACAGAAATAGGAAAAATATTTCTAAAATTTGTATGAAATCACAAAATACTCAGAACAGCCAAAGCTATCCTGAGCAAAAAGAATGAGGAATTACCTGACTTTAAATTACGCTATGGAGTTACAGTAACCAAAACAGCATAGCACTGGCATAAAAACAGACATATAGACCAATGGAATACAATAAATAACCCAGAAATGAATCCATACAACTACAGTGAACTCATTTTTGAGAAAAGTGTCAAAAACCTACAATGAGGAAAGAACAGTCTCTTCAATAAATGGTTCTGGGAAAACTGAAAATTAATACGCAGAAGAATAAGACTAGATTCCTATCCCTTACCATAAAAAAAAATGAAAATAGATTCAAGGCTGAAATCTAAGATCTCAAACTATGAAATAACCAAATAAAGCATTGGGGAAACTCTCCAGGACACTGGATGGGCAAAGATTTTTTGAGTAATATCCCACAAGTACAGGCAACCAAAACAAAAGTGGACAAATAGGGTCACATCAAGTTTAAAAGCTTCAAAAAGTCAACAAAGTAAATAACCCACAGAATGGGAGGAAATATTTCCAAACTACCCTTCTGACAAGGGATTAATAACCAGAATGTACAAGGAGCTCAAACAACTCTATGGGAAAAAAATTTTTTTTTTTATTATACTTTAAGTTCTAGGGTACATGTGCACAATGTGCAGGTTTGTTACATATGTATACCTGTGCCATGTTGGTGTGTTGCACCCATTAACTCATCATTTACATTAGGTATATCTCCTAATGCTATCCCTCCCCACTCCCCCGACCCCACAACAGACTCCGGTGTGTGACGTTCCCCTTCCTGTGTCCAAGTGTTCTCATTGTTTAATTCTATGGGGAAAAAATTAATTATTTGATCAACAATGGGCAAAAGATTTTAATATTATTCCAAAGAAGACACAAAATGGCAAACAGAAATATGAAAAGGTATTCAACATCGTTGATCATCGGAGAAATGCAAATCAAAACTATAGTGAGATATCATCTCACCACAGTTAAACTGGCTTTTATCCAAAAGACAGGCAATAACAAATGCTGGTGAGAGTGTGGAGAAAAGGGAACCCTTGTATGCTATTGTTAGGAGTGTAAATTAGTACATTCACTATGAAGGACAGTTTGGAGATTCCTCAACAAACTAAAAATAGAGCCACCATATTATCCAGCAATCTCACTGCTAGGTATATACCCAAAAGAAAGGAAATTTGTATATCACAAAGATAGCACTTCACTGTGGCATTATTCACAATAACCAAGATTAGGATGCAATCTAAGTGTCTATCAACAGATGAATGGGTTTAAAAAAATGTGGTACATAGACACAATGGAGTACATTATAGACTTTGCCCAGAGAACAGAAAAGTCTAAGGAACTCAACATTTCTCAATGGTTTGTTTTAATATCCTATTCTTTTCCAATTCAGCACCAAGGTTATCTCCCTGGATATAGAGAATTCCTTATAACAAAGTGGGGTATGATATGGTTTGGCTCTGTGTCTCCACCCAAACCTCATCTTGAATTGTAATCCCCAGGTGTCCAGGGAGGGACCTGGTGGGAGGTGACTGGATCATGGGGATGGTTTTCCCCATGCTGCTCCCATGACAGTGAGTGAGTTCTCATGAGAGCTGATGGTTTTAAAAGTGTTTGGCAGTTCTCGCTTCACTCTTCTCTCTCTCCTGACACCATGTAAGATGTGCCTTGCTTCCCCTTCACCTTCTGCCATGATTGAAAGTTTTCTGAGGCCTCCTCAGCCATGCAAAACTGTGAGTCAATTAAACCTCTTTCCTTTATAAATTACCCAGTCTCGGGTAGTGTCTTTATAGCAGTTTGAAAATGGACTAATACAGTGTGTCATGTCATTAAAATAGCAAATTCCAAGCATATTCATTTATGGAAAATAAAAATGTCCAATAAGGCTCTGAGGTTAGGCATTAAAATAAATATTAAGATGGTGATGCTATTTAATGAAATGAGGAATATAGAAAAAGGAGACATCTGGGAGATTGGTTGATAAGTTTAGGATACATTCAGAGGAAAATTTAAAAACAGATCTCTAATGGGGATTTAAATCAGGGGGTCTTAGGCTTTGTTGCCTACTTCAGCAGTCACTAGCCACATAGCTATTTAAATTTAAGTTTAAATTAAACAAATACAACTAAAAATTTAGTTCAGTATACAGCCACATTTCAAATACTCAGTAGCTACAGGTGGCTAGTGGCTACTGTATTGCACAGTGCAAAAAAAAAAAAAAAAAAAAAACTTCCATCATTATAGAAATTTCTATTTGAACCAGAAAGTCCTACTGGTCTAGAGCTCAGGAGATAGGACAAATCTACAGGTACAGATTTGGGAGTTATTTGAGTGTTTGGAAGGTAGGTGAATTTATTAACAAGGATGAAGCGTCCCAGGAAGAATTTGTCAAAGAGAAAAGAAAACCCTAGAACAAAAATCTGAGATACTGCCGCTTTGAGGAATACACAGAGAAATAGGAATCCGTAAAAGATGAGTCAGAAGCAAGTGATCAGAGAGGAAGAAGAACCAGAGAACATTTGATTCCCAGGACACAATAGAGTGTCAGGAAAGGGACCAGAAGGCTTGAGGGGTCAAGTAAGAGAGGACTAAGAAGAGGTCAGAGAATTTGGTAGTGAGAGATCATTGGTGACTCTTGCAGAATATTTGCAACAGCAAGATGGGACTTGAGCCAAACTTCTATAAAGGAGAGAAAAATGGTGAGGAAATAATACATCCAGTGTAGCATTCTCTTTCAAAAAGTTTTACAGTAAAATGGGATGGGTGTGTGAATGCAACAATAAAGGGCAGTGACTTGAGAGAAAAGCAGGATCAAGTGAGAAAGTTTTCTTAGGAGGAGAGAAACTTAAATATATTTGTAAATTGAAGAGAGGAAGATGTGAAAGAGAAGTTAAAAATATCAGAAAGATAAATGATGGATGAATGCCTGAGGAGGTGATGGGAATTAGGATCAAAAGCACAGTTGGAGAAGTTAACCTTGGGAAGGAAGAGGAACAATTCTCTTTGAGGTTAGAGACATGAAAGTTTGAAGGTGGGGAAGAAGTTCATGACTGAGATAGCTTGAATTTTTAGTACCTTTACTGAATATCCAAGCATGAAAATTCAAATTTATGCAAGGCTGGAAAATGCCTTTGGTTGTCCATTTAAGCAAGGTCTGACAGTCCATCAGGGAGCCATCAGCTTTCTAACAATGGACATAAATTTTGAGGACATCTCATTAATACCTGAAAGCTATTGATCTATCTGTCCACCATAAAAGATGTGGCCTCATTAACATTTCATGGCTTCCACTATCAGAGATTTAAACAGCACAGACTGGGGCAAAAGATATACGTATATATAGCCTAAAAAAGGAAAAGAAAAATTAAGAGAAACCAAACACTCAATTAGAGATACTGTGTAAGCGTGTAGGATTGTGACTGTCAAGAGATCGTCCAGATGTAACAGCTGCTTGATTACAAATGACAAGTGTAACTAGCTCTTCTTAATGTGTAGAGAGGTTAAATATGGAAACAGAATCACGAAATTGCCCATGAGAAATTAGGGAGGCAGGAAGTGCTAACCTCCTTAGCCAGCAATGCTAAGTCCATTTTGGAAATCCAAGTCATTATCTTCTTCACTGCCTGAAATTTGGTTTCCACCCTTGTCACTCAACTGATACTACACATTCAAAGGTCACCAGTGACTGGCTAATGGTCAAATTCAGTAATCTTTTCTCATTTTCTCAATTTTTTTTGCTACTCTAGACACCATTAAATGCCTGTCTTTTTTGAAATCTGTCCAGTGGTTTCTATTAGGCTATGATACCCTGTTTTATGACAGTCCTGTTTTCCCTCTTTTCTTGTAATTGTGGATATTTTCCAAGGCCAGGGTTTACCCTCTGTCTTTTCAAATTTGCCTCTAAGACAAAGTATGAGGTAGGGACAGGGAGTGAACAGAGCTGGCTTAACAGCACTCAGGAGGAACAGCAATATGAGGCCCAGGTAGACAGTATGACAAAGCATCTAACAGTTAGCTTTATGTTTTTAAGGGTAAAATAATAAGTACTTCAGGCCTTGCAGAGACTATTCTCTGTTGCAACTGTTATAGTGCCATTATAGTGTAAAAGAAAGCACCCATAGATCTATGTAAACAGATGAACATGGTTGTATTCTAATAAAATTTTACTTATAAGAACAAGCAGCAGCCCATGCACTGAACTCTGCTGACCCCTGAATCAATGAAGGCTGAATATGGAAGAAAAATTAAATCCAAGGCATAACACCTACAATCAGGGGCCACAAGTATATTGAATGGATTCTGACCCAGATAGAGAATAATGGCTAGAATTGGAGAAATTTTCTGAGAGTGCGCCAGGTAGCTAGGGTTGGAACTCCTTTTCTAGGTGTAAAAAGAACCACAGGAGGCACCAAGTTAAGAACATCTATCTTATAGAAATGCATCTATCCCAACATCTTCAGCTGCATGGTGCATGGTGCAATGGTTAGATCTCTGCATATGGAGTCAGGGCTGGAGTCTATACCACTCACATATGACCATGTAGAAATTAATTCAGTCTTCTAAGCTTCAGTTGCCTAACATGTAATGAAGACCTCCTGAAAGGAGCTTTTAAAGTGGTTAGAAGAGCCAGTGTGGGCAAAAATTCTACCATAGATCCTAGAATGTAGTGGGCCCTTGGTAAATGCTGTTTGTCTCTATTTTATAAGGTTCTTAGGTGGTTGAAACAGTAAAAATAAAGCACTTTAAGAAACCAGTTTGGCAAATAGGGAAGCTGCATACAGATGCCAGTTGTCATTCTAATTTGTATGCTAAGCTGATCTGAGCTCTCCCCTAAGCTCCAGGACCTTAGCTCAGTTTGTCACAACAGCCTCTGGCCTCTCATCATTCCAATCCAGCCTTCAAAACCATGGGAACTGAGCCTTGTCTCATGATATGTTCTCAATTAATGTCTGCTAAATAAAACAGATGACTGCCACTGTCCTGTCAGTAACCCTCAAAGACCTTCAAATTCTGTAACCATTCAGGCCTTAAACATTGGGAGATTGTTCTAGGTGAAGCTAGAGGTTGAAGTTTGGGCTTGTCTTTCCAGGAACACTACTCCCCACTTAGGTCAGAGATCCTCTTTCCTTCATTCTAACATCAACCCCTAATCTCCCTCACTGCTCTCAACAGGCTGGGCCTGGAAATACTGTTTTCCCAAAACAATACAAGCACATGTCAACTGTAGACCTCCCTTCCCCGTGTTTTAGGATTTGTCTAGAATTTAATGTTAACGAGCTCAAGCTCTGAAGTAAGTCAGCTGATGTTAAATCCAAGTTCTGCTCCTTACTACATGGGCTGCCATAAACAGTTGTCTTAACTTTTCCATGTCTTGATTGCCAAATCTGGTAAATGACTATAAATAATAGGAGGATTGTTATCCTCCTATTATTTATAATAGAGATCATTTATGAAAAACACTTATCAGTGTATCTGGTAGTAAGAACCTAAATGTTAGCTATTACATTAAGTCAAAGTAAGATGTCTTTTGTTTCTGACTTCTGTTATTATGGCAGAAATAAGGGAAAAGTTAAGAAGAAATCTTACAGGAATTTAAAGCAAGACACACAGAAGTACATATACAAAATCAAAATTATCCAGAATCTACAAGGAACTTAAACAAATTTACAAGAAAAAAAAACATAAAAAACTGGGCAAAGGATATAAACAGACGCTTCTCAAAAGATGACATTTATGCAGCCAAAAACATGAAAAGAAGCTCATCTTTGGTCATTAGAGAAATGCAAGTCAAAACCACAGTATCATCTCACACCAATCAGAATGGTGATTATTAAAAAGTCAGGAAACAATAGATGCTGGCGAGGCTGTGAAGAAATAGGAACGCTTTTACACTGTTAGTGGGAGTGTAAATTAGTTCAACCATTATGGAAGACAGTGTAGCAATTCCTCAAGGATCTAGAACCAGAAATACCATTTGATCCAGCAGTCCCATTATTGGGTATAAACCCAAAGGATTGTAAATCATTCTACTATAAAGACACATGCACATGTATGTTGCAGCACTGTTCACAATAGCAAAGACTTGGAACCAACCCAAATGTCTATCAGTGATAGACTGGATAAAGATTATGTGGCATATATACACCATGGAATACTATTCAGTCATAAAAAGAATGAGAGCATGTCCTTTGCAGGGACGTGGATATAGCTGGAAACCATCATTCTCAGCAAACTAACACAGGAATGGAAAACCAAATACTGCGTGTTCTCACTCATAAGTGGGAGCTGAACAATGAGAACACGTGGACACAGGGAAGGGAATAACAACACATACTAGGGCCTGTCAGCCGGTGGGGGGCAAGGGAAGGGAGAGCATTAGGACACAAACCTAATGCATGTCAGGCTAAAAACCTAGATTACGGGTTGATAGGTGCAGCAAACCACCATGGCACACGTATATTTATGTCGCAAACCTGTATATTCTGCACATGTATCCCGGAACTTAAAGTAAAAATAAAATACATTTTAAGTACCACCCCCCAAAATCAAAATTATCCATAATGCTGTTAGCCAAAAACTTGAACACATATTACTAATATTTTGACATATTCATTTCTAGGTTTTCTCTATGTATATAAACGTACACAGCTTTTGAGACATGTATATTTAATTTAGTTGCTCCTTTCTGGCAACCTGCTGTTCTTTTTTCAGGTACTAAATATCTTGCAAAAAACATAATTTTTAAATGTTTCATAATTTTTTAAATTTTATTATTATACTTTAAGTTTTACGGTACATGTGTACAACGTGCAGGTTTGTTACATATGTATACATGTGCCATGTTGGTGTGCTGCACCCGTTAACTCGTCATTTAGCATTAGGTATATCTCCTAATGCTATCCCTCCCCCAGCCCCCCACCCCACAACAGTCCCTGGTGTGTGATGTTCCCCTTCCTGTGTCCATGTGTTCTCATTGTTCACTTCCCACCTGTCAGTGAGAACATGCGGTGTTTGGTTTTTTGTCCTTGCGATAGCTTGCTGAGAATGATGGTTTCCAGCTTCATCCATGTCCCTACAAAGGACATGAACTCACCCTTTTTTATGGCTGCTTAGAATTCCATGGCATATATGTGCCACATTTTCTTAATCCAGTCTATCATTGTTAGACATTTGGGTTGGTTCCAAGTCTTTGCTATTGTGAATAGTGCCGCAATAAACATACGTGTGCATGTGTCTTTATAGCAGCATGATTTATAATCCTTTGGGTATATACCCAGTAATGGGATGGCTGGGTCAAATGGAATTACTAGTTCTAGATGCCTGAGGAATCACCACACTGACTTCCACAATGGTTGAACTAGTTTACAGTCCCACCAACAGTGTAAAAGTGTTCCTGTTTCTCCACAACCTCTCCGGCACCTGTTGTTTCCTGACTTTTTAATGATTGCCATTCTAACTGCTGTGAGATGGTATCTCATTGTGGTTTTGATTTGCATTTCTCTGATGCCCAGTGATGATGAGCATTTTTTCATGTGTTTTTTGGCTGCATAAATGTCCTCTTTTGAGAAGTGTCTGTTCATATCCATCACCCACTTTTTGGTGTGGTTTTTTTTTTTTCTTGTAAATTTGTTTGAGTTCATTGTAGATTCTGGATATTAGCCCTTTGTCAGATGAGTAGGTTGCAAACATTTTCTCCCATTCTGTAGGTTGCCTGTTCACTCTGATGGTAGTTTCTTTTGCTGTGCAGAAGCTCTTTAGTTTAATTAGATCCCATTTGTCAATTTTGGCTTTTGTTGCCATTGCTTTTGGTGTTTTAGACATGAAGTCCTTATATTAATTTATTTTACCATTCTTCTTTACAAGGTAATTTTGTTTTTTATTTTTTAATTTTTTTATTTCAATAGGTTTTTGGGAAATAGGTGATGTTTGGTTACATGAATAAGTTCCTTAGTGGTGATTTCTGAGATTTTGGTGCACCCATCACCTGAGCAATCTTTTACATAGTCTTATAAAAGCAGTCTTATATATAGTCTTTTATCCCTCACCTACCTACATTCTTTCCCCTGAGTCCCCAGAATCCATTTTATCATTTTTATGCCTTTGCATCCTCATAGCTTAGCTCCCACTTAGGAGTGAGAACATACAATGTTTGGTTTTCCACTCCTGAGTTACTTCACTTACAATAATGGTCTCCAGTTCCATCCAGGTTGCTGTGAATTATTTCATTCCTTTGTATAGCTGAGTAGTATTCCATGGTGTGTGTATGTGCGTGTGTGTGTATACGCAGTGACATTTCTTTAGTCACTCATTGATGGGCATTTGGGCTGGCTCCATATTTTTGCAATTGCAAATTGTGCTGCTATAAACGTGTGTGCAAGTATCTTTTTTGAATAATGACTCCTTTTCTTCTGGGTAGATACCCAGTAGTAGGATTGCTGGATCAAATGGTAGATCTATTTTTAGTTTTTTAAGGAATTTCCACACTGTTTTCCATAGTGGTTGTAGTAGTTTACATCCCCACCAGCAGTGTAAAGTATTCCCTTTTCACCACACCCACAGCAACATCTATTTTTTATTTTTTGATTATGGCCATTCTTGCAGGAGTAAGGTGGTATTGTATTGTGGTTTCGATTTGCATTTCCCTGATCATTTGTGATGTTAAGCATTGTTTCATATGTTTGTTGGCCCTTTGTATATATTCTTTTGAGAATTGTCTACTCATGTCCTTAGCCCACTTTTTGTGGGCTTGTTTTTTTCTTGCTGATTTTACAACCTAATTTTGAAAGTTATCCTCACCATAATTCCACAATCTATGTCAATTAAATAGTATCCTGAGTTATGATTTTTTTAAAAGAACAGCAAGCAATTAAAAAACATTGCTTCTATTTTTTCCTAAAAATTGAAGTCTTTGCCATTGCAATTATTTTTAAGCCTTGTGGTCAAAACTGTGAAGAGACAATGCATGTCAAAATGCCCTTGTATGTTTCATTCTCTCCTTCACTGTCTTCTCAGACTTTGAGGTTAGAGCTTTTTTCTGTCCTCTGACAGGCATTATGCAAGCTAAGTTAAGCTCTGAGTCCAGATACATATGTGAAATGAGCTCTGTAAAGAAAAATGTCAAATATCTCTGTGGCATATCTTTGTTATTAACAGAGCTGTGCAAAACCCATGTGGAGTGACTTCCTTATAACACTTGGTTAACTGCAAATATTCCTTGTCAAAGCTTCAAGATGACACGAGTCTGTAGTTTTAACCTTGCTAATGATTTAGAGAACATACACCAGGTGCATTCTGCCCATCTCATTTTTCCCTTTTCTAAAAATTTCTCGAGGGTCTGGGAACAGATAAGTTCATTCAATTTGTAAAATCTGTTAGGTTTTATTTCATTCTATTTTAACAAACATTGTTGAGTGCCTCCTACTTGCCAGGCACTCACTGGGTATTGTCAGGAGGAAGGAAAAATGCAAAGATAAATGAGACAGGTCTCTCTGCCCTTGAAGAATTTAAAATCTACTAGAAAGCAGCAAGACATATGAACAAATAACTCCAATGCAAGGCAAAATAAAATAAGGCTAAACAAAGGAACGTACATTGTACTGAGTGGCTGCAAAGGAAAAAAGGAAAATGTTTAACCAAGAAGAGGTCATATTAGAGCTAAGCCTTGAAGAATGTCTAGGATTTTAATATGGGGAAGTGAAAGATAAAGGCAACGAAACCATTACTGAGTTCCTGCTAGGCATTTTAACTTCTGAATCAGGGATTGCACTAAAGCCATCTGTGTACGTTACTGTATGTAATCCCCCCCACGCCCCTGTCTCTGGTATCTATTGCTCTGTTCTCTATGTCTATGAGATCAAGTTTTTTAGCTCCCTCCTGTAAGTGAGAACATACAGTATTTGTCTTTTTGTACTTTGCTTATTTCCCTGAACATAGTAACCTCCAGTTCCATCCACACTGGTGAAAATTACAGGATTTTATTCTTTTTTATGGATGAGTAGTTTTCCATGGTGTATCTATGCCACATTTTCTTTATCCATTTGTCCATTGATTCCATATCTTTGCTGTTGTGAATAGTGCTGCGATAAACATGTGAATGTGGGTATCCCTTTGATATATTGATTTGTTTTCCCTTGGATAGATACACAGTAGTATAATTTCTGGATTGCATAGTAGTTCTATTTTTAGTTTGAGAAATTGCCATACCGTTTGTATTAGTCCATTCTCACACTGCTATAAAGGAATACCCGAGACTGGGTAATTAATAAATAAAAGAGGTTTAATTGGCTCATGGTTCTGCAGCCTGAAAAGAAAGCACGGCTGGGAGGCCTCATGATGACAGAAGGCAAAGGGGAAGGGGGCACATCTTCACAAAACAGGAGGAAGAGAAAGTGGGGAGGTGCCACACATTTTTAAACCACTAAATCTCATGAGCACTCACTATCATGAGAGCAGCACCAAGTGGGAAATCCGCCCCCATGATACAATCACTTCCCACCAGGCCTCACCTCCTCCATTGGGGATTCCAATTTGCCGTGAGATTTGGGCGAGTACACAGGCCCAAACCATGTCATCATTTTCCATACTGGTTGTATTATTTCACATTCTTATCAACTGTGTATAAGGGTTATCTTTTCTTTGCATCCTTGCCCACATCTGTTATTTCTTGTCTAATTATAGCCATTATAACTGGGATGAAATATCTGTTGTTGTTGTTGTTTGAGATCGAGTCTGGCTCTGTCGCCCAGGCTGGAGTGCAGTGGCGCAATCTTGGCTCACTGCAACCTTCACCTCCCAGATTCAAGCGATTCTCCTCCCTCAGCCTCCCAAGTAGTTGGGATTACAGGCACCCACCATCAAGCCCGGCTAAGGTTTGTATCTTTAGTAGAGACGGGTTTTCACCACGTTGTCCAGGTTGGTCTTGAGCTCCTGACCTCAGGTGATCTACCAGCTTTGGCCTCCCAAAGTGTTGGAATTACAGGCATGAGCCACCGCGCCCGGCCCTGTGGTTTTAGTGTGCATTTCCCTGATGATTAGTGATGCTGAGCATTTTTTCACATACCTGTTGGTCATTTGTGTGTCTTCTTTTGAGAAATGTCTATTCATGTCCTTTGCCCAATTTTTAGCAGGATTATTTGTTTGTTGTTGTTGTTGTTGTTGTTTTTAATGCTTGCTCCACAAATTTTACTTTATGTTTTTGAAAGGATTAAACTGGATTTTATTTTCGTTTTCTTTTTTTTTGTTTTTGTTTTTTTGTTTTTTGTTTTTTGTTTGTTTGTTTGTTTTTTACTTTAAGTTATAGGGTACACATTCACAATGTGCAGGTTTGATACATAGGTATACATGTGCCATGCTGGTTTGCTGCACCCATCAACTCATCATTTACATTAGGTATTTCTCCTAATGCTGTCCCTCCCCCAGCCCCCCACCCCCCAACAGGCCCTGGTGTGTAATGTTCCCCGCCCTGTGTCCAAGTGATCTCATTGTTCAATTCCCACCTATGAGTGAGAACATGTGGTGTTTGATTTTCTGTCCTTGTGACAATTTGCTGAGAATGATGGTTTCTAGCTTCATCCATGTACCTTCAAAGGACATCATGAATTCATCCTTTTTTATGGCTGCATAGTATTCCATGGTGTATATGTGCCACAGTTTCTTTTTTTTTTCACAATTTTACAACTTTATTGTAAGTCCCTTTGGTACGATTTATCATGAGTATAACTCAAATAAGTGCTTAATATATGATTTCCAACTTAATACAATATAATAGAAATTCAATTTTGAGATTTCTACAATTTTAATTTTTAGAGAAATTGCCCAGGTTAATTCAAAAGTGTGTTGCAAATGTGCTCTATTTTTTTTTTAAGTTTTAGGGTACATGTGCACATTGTGCAGGTTAGTTACATATGTATACATGTGCCATGCTGGTGCACTGCACCCACTAACTCGTCATCTAGCATTAGGTATATCTCCCAATGCTATCCCTCCCCACTCCCCCCACCCCACAACAGTCCCCAGAATGTGATATTCCCCTTCCTGTGTCCATGTGATCTCATTGTTCAATTCCCACCTATGAGTGAGAATATGCGGTGTTTGGTTTTTTGTTCTTGTGATAGTTTACTGAGAATGATGTTTTCCAATTTCATCCATGTCCCTACAAAGGACATGAACTCATCATTTTTTATGGCTGCATAGTATTCCATGGTGTATATGTGCCACAGTTTCTTAATCCAGTCTATCATTGATGGACATTTGGGTTGGTTCCAAGTCTTTGCTATTGTGAATAGTGCCGCAATAAACATACGCATGCATGCGTCTTCATAGTAGCATGATTTATAATCCTTTGGGTGTATACCCAGTAATGGGATTGCTGGGTCAAATGGTAATTCTAGTTCTAGATCCTTGAGGAATCTCCACACTGTCTTCCACAGTGGTTGGACTAATTTACACTTCCACAAACAGTGTAAAAGCATTCCTATTTCTCCACAGGAGTATTTGTTTTTATACTGTTGAGTTATTTGAGTTCCTTGTGTATTCTGGATATTCGTTTGCTGTTGCATTAGTAATTTGCAAATATTTTCTCCAATCAACAGGTTGTCTCTTTATGCTGTTGATTGTTTCTTTGCTGCTTCTTATATTATTCAATGCATTATATTTTCTTATATATTCAATATATTTCATATATTATTTCGTATAGCTTCTGTTTTCTTTCTGGCTACCCAGAAAATATTCATCGTAATTTCATAGAATATTTCACTTAGAATCATAACTTATTTTAACAACAGCAAGTGCCTATGGTTTTGAAAGAGCTATTGTTGAAATGGGTAAGATGTTTTTCCAAGGATACATAAAATTGATTGTTGAAGACATTGAGGGCATCAATAAAAGAATGCATATGGCATCAATGTCCAGTTTTATGTGGGCTTTTCCATCTTTATGAAACAGGTGGAAAAAGAGAGGTGTTTTGAGAGTGCCAGCTAGAGAGTAACTAACTGGAGTGTTTGGCTAAGGGCTGTGGGCAGAGGTGGGGAAAGAGTGAGTAGTTGTATATATAATTCTCCCTGGCGGACAAGGAGAAAACTGAATCAAGGTATTGTGGGCATTGAAGTAAAGGGAAAACAAACAAATCAAAACAAAACACCAGCTATAGTGAGTCCGCAAGAAGAAAGAACAGGGAGTTCTGTTTAGAAAATAAGAAACCAGAGTTTGGGATCTGAAAGGAGGAACACTCAAGGTTGTAAGGCCTAATTGGGAGCCATTATAGTGGAATGTTGGCAATAAATGTAAATATTTCTTTGTCTCAGGAAAAGAAAAACAAGTCTGAAAGTGGCTTATAGGAAACTCATAAAATTCTTAACCTCTAACTATTTCTAACTGCAAGATAAAGGATATATTGATGTCAAAAATCCTTCATTTTAGAAGGCCATAAGGCAAATGGCATCCTTAGAGGGGCAGTATGGGAAGATAGAAAAGGCCAAAAGATTGATCAAATGAGAGAGTTTTAGAAAGCATACTAAAAGCTGGACAGCTACTCAGGAGGCTGAAGCAGGAGGATCCAAGTCCAGCCTGGGCAACATAGTGAGATCCTGTCTCTGAAAACAAAGCATACCAGAAAGAGATGCCCAGAATAAGGAATGTGAACCAAGAAGAGCTGAGCTGGTTGACAACACTAGGTAATAGATGACTTGGGGGATTCCATTTGGAATGACCCAACAAGAACAGGGACGTAAGATATGAATGGCACTAACTCGTTTTAGTGTCCAAAGGCTTTTGAGCCTAAGCAGCCTGAGACCCTTGAAGGTCTCAATAAGGTAAGGGCTTATCCCTAAGAATTTTCTTTCTGGAATCTGGGGAGAATCCAGTACTTCCTCTTCTGGCCCCTAATGGGACCAAGTGGTAAGAATGGCCTTCTGAAGTCTTCAGAGGCCATAGCCAAGGAGAGGGATTTGGGGAGAATAAAGTGTAGCCACCACTGGCAATGGATTTATGTCATGCAGAGAGGTAGACAGCAGTGCATCGATGGCAGGGGAGATTAGGGGAAAGTTTAGAACAGATGACCTAAAATAAGCGAAAATCAAAAGCCAAATACCATAGAAGAATCCAGATTCTCTGTTCTTTCCATGATAACAAGCTGTGCAGCCAGTTACTATATTACAAAGTAGAAGAAAATTTAGCAGCCCTCTTACCCATGTAGGCTCCTGGCTGGGCTGAGCAATGCCCACAGGCTGCCACTAGCAGGCCCAATGCATTAAAACAGGAACAGGGAAGAGAGTGAGAGAAAAGAAGGCCAGTGGAACTATAACTAACCATATGATCAGTCTACAGTTTTGCAACCTCTAAAGTATTACATTATAGACTAAACCTAATGAAGTATTTCTAGAAAAATAAGTTGAGGGAAGAGGTGGAAGGCTGTACAAAGGAAAGCAAGGGAGGCCCATCCACAGCCTGCTTGTATAGTTGAATAGTGTATGTACTGCATAAAGGCACTCTTATAGTAAATCTCCCTAGAAACTAGAGCCTGAGGCAAGGATTCCAAGTTCTTCATAGTGCATGTTAAGACAAAGCAAAACTAGACAGAAATTACTTCGTTGCAAAGGAACTATCTTTAAAAGGTGGAATTTTAGAGAAAGAAAAGGGAAAACCATAGTAAGTTTCAATGTCTAAGGGTTGGAAAAGTAGAATATTGAAGGGATAGAGAGAGCAGCAATATGGAAATAGAATGAAAAGCAGAATTCAGAAAATCCCAATTTTCAATAATATATTTTATATCTTTAACATGAAACCAAATACATTTGGAAGCTAAATTCGCTGCACACCATTTGTCAAGTTTACAAGTAAATGGAATGATGTTTACTGTATGTGCCACTCTGGATAAGAACAGGGGCTGAATCTATTGACCAGAGGACACAGAGGTTAGACTCTGACCCAGGCCTGATCAGAGGTCAACAGCATTCTCTATAAAGCTACCAGCAGTGGTTATGTGCATGATACAACTTGTTGCTTGGGCCTTATCTTGTACAACTTCTTCCCTTTGAAAAACTGCATAGCTTAGCTGACTGGCCAGCAACATGTTGAAGGTACTCAACCTGTTCTGTGGGTAATTCAAAGGAGCACAGTCCCTGCTCCTACTCCAGAGATAAGTCCAAAAACAGAGAGAAATGTATATATAAGAGCATGTCATTTGCAGGGAAGAATAACTAGCAAGGCCTTTGTTGTATTCCATTTACTTTCATATCACTTAATTATATTTCATTTTACAATAGTTTTTTTTAGTTTTTACTTTTGCACCCTTAGAAGTTAAGTGCATTAAGATATATTTAACCCCTTCATTGATTTTAGTATCTCAGAATGAGTAGCTAAAGTCAATTATCATTTTAGATAAAAACTCATCCAGTGAAGGCATAAGTTAAAAGCTGGACAATCCCAAAATATGATGAGCCAATGCTGAAGAAGTACTGGCCTTCAAACATGATTTGCTGAGTGGGGCTGACCCTTCTCTTCTATTTATTCCTACTGCTCTTTTGCAGCTATGAGACATAGACTATTCTACCCCATCTCCACCAATATCCCATCATTGCCTAGAACATGCCATTGTAAAAAATTATTTTGACTGTTAGAGGACCTGGTATTGACAAGGCTCAATTTGCAAGTAGCCTCAAAAATAAAAATGTATAACAGAGAAAAGGTAGACAATCAGGCAGATAGGCTACCAGGTGACAGATTGGATATACACAGGACAATGACCAGACCATATATTAAAATAGAACTCTGACCCACAGCCTGCAGCAATCTGCCCAGTCTTCTATAAGCCAGACTTGTAGGAAGTCAGGACTGCTATCTCTAGTAACATTCCAGGAAGCTAAATAATAACTACTATAACGATCAGCTCCAAATGTCCAGAGTTTGATTAATAAAAGGCAGCTTTTCTAATTCTTGTTCCTGCTTCCAACTTAAAACCAACGACAAAAAGCCAAATAATGCACCTAGAACCAATCCCATAGGATACCCTGCTTCTAGTTAGCCTGCCTACAGCTTCCCTCTGCTAACAACCTCCAATCATGGTGTACTGAGGCCTTCCTTTTGTTCCATTATAAAGCTATCTCGCTCCTCTGCCTGCCAAGAGTCTCTGCAAATGCAGGTGACAGTGGCTGACTTCCCTGCTATAGCAATCTCTGAATAAATACCCTTTGCATGTCCTCATTTGTTTGGTCTTAATTTATTTCTACACAGGTAGGTTTCACAGGCTATGCACTAAATGGCTAAGGGAAAACCATCTAGATTATAGTCTATATAGGAAAGGTCCCCCCTAAAGTTGTGCAGAGTACAATCCTCATACTCATATATGGTAATTCTGGCCAGGCTTAGCCTTGGTTCATGAAAGCAGTGCAGTGGAGTATGCAAAGGGCTAGGGTGGGTATGGGAAGTCAGCCCTCTTATAGACCAGGCAGCTACCTGGCCACACCTCCCCAGAGGTACATGGGGAGGTATGAGGCCAACTGAAATTACTAGGTGCTTACTCAGGTTATCAGCTGCAACAGACTGAATGTTTGTGTCCCCACAAAATGAATATGTTAAAATCCTAATCCCCAATGTTATGGTAGTAGAAGGCTGGGCCTTTGGGAGGTGACTGGGTCATGAGGGTGAAGCTCTCTTTAGTGGGATTAGTGCCCTTATAAAAAGACATGAGAAGATTTGCTTTCTATCTCTCTGTTCCCCTCCATATGAAAACACAGCAAGAAGATGACCAGCTGCAAATCAGGAAGCGGGTCCTCATCTCATACAAGATCTACTGGCACCTAGATCTTGGAATTCTCAGCCTTCAGAACTGTCAGAGATAAGTGTTTTGTTAAGCCACCTGGTCTATGGTAATTTTTTATAGCACCCCAGACTAAGATGTCATCTCTACACAGTCCAGGAGGCTGCCTCCCAAACCAGCAGTTTTCTTATGATCCAGCACTGGAATCCTAGCATTGACACCATTTCTGCCCCAATCTTTGGCTACTAATCATTGCAAAGGTCAAGTTCTCCAGAAAAAACTGGGGCTACATGCTACAGAGGCATGGATATTGGTCCATTGCATCTGTGTGCTCTTTCTATCCCCAGTTTATCCTGTTTCTCTAATTGGGTCAGCTCTTTTCAACCTAAGGCCTTAAATACACAGTGCCTACTTGAAATAACATTGAGCTTATTTATAATTCTAAGGTTCCAGACCTTGAGTCTCAACATAATTATTTCTTATGACAGAGGTCACAAGCACAAACAAAACTCCTATGCAAATTAGTATGTCATGTGAATAAGTGACACAGATGAGATGCAGAACACGAATCAGAGAGATTGTACCTTGTCTAAAAGGGGCAACTGGTAACTTCAGCCAATTTTGTTGAGGAGTAATACAGACAGTGGTGTGCTGAAACTATACTAGTTTGTGAGAGCAGACTGTGTACTTCTTCCCAACTCCAGTAAAGAAGGTCACCTTGGTAGCTAGAAATCAGCCGTGGCATAGTATTTACACCATAGAAATAGGCAAATGATACAAATCAAGACTTTTCTTGAAGTCTGGATGGTAAACATCTACCAGCATACATACCATTGAATATAGGCCAAGTATTCCCAGATCCCCCAATATTTCAGAAGAAGCAGATATTCAGATGCCTTTGTGAACACAAAATTTTTAAATGCTGGCAAATCAATGCGAAAATACTATGCTGGCAAAACAAAACATCACTGTGACCAGCTGCTCACAGCTCTCCCCCATGCCAGTGCATCGTATCCTTGTTTATGGCTTCAGGTCTCTAATTTACATCTATAATAATTGAGCAACAGAGTCTTGCAGGAGCCTGAGTACATTTGTTAGTTTGCTAATAATTAACATTTATCACAGGTGGTTTTTATAACCTTCTTGAACGTGCATAAATATTTATTGTATGTGAAGAAGTTATAGTAGATGTTAAAAAGTCAACTTTAAGGATGAATTTAAAAAGAATCTTCCATCTGTTAAACCAAAGTGATCCATGAATATTAATGACATTTCTCTTTCTTAAACAATAGCACACCTTGTAAAGTACTCGACAGAGATGAAATTTACTGTAATTATATATGTGTGTATATGTGTGTGTGTGTGTGTGTATATATATATATATATATATGCACACACAAATAAAGAAATAAAAAAAATACTTAGAAAATGGGATGTCCCTTACATTAGCAGTAAGGGAAGGCAAAAAGTGAAATATTATCATAAATTTTACCTGAATCAGATGAAATTAATAACTACTGACCTGATGATAAGACAAGGACACCGTTGAATCCAGTTGATGTCAGAGAGTTTGACATCAGAGGAGATAAACATTCTATCCTCTAAAGGTCCCTTGATGTCCCTGTTAGAGATATTTGATTTAATCTTCCCCTCCATCTTCTGAGTATGTGCCCAAATCTCTGGAAACATCCATTACAGTAATAATACATAATCTCTAAAATTTCAAGCAGTTTATTTTGCATTTCCAATTTTAACTTTCTGCCAACATCCATGATGATAATTCATCTTACCTAGGCTTAGGAATTGTTATCAGGCTTTGTATTGTAGCATAAGCAGGTTATAAAGATAAGAAAATCTCCTCAGGTTAATCACTGCTACACCGAGATACTGGGATGACATTTAGCTCAGAATCTATAATGTAATTGGGATCTATAAAACGTTCGTTGCTGCTCTTCAGTAACTTGTTCTCTAAATGAGATAGGAGTTTTATAAAGTTTAATAAAAAGTAGAAAAAAAGCAAGAAACCATACACAGAAGTGTCTAAAATGCAGTGACATTTTAAAGACTGGAAATTAATTATGCTGGTTTTCCACTCCACAGTCTATTTTCATGTGTAGTTTTTTGAAACGCAGAGTAAATGTTTCTTATCCTTCTTTGTTTATGATACAGATGAAAAATTCAACAGCTAGGTTGCGCCATAATCTACCTTGAATACCCTTATAAATTTTCTATCTTTATTGCCAGCTGAACAATGTTCTCATCAACTTTGAAATGGAAAGCAGTCTAGGATAGAAATTCTTATCCTTTTACATTAGTTAGTCTGTTAAAACGATCTGAAAATCACCTTGACACTGTGTTTTCTTTATTAGCGGCCCAAGCTCCAAAATAAGGATGATACAGAATTTCTGAATTTTAACATGCCATTGTAATTTAATAGATGAGTGTGCTAGTCCTCATTAATATTCTGAATGCATAACTGCTCTAATAAGCAATTTAAAATACTGCTGAGGCAGATAGGAGAAGGAAAAAAAAGATCTCAGTATATTGGATACTTTGAGATGGGCAAGTAATCAACAAGTACAGATTTTGACATAAGGCACTTCCAGAGCTATCTGGAAAATATTCATCCTCAAGGTTCATTCATGGAAACCAAACACTGTTGGAATTCTCATGATACTGTGTATTCAGGTTCAACAAACAAACAGAAAAACCTATCTGATTCCAAAATTCAGAAGTCAATATGATGAGAAAGAACCAGCAAAAAACAGACAAAAATGCTAAGAAAGAGTAGCCTGTGAGGCCAAAAATAGTGTGAAATTCAGGAGGCCAAGAAAGAACAGTATTCAAGAAAAAGACTATGTTAAAGGCAGCTGAAAGTTCCAGTAAGATGTGCACTACAAATTAACCATTAGACATAACATCAAGAAGGGCAATTGTAACTTTGATAAGAGTAGCTTCAATGGATAAGTGAGAGGCGAAAGCCTAAATGGAATGAGTTCAAGAGAGAATGGAAGAAAAGAAATTAGCAATAGCAAATATAGGTAAATATTTGGAAATGTTTGCTATATATAAATATTTGGGGGTAAAGAAATTGAGTAGTAGCTGGAAGAGAGACTAGGGTCAAAAAGGCTTTATTTAAGACAGGAGAAATAATAGCCTGTTCTTAAAC
Source organism: Homo sapiens (assembly GCF_000001405.40). Classification (NCBI taxonomy): domain Eukaryota; kingdom Metazoa; phylum Chordata; class Mammalia; order Primates; family Hominidae; genus Homo; species Homo sapiens. The sequence continues at coordinate 109,516,879 of NC_000011.10, read as the reverse complement.
TAAGATTATGATAAAATAAAGAGTGGGAGCTGATAAAGGGAGTCTGATGATGCATGAGAGAAGAGGGAGTTTGCCATAAATATGCCCTGGAGTAAGTGAGAGGAACTGAGACCTAGTGCGCAAGTGGAAGGGCTGATCTTGAGTAGAAGGGTCAGGCAGGAAGACATAGTAAGTGGGCACAAATGCAAGTGTATGGTTACTTGTGGAGGCAAGGACCTTAACATTTTTTTTCTTTTTGCTTCTACTTTCTCAGTGAAATAGGAAGCAAAGCCATCAGCTGAGATTTAGGAGAGTAAAGGTGTTAGAGGCTTAAGGACATGGCATAAAATTGTCATGTAGGTTATATTCCAGGGCTTTTATAGTTTTGGATTTTACATGTAAGTCTTTAGTCCCTCTTGAGTTGATTTTTGTATCTGATGTAAGGAAGGAGTTCAGTTTCAATCTTTTGCATATGGCTAACCAGTTATCCTAGCACCATGTATTGAATAGAGAGTCCTTTCCCCATTGTTTTTGTTGACTTTGTTGACAATCAGATGGTTGTAGATGTGTAGCCTTATTTCTGGGGTCTCTATTCCGTTCCATTGGTGTGTATGTCTGTTTTTTGTACCAGTATCATGCTGTTCTGGTTTATCGTACCCTTGTAGTTTAATACCATTCTGGCCATAAGACCTGACAAAGATTTCATGTTGAAGACACCAAAACAAAAATTGGCAAATGAGACCTACTCAAACTAAAGAGCTTCTGCACAGAAAAAGGAACTATCTACAGAGTATACAGACAACCTACAGAATGGGAGAAAATATTTGCGAACTAAGCATCCAACAAAGGCCTGATATCCAGAATCTATAAGAAACACAGCAGCAAGCAAAAAATGAACACAAAAAAGTAGGTGAAGGACATGATACTTTTTTTTTTTTTTTAAAAAAAGACATACGTGTGGCCAAAAATCATATGAAAATAAATTCAACATTATAGATCATTTGAGAAATGGAAATCAAAACCACAATTAGATACCATCTCACACCAGAGTGGCTATGACTAAAAAGTCAAAAATTAACAGATGCTGGCAAGGTTGTGGAGAAAAGGAGACACTTACACACTGCTGGTGGGAATGTAAATTAGTTCAGCCATTGTAGAAAGCAGTTTGATGATTTCTCAAAGAACTGAAGGCAGAATTACCATTCAATTCTGTAATCCCATTATTGAATGTATACCCAAGGTAATATAAGTTACTTTACCGTAAAGACACAGGCACATATATGTTCATCACAGCATTGTTCACAATAGCAAAGACAAGGAATCAACCTAAATGCCCATCAACAGTAGGCTAGACAAAGAAAATGTGGTACATATACACCAGGGACTACTATTCAGCCATAAAAAAGCATGAGATCATGTCCTTTGTAGCAACATGCATGGAGCTGGAGGCCACTATCCTAAGCAAACTAACACAGGAACAGAAAACCAAATACCACATATTCTCACTCATAAGTGGAAGCTTACACATTGAGTACATATAGACACAAAGAAGGAAACAACAAGGGACCTACTTGAGGGTGGAGGGAAGTAGGAGAGTGAGGGTTGAAAAACTACCTATCAAATATGCTTATCACTTGGGTGATGAAATAATCTGTAAACCAAACCCCCATGATGCACAATTTACCTACATTTCAAACTTGTACTGTTGAACCTAAATTGTAATTGTCATCTAGAAGAGCAGGAGCATGAAAAAACTAGGAAAATGATTTTTCACTTTCATTGCAGAACCACAGGAGGGGCTTCTTTGAGGCTAATAGTTATGAATTAAATTATAATGTTTGGGAGTTTCTCCAACCATGTTCAGTTGTTAGGATACAGATACAAAGTAGATGAAATATTGGATTTAACCAAGGCTGAGATTTTGCTAGACAACTATGATAAATACAGAGAAGTTTCAGAAGCTTGAGAACTTGAGAATGTATGCAAGAGACAGTGAATAATCATGAACCTTGGAATTTAAACAGGGTAAGGGGGATATTGAGGTCATGACAGGGTTGGAGACAGTGAAACAGTTGTAAAACCAGTCAGCTGCAGGGCCTGGAAACTGAAAGATAGTAGAATGTGGGGAACTTTAGGGGTTAAACTGAAACAAGAAGGCTTTTGAAATTGAGTTAATGAAGAAGTTGAACTTACTGGTAATGATGAAATAGGATTTATAAGTATGGGAGTGGATAACTGAAATATGGGGGATTATTGGAAGTGAAATGAGCCAGTAACTAACATTCCAGTATGTTGGGAAGATTGTCTTCGTGGAAATTGACCTCTCCATGAACTGTGTTAGGAGTAGTATTGGAGTGAGTCGATAATTGAGGAACTAAAACTTAAAGAGTGAGTGGAGGGGGTGTTTCCAGGGGGAGTTGTAAGTTAAGTGACCACAAGGTAGAATAGTCTGATTACATGTCATTCACAGGTAACAATTCCAGTTTGGAAGTGGAAGACAAGAGGGCATTCAATACACACCCCCTATGGTTTGTAGAATGTGAGAGGTAAAATGCTACCACTTGAGAGGGCTACATGGCAAGCTGAAACTTCAGGGGAGAGTCAGCCAAGCTTCAGTTCAGAGGATGTTGGAAAAATAAGGACTTTTCCTGGAGACTGACTAGCATGCTGTAGGGTGGGAATGTTTCAGGAGTTTCTGTGAGAAAAGAGTTGATGTTTGAAGTTGAGGGGGATGACAGGAGGTAACAAACCATAGGAAAGGTGATTTCAGGGGATGGGAGAAAAATGACCCAGGGAGTCTGGGCTTCCAGAGGTTAGTGTTTAAGTTAGTCAAAAGGGTAAGTAGCTTGGTGAGATGAGCAGTGGCAATCTTGAATGCTGTTGGAAGAAAGGGAAGGTGAAGAGTATGCAGGCTTCTAGATCCACTCTCAACTCCAGCCAATTAAAGTATGGAGATGAAGGAGTGGATCTTATGTAGAATGCCTAGAGTTTGGGGACTCCCCTTGGTCCCAGGAACATCAGCAGCTCTGGGGCATGTTTTTGCTCCTTGTTCAGATATTCTCTGCTCTTGGCTTTTCAAACACATTCACTTCATTTCACTTCTACCTTCCTAACTGCTCCCTTCCAGTCTCCCTTGTCGGTTCCACTTTTTATTTATCTCTAAATGTTGTAGGGTTTTGTCTCTATCTCTCTTGTATTCTCCATCTACACTGTCTCCCCAGAGAAATCCTGTTCCATTGTTTTAAATATCATGTACAGGCTTAATATGTCTTATTATTAATTATTATTATTATTGAGACAGGATTTCACTCTGTCACCCAGGCTGAAGTGCTCACGGCTCACTGCAGCCTTGACCTCCCACACTCAAGCAATTTTCTCACTTCAGCCTCCCAACCAGCACCACAGGTGTGCACCATCATGCCCAGTTAACTTTTATATTTTTTGTAGATACAAGGTCTTGCTGGATTGCCTAGGCTGGTCTTGAACTCCTGGGACAGAGTGATCTTCCTTCCTTGGCCTCCCAAAGTGCTGGAATTACAGGCATAAGCCACCACATCCAGCCTGATTCCTAATTCTTTATCTCTAACTTGGATTTCTTTTCTGAGCTACGTTTGTGTATCTACATACTTGCTTGAGACCTTCACTTGGATGTCTACACATCTCAAATATAGAGTGTCCAAAGCAAAGCTTTTTATTAACCATCACTTCCCTGCCCCTATTCTTCCTAGTTTCACCTAGTGGTTTAGATCATGAACCCAAATGTCCTCCTCAATTCTTCTCTTTCTTTCAATCCCCATATCAAAACCCCCAGGAAGTATGATTGATTCTACCTTCAAACTATGTTGTAAATCCAACCAATTCTCACCATCTCTCCTCTAATACCATTAGTCAGGATTCATTTAAAGGTGATCCACTAGAAAGTGAGAGAAATAGAGAGAGAGTATGTGTATGTGTGTGTGTGTGTGTTCTCTGTTGCAGGGGTTTGACCTTACTTGATTGAGGAAGTGGGTTAAACAGTTTCTCTACAGCTGTTGTCCATGTGCCTGCTGCAGGAGCTTAAAGTCTACAGCACAGGCAGTTGGCAGAAAACGAACATAAATGTGAAATGTGGGGCCTGGGGAAACCCGCAGGATGAACCAAATCCATGTCTGTCCTTACTGTCTCCTGTGGCTCAGGTGTCCTGAGGGAGAAGCTGGTGCCCTTTATCACACAGCTAACAACGCTCCTGGCCCATGGATCAGAGAAGTTGAAGGAAAATACAGAGGAAGTTCTAACAGTGGCAGACCTAATTACTGCACCATGCCAAGCAGGTAATCCAGCAGGTAAGCCTTGCATGTGAGCTGCAAAATCATCTGCCTTGAGCTATTGAGTGTAAAAGACAAAATGGCTATGATGTCACTTCTAAATCTCACACTTATAAAATGTCTCTTGTGGCTCACCCTAACCAGAAACTTACGGAAAGGATAATTCTGAGAAACTTAGTTCAGCCTAGGCAACTTGACTCATTACAAAGTCACCACAGCACACACCTTGCCAATTTGGCAGCCATGCACACCTCTTGGAAACATAGCTATACTAATTTCCAAATAAAGATTATAACAAAATTATGCCTCCACTTAACACAAGACAGCTATCCCACTTACTGTTGAAAACATGCTTACATTTTTGCCCCCCAAAATGCAAAATCCTCCTTAGTCTTTGAGTAATGTTAATTCTTCTTTTAGCTGTTCACACTCCTGAAACTTAAATCTAGAGTATAAAGTAAATTATTATTAACATGTCTTGTATTAGATGGGAACAAAATGTGAGAGAAGAAGAAAACAAGACACTTGTTTTATATATAGAAACATATCAAACAATGGAAGAATTTCTTATAATTATTACTGTATAACTACATGACTATATCTAGAATTTGTTGCTATCTTTCTCTATTACACATCCTATATTCCCTTTGTCTTCAGCAAGCCCCTAAGCTGCCTCAGATGCTTCCCTGTGTTGGGTATCTGTTGCAGTATTACAAAATATCCCTAAACCCCAATAAACATTTACTACCTCACAGTTTTTGTGAGTCAGAAATCCAGGAGTCACCTAGCTGGGTGATTTGGCCTCAGAGTCTCCTGAGGCATTAGCCAGGGTTGTTGTAGTAATGTAAAGACTTAACTGCAGCTGACAGCTTGATTCCAAGATGACTTATTTACATGCTTTTTAATAGAAGCTTCAGTCTCTTGCATGATGTAGGACAGAGGCCTTTGTTCCTCACCACATGGAATTTCTTATAAGGCTTGAGTTTCTTCTGACATTATCATCTGTCTTTCCTCAGAAATTGACCAAAGGGGAAGACACAACCCTTGTACAACTTAATCTCAGAAGTCCTACTGTCACTTCCGTTATATTCTATTCATTAGACCCAAGTTACTAAATCTGCCCTACACTCAAGGGAAGGGAATTAAATTCTACCTCTTGGAGGGAGGAGTATTGTAGTAGTCCATTCTCACACTGATAATAGACATATTGAGACTGGGTAATTTATAAAGGAAAGAGGTTTAATTGACTCACAGTTCAGCATGGCTGGGGAAGCCTCAGGAAACTTACAATCATGGCAGAAGGGGAAGCAAACATATCCTTCTTCACCTGATGGCAGGAAGGAGAAGAATGAGTACCCAGTGAAGGGGGAAGCCCCTTATAAAACCTTCAGATCTGGTGAGAACAGCATGTGGAAAACAACCCCCGTGATAATCTCCACCTGTTCCCTCCCACGACATGGGAGTATAGGACTACAAGGTGAGATTTGGGTGGGGACACAGTCAAAACATATCTTTGATACTTGTATCAAAGATCAAAACATATTTTTGATACTTGTATCAAAGAATTTGAGGACATATTTTAAAAGCATTGTGGTCTTCATGATTAGTTCACATGAATTATTTTAATAGCTTTCTTATTGTTCTTTCTGATTCTTGTGGAATCAACTACAGTTCATTCTACACCCAACAGCTGAAATAATTATTCAAAATGTAAATTAGATCATTTAGCATCCCTGATTGATGCTTTCCAGTAGCTTTCCTTTAAACCTAGAATGAAATTAAAATGGCTACTAATGCCAACAAACTCTTACATGCTGGCAACTGCCAACCTCAGTGACTTTAACTTTTACCAGTTTCATTCTCTTCCTCTAAGATCTAGCCCAGAGTTTCTTAGCTTCCACATTACTGATAAATGGGGTTAGATAATTCTTTGACCTGTGAGTCTGTCCAGTGCATTGTAGGATGTTTGGCAGTCTCTCAGGCCTCCACCAAGTAGATGCCAGTAGCATCTCCCCAGATGTGAATATTAAGAATGTCTCCATGCATTGCTAAATGTCCCTTGGGTGACAAACTCACCCCTGCTTGAGAACAGCTGGATGTTCTCTGGGTGCTTTCCAGCTGTATAGGCCATCTCTATGTTCCTGGAAGGCAAATCTCCTCTACGACATCTTTTACTATTTTAACTTGGCTACACATTTATTTGTTTATGTTTATTGTCTATCACCTCTTTCCTAAATACAAATACCATGAGACTAGGTCTTTATCTCTTTTGTTGATTCTGGTATCCCCGGTGCCTAGAACTATGCCTGTCTTATGTTAAAGTCCCCAAAAATATTTATATGAAATAATAAAAAGAATGCTCCCTTCAATGTGGAATTTGTTAACCCATTTATGTCTGAGGTTGCAATTTATTGAGTTTTTGCAATCAGACCTTGCTGATGACCTTGAGCTATAGAATATAAATAACTCCAACATGCTTAGTGTTCCAGTAATGGAATACTAGGCATAAATGGCTCATGTATCTGCTTTCCCTTCATCTATTCTATTCAGAATTTTTTTTACCTGAAAACCCCAATTCTAATACCACCACCTCTCCTAGGAATCCTTACTTCACCCTAAGAAAACATTACTTATATCATTGTTCAATACATGTTTTATTTTATCCTGTTTACACATACACCTTCTCTTCTGGCCTACGTGAAACTTGTATTTCTAGCACATTGCCTGGTGCCCTGGTAATAGGTTTTTAAAAGACTGAAATGATTTACAGTAATGCACACACACATGAACACACACAAAATACTATACACATATATGTAACCTATGGTTAACAGAATATTACAATTTAAAAGTCAAAACCACAAAGGAAGAAGAGGTAGATATGTTGCCCATAAGATTAGTGTACTTTCTTTATTGGGCAGCAAATTAGACAATGAGCTTCCTGGAATTCCGGACGAGACAAAAAGGAAACCTTAAAAATTTACATAAAATGTATAAAACCACACATTTCTCTTATATTTAAGATAAAATTTTTGCCAAGATGAACTTCAAAACTGCATTATTAAAGTATAGGAAAATATCTGAGGAAACACTACCCTCGAATTAGGGTTTTTAACACATGCAGAAGCAGTTTCTGTAAGGCTCTGTGTTAAACAATGACCCCCAAGGATATCTACTTTCTAATCCCTGGGAACTTTGGTACTGCCTTATATGGAAAAAAGATAGGTAAGTATTGCCTTATATACTGAAAGATATAATTAAATTACAGATTTTGAGATGGGGAGATTAGCCTATATTATTTGGATGGGCCCTAAGTGTTCTCACATTCATCCTTATTAGAGAGAGGCCAAGGAAGATAGTGCTGCAGAGGAAAAGGTGATATGACAGAAGAGAGACCTTGAAGATTCTGTGCTGCTGGTTTTGAAAATAGAGGAAGTGTCCGTAACCCAGGAATGTGAGGAATATAGCATTAGAAGCTGCAAAAGGGAAGGAAAAGTTTTCTCCCCTAGAGCCATCTAAGGAGGCACAGCCCTGCCGAAACCTTGACTTTAGCTCAGTGACACTAATGTCTAACTTCTGGCCTCCAGAACCTTAAAAGAATAAATTAAGTGGTTTTAAACCACTGTTTGTAGCAATTTGTTACAGCAGCCATAGGAAACTAATATAGGCTGTTTATTTTAATGACCTATAATAAAAGCTGACATCAAAGTATAACAATGTGTATAAGTAATTTTGAAGTGAACATTATTTTGTAGAAGGTTGAGTAATATTGCCAAATTACAAAAGAAATGCAAACATAGGCTTTATAACTTAGAAATGGGAATGAATTTGTGTCCTTTAAAGTCTTCTTCATATAGATTTGGGGTAGAAGAAGCTATTTATTCAAATGAAGTTAAATGAAGACTGGAAAGTATAACTAATGGACTTCAACACAAATTAAATCAATGATATAATTTTTAACTAACTACACCTATACCCAAACTGCCTGAAGAGAACAAAAAAAGATTTTATCTGGAAGAATATGGAAGTTACCTGACTTCAGCCATGGCTGGATCTAGGGGTTTTCATAATTTTATTGGGATTCTCTTTTCATCTTTCAATCTGCTTTCTCTGACAAAAGCCTATTTTAAAATGCAGAGCACCAAAGCCCTGATAATAGATCTACCAAAATGTGGCCATCAGGACAGTTATTCTGCCATTTGTTGAGGCTAATAAAACAGTCCCGCTTATTGATTTTGCTGTTCCATTAAGCAGAAATGCCCCCAAGGACAGTTGCAGAGCAAAGAGTAACCAGACCAAGCATGGAAACAAATGAGGGATGTGTAAATAAAACTTGTCATCCCAGCATCTGGACACAATAATTAAACATCTTGGGATTTGGGGATTCAGTTTTTATTGGCATCAGTTCAGCAAAAGTATTTCTGTATAGTTATGCCATAACTCAGAAACATTGCATTTTGATATCAAGGGGAAAAGTGGACTTGACAATATAAGGTGCTGAAAATGAAAATCTAATAATGATAAATGAATTACCAGACATAGGAAGAGGTATGATGCAATGTTTGACAACAAGCATGTTGGACCCAGGCAGATTTGCATTTTATTCCAAACCCTAGCATTTGTTGTCTGTGCTATCTTAGGTAAGCCCTTGGACATCCTCCAGTCTCAGTTTTTTAATATAGAAAGAGAACCTAAAAATAGTAATAACTCTTCATTGATTTGCTTGGAGAATTACATGAGAAAACATGTTGATTGCTTAGCAACCTTCCTGGAACATAGCAAATGTTCAGTAACTGGTCATTATTAGTGGTATAAATTGTTAGTGGTCAACATTAATAAATACAGTTTTCTTATCTCTAAAAATAAGAGTTGGAGTATATGATATCAAAAGTTTTCTCAACTACTGACATTTTGTGTCTCTGCAATTTTAATGGTCCCTAAATCCTACATTTCCAAGTAGTTAGGAAGTGGCAAAAGATTGGAACCATGCACATATGGCTGCATGAGTGGGTAATGCCTGCTGAGCATACACAGATGGCGAGAATCATTGCTTCCCTATCTGAGGTCCCCGGAGGTGGGAGGGCACTGTGTGAGTCTCTTCTACTCAGGCTCTACGCCTAGTGATTGGCTCTGGTATTCATTACTATGCTTAATAAGTATCTGGTCTTTTTTTCCTTCTAGTACTGGGGAATCTGAATTCTACGACCCTTTGGTGACTGGGTGGCACCATATTATTATATCTGGCCAATGAGTTGTGAACAAAAGTGATGTGTCCATTCGGAATTGGAGTATTTAATTACTTATGTGAAACTTTCCAGAATATATTTTCACTCTGTGATGGCAAATTTTAAGATAATGGCTTCTCAATTAGCACGTTATTAGAGCAAGATGACACCAAGAAAAGCTCCCAGCATGATTTACATATAAATCTTTGTTATTTTAAGCCACTGAGATTTTTGAGGCTGTTCCTTATCACAGCATAATTTATTATATCTTGACTGATACAGAAGTATATGCCTAGAAGTGAGGTGACAACACACAAAAAAAGCCTAAAATAAGTGCCATTAGCTTAGGGGTCAGGTGGTGGGTGGGAAGGAAACTATTCTGAGGAGTTAGAATAGTTGCCATATTGTATGCTGGCAAAACATTTGGTAGAACTGATGTCTATAACAACTTGGAAGTCCAATCATGCACTTAATGAAATTTTAGCAACGGGAAAGAGGTAGAAAAACAGAATGTCATCAGTATGTATTGCTTGCTAATATCTGTGCTCAGCAAGGTATCAGAAAAAAAGAAAAGAGCAGAGAAATGAATTGGCCAGGTTTCAAAAAGGAACAAAATAGAATAAGGAGGGCTCACAATTTTAGAAACTTCTAAGTATCTTGGAAACAATTGCTTCTTAGCCTCAAATAATGACAAATAAAACTGAGAAAGGCTTGGGAGGCTAAGGCGGGCGGATCACAAAGTCAAGAGATTGAGACCATCCTGACCAACATGTTGAAAGCTCGCCTCTACTAAAAATACAAAAATTAGCTGGCCATGGTAGCACATGCCTGTAGTCCCAGCTACTCAGGAGGCTGACTGAGGCAGGATAATCGCTTGAACCCAGGAAGTGGAGGTTGCACTGAGCCAAGATCATGCCACTGCACTCCAGCCTGGCAACAGAGCAAGACTCGATCTCAAAAAAATTGAGAATGGCTTTGAATGACAAAAATTTAAAACAGATTTGCAGCAAGAGTCAAATCAAGGGTGTGGCTATTACACTATTTAAAAACCTCCGAATGAATTAAAGTAACACCCAGCAAGTCCTTTCAGTTAGAGAAAATACCTCAAAGGGGAAAAAAAGACTAACAGTGTGACTCCCCCATCAAAGCCAAACAAATGGAAAGGCAAAGGCATGGAGTAAGCTGGGAAAAAAATATATCATACATGAGGATGAGTCTTGAAAAGAATTTTGAGTGTGATGATTGACAAATGGAACAGGGTAGAATCAAATACATATGAGTAACTTTCTACATTTTTAGGAGAGTCATTTGACAAAGGAATCATTTTTTAGACTAAAGGGAACTGTGCTTGCTCAAGACATAAAATAACCTGTGGGCCCTCACCCTTCTATAGGTAAGCAACAGACTACAAAGCCTACTCAGTCCCTAGGGAGGAAATACCTCAACACTCCATTTAGATCTGACTAAAACAGTAATGGAAAATGAATGATATTCCATAATATAAAGCCCTGGTCCATGCAGAAAACAAACAAGGGAGCTGCTCTTTAAAGCAGGATTGGAGCCTAGTCAAGGAATATATCTTTCCCCCATAGGTGGCTCTCAAAGTATCTGACAAGTAGGACAGGTGAACTGCCACAGATTGGTATCTGTTTTGTATCTCTCATTGTTCCCATTTCCAAATGAAACTGTTTATTACAATTATCCTATTCCTGTTCTGCCATTGTTTACTGGGTTCACAGGAAAGGGGATGGGTAATCTGAATCTGTCACCTGAGGGAAGCTTTGGGTGGCTTCTTTAGGGAAAGGGTGAGTATATTTTGCATGTGAGGAAACTTAACCAAGTATTTGGTGACTAGAAGGGAAACTGAGGTAAACTGTGCTGCTCATTAATATCAAGTTATCCTCTTCTTTTTTTTTAACCATACACATGCAGAACTGAATTTCCTGGCTCTCTTGGTTTTGAGAGAAGTCATGTGACTATTTCCAGACAATGAGTTGTCAGAAATGGTGTGTGTTGCCTTTAGGCAGGAGAATTTAATTACTTGTGTTCTATCCTTCACAGCTCTCTTTCCTTCTGCACAAGGATTGCCCATTTCCAATCAGCTGAGTCCTAGAGTAAGGATGTCACTGAACAAACTCTCTTGCCAACTTGTGATGTACTTGTAGTGTTAGTGAGAAAAACCTTTTTTTGTTGTTGTTGTTGTCATTTTTAAGCCATTAAGATTTGGAGGTTGTTGAAGTGCCCTACTCATACTGTCTCTGCATTAAGAATGTTAATAGCTTTCTACTGCAAGCCCCTGCATTGCTATGCTTAAAGATTTTTTTTTATATGATTGGTCCATGTGAGGCAGGCCAGACTAGTAGTAAGTTGATTCCCAGAGGAGAACTCAGCCAGTGAAAAGTAAGCTTTGAATGACAAACCCACAAGCTTCCTTACTTTTCCAGGCCCCTATGAAGTGCATTTTGTACAGTCTCCCAGAGAGTTCCAGCAGGATTTGAGCCCCAGTTGCACATAGTGTTAACCTGCTCACTAATGTGCCAGGATTGGCTTCATTCTTTTCCCTCTCTTACTGCTCCACTCCCACCTCTTGGGATATTTCTACATAAACTTGTACTCAAATCCTTTGTTCAGGGTCTCCTGCAGGAACCCAAAGTATGACCCCTTGGAGCCAATTAAGGTCATAGCTCACAGATAGTAATTTCATACCCAGATAAAAGAATGTACACGGGTGGTAAAGCCTTTCTGCTCTCTGTATATCAAAAGCTATATACTTTGCTCTAGAACTTTCCTTTGAACAATACACAATTTTAAAATGAAGAGCTAATTGTATAACATTGAATATCCCTTATCTGAAACAGTTTACCAATGAATACTCTTTCCAAAGATTATCTAAGGTTTTTCTTTCCACATTTTTCTAGTTACCCTTTGCCTTCCCCAACCTCCAAAGCCATTGATTCAATTTTACTAACTGCCTTAGTAAGAGAGAAGTCACTACGTAAAAGAAATAAGTTAGTAGACAGCTCCTGAAAGAGAAGTAATTTTCTTGAATACTGTGAGTTCAGCTTTAAATAGTAACAACAACAGCAAAATAACCTAAAGCAAGAGGACACAATATTTACCTATAAATAACCATTGGAAAGACAGTAATTCAAGAGCCATAAAACTCCAAACATGAGAATAGATGAGAATTTATAAAGCTGATATTGGGGAGGAAAATTAGAGGGGCCATAACTATAAAGGGAGATGCTAAATTAGGATGTACTTCATGGAACAGAAAGGAATTATCTACTAAAGAGAGCCCAAAGTATATCCAAATGCAACCCATTAATCAAAAGTGGGAAACAAGTCAATGTGCAACAGGCCTTCTGTTGCCATTCAAATAAACACTGTGAACTTCCTGCAGGATAGAGTTTCATTAACCTACTATAATAATTCCTGTGAGGGTGCCCCATTAACATCTGACTCCCTGTGGCTCATCAATGAATAAGAAGGAGTGCCATTTGTCTGTTAATATTTTGTTCAGTCCTTTACGAATTATGGTGAATCAGGATAGTCATAAGCTCCTCAAAACAATGGTTTGATCACCTGGATGTAAAAAATAGACAGGGGCACTATGGAAGGAAAAGCTTCCACCTCATATTCCTAATTGAATGGGGACTAGATGGAATCAACTCAAGATTTCCCCTGACCCAAGCCAGTATTGTGAAATTCACAAGTATTATAGAAAGACTGTCTGGGAGTGGGTAAAATATATTGAAATAAATATAATAAAATGGAGAGTTAAAATTTACTGATCCCCAGTATTTGTTAGCATAAAGTCAGGATGATAAAGCTTACATATATAGTACACAAATTAGGTGTGTTTGACCAGGCTGGCATAGTAATTATTTTCTAATAAATTAGGCAGTTCCTATGGTAACAAATTTATTCATTTACATAATATATATTGAGTAGCTAATGTGCTATTTCTGTGTAGATAGGAGGAAGTTTCTGGGTCTAAATACTATACAGCTCCAGAGTGTTTTCTGTGGTTGTCTCTTTTCTTCACTTACAGTCTCATCAAGTTTGAGAGTTTAAACTTAATACATACTCTGATGAATATCTAATAGATACCCTTAATATAAAGCTTACCTCTTATCTCCAGACTTGCATATCTAACTGATTACTTGATATTCCCATTTGGATCTCTGTATTGGTCTGGGATATATATATATATATATAGACACACACACACACACACACACACATATGGAGAGAGAAAGAGAGATTGATTGATTTACTATAGGGAATTGGCTCATGTGGTTATGGAGACTAAGTCCAAAGATCTGCAATCAGCAAACTGAAGACCCAGGAAAGCTTATTGTGATGATTAATACTGAGTGTCAACTTGATCGGATTAAAGGATACAAAGTATTGATGCTGGGTGTGTCTGTGAGGGTGTTGCCAAAGGAGATTAACATTTGAGTTAGTGGGCTGAGTAAGGCAGACTCACCCTAAATATGAGTGGGCACAATCTAATCAGCTGCCAGCTGGGTTAGAATATAAGCAGGCAGAAAAACATGAAAAGAGAGACTGGCCTAACCTCCCACCCTGCTTCCTTCTCCTGTGCTGGATGCTTCCTGCCCTCAAACATCAGACTCCAAGTTCCAGTCTTTGGAACTTGGACTGGCTTTCCTTGCTCATCAGCATGCAGACAGCCTATTGTGGGACCTTGTGCTCATGTGAGTTAATACTTACTACACTCCCTTTTATATATATATTCCATATATAGTTATTCCATATATTGATATTCCATAGATATGTATTCCATGTATAGTCATTCCATATATATATTCCATATATATACACATTCCATATATACATTCCATATATATACATTCCATATATACATTCCATATATATACATTCCATATATACATTCCATATATATATTCCATATATATATTCCATATATATATATTCCATATATATATATTCCATATATATATATTCCATATATATATATTCCATATATATTATATATATATTCCATATATATTATATATATATTCCATATATATATTCCATATATATTATATATATATTCCATATATATATATTCCATATATATATTATATATATATTCCATATATATACATTCCATGTGTGTGTATTCCATGTGTATACATTCCATGTGTATTCCATGTGTATACATTCCATGTGTGTGTGTTCCATGTGTATACATTCCATGTGTGTGTATTCCATGTGTATACATTCCATGTGTGTGTATTCCGTGTGTATACATTCCATGTGTGTGTATTCCGTGTGTATACATTCCATGTGTGTGTATTCCGTGTGTATACATTCCATGTGTGTGTATTCCGTGTGTATACATTCCATATATATATTCTATTAGTTCTGTCCCTCTAGAGAACCCTAACTAATACAGATTTTGGTACCAGGAGTGGTTCTAGAGTAACAGAATACTGAGGATGGAGGTCTTTCATTGGTTTTGGGGTTTTAGAGTTGGCTGCTTAATATGATTAGACATCAAAATGCTAAGGACTCTACTTCTAATAGTATGAAGAACTGATAGTCCTTGGAATGAACTATTTAGAGAGTTACCCAAAACAAATGCATTTGACACTCCTGATTCATTGCTTATGAGAGGCCAGGAGTTTAGTGACTCTATACGTAATACCTTTGACCATATGTGGAGAACCAAGGAACATAATGAAGCTGGTTGGTTGCTCCTAAGTTCAGTGGACAAAGTGATGAAAAAAAATGAACTCAGAGATTCTATCTCCTAGCTTCAGAAGCAGATACTGAGCCTCAAATCTCCTAAGATTGCCCTGAGTGAAGGTCTTATCTCCTGTAGAGAAATCTCTGAAATTGTGGAAAAACAGACACAAACTTTTATCATGTTAGTGGCTGACCTGCAACAAAAGCCTTGCCAGGTGTCTACTGTTAAAGTGAGAGCATCAATTGGAAATGAATGGAACCCTGCAACTTGGAATGGGGACGTGTGGGAGGACCCTGATGAAGCTGGGGAAACTAACTTTGTAAACTCTGATGAAACTTTTTGGACAGAAGAAACAGCTTTCCCATCCCCAGTAGTGGCAACATCCCTTCCCTGACTCATGCTGCCATCAGCCTTTCCACCTTTGTCTGAGGAGATAAACCCTGCACTGCCTGAGGTAACAGTGATGGCCTTCCCTGAGGCAGTTGCCAGGCAAGATAATGTTGATTATCCTCAGAAGCTACGCCCAACATCCCTGTTTGCTTCTAGACCTATAACTAGACTAAAGTCTCAGTGGGCCCCTAGAGGTGAGATTGAGAATGTGACCCATGAGGAGGTACACTACACCTGATAAAAACTACTTTGAGTTTTCTAATTTATATAAGCAGAAATCTGGAAAACAGGCATGGGAATGGATATTAAGGGTGTAGGATAATGGTGGAAGGAACATAAAGTTGGATCAGCCTGAATTTATTGTTTGGGGCCCACTAAGTAGAGACTCTGCATTTAATGTTGCAGCTCAGCAAGTTAAAAAAGGTTCTAATAGTTTATTTTTTTGGTTAGCTGAAATGTGGATTAAAAAATGGCCCACTGTGAGTAAACTGGAAATGCCTGATCTCTCTTGGTTTAATGTAGAGGAAGGGGGACCCAAAGGCTTAGGGAGAATGGGATGCTGGAGTGGATTAGTCACCTTAGACCTACTCATCCCTGCTGGGAGGGTCCAGAAGATATACGCTTGACCAATGGCTTGTGAAATAGATTTGTGAGATCAGCACCTGCATCTTTGAAGAGCCCTATAATTGTTCTTCTCTGTACGTCAGATGTAACAGTGGGAAGCACAGCCACTCAAGTACGAAATTTAAATACAATGGGAATAATTGGATCCCGAGGTGGCAGGGACCAAATGGCGGCACTCAACTCTCAAAGGCAAGGTGGGCAGAGCTACCGTAATGGACAGAAGAAGCAAAGCAGCAATCAGAATAGTCCGACTTGTGTAGAGCTCTGGCATTGGCTAATTAATCATGGTGTTCATGGAAGAGAAATTTATAGGAAGCCTACTACATTCCTACTTAATTTATATAACCAGAAAACTTCTATGTCAAATGGACAAAAGGCTAATTTGAATTATAAAAACAGAGAATCATGGCCCCTCAATCAATTTCCAGACTTGAGCCAGTTTACAGACCCAGAACCCCTTGAATGAAGGGGAGGCCAGATTCCCTTAAGAAAGGACCCCACTACATTACCAACAATTTGTGCATTCAATCTTTTTCCCATCCTTCCCCAAAGCGACCTTTGGCCTCTTACCAGGGTAACTGTGCATTGGGGAAATGGAAATGATCAGACGTTTTAGGAACTACTGGTCACTGACTCTGAGCTGACGTTGATTCCAGGGGACCTAAAATGTCATTGTGGTCCTCCAGTAAAAGTAGGGGCTTATGGAGCTCAGGTAATTAATGGACTTTTAGCTCAGATCTGACTTACAGTAGGTCCAGTGGGTTCCTGGACTCATCCTTTGGTCATTTCCCTAGTGCCAGAATGCATAATTGGCTTAGACATACTTAGCAGCTGGCAGAACCCCCACATTGACTCCCTGACTGATAGGGTGAGGGCCATTACAGTGGGAAAGGCCAAATGGAAGCCATTAGATCTTCCTCTACCTAGAAAAATAGTAAATCAAAAACTATATTGTATCCCTGGAAGGACTACAGAGATTAGTGCCACCAACAAGGGCTTGAAAGATGCAGGGGGGGTGATTCCCACCACATCCCCATTCAACTCTCCTATTTGGCCTGTGCAGAAGAAGATGGATCTTGGAGAATGACAGTGGGTTATTGCAAGCTTAACCAAGTGGTGACTCCAATTGCAGCTGCTGTACCAGATGTGGTTTCATTGTTTGAGCAAATTAACACATCTCCTGTTACCTGGTATGCAGCCACTGACTTGGTAAATGCCTTTTACTCCGTTCCTGCCCATAAGACCCACCAGAAGCAATTTGCCTTCAGCTGGCAAGGCCAGCAATATACCTTTACTGTCCTACCTCAGGGATATATCAACTCTCTGGCTTTGTGTCATAATCTTGTTGAGAGAGACATAGATTGCTTTTAGCTTCTGCAAGATGTCACACCGGCCCATTATATTGATGACATGATGCTGATTGGACCCAGTGAGCAAGAAGTAGCAAATACACTGTACTTATTGGTGAGACATTTGCATGTCAGAGGATGGGAAATAAATCTGACTAAAATTCAGGACCCTTCTACCTCAGTAAAAATTTCTAGGGGTCCAGTGGTGTAGGACCTGTTAAGATATTTCTTCTAAGGTGAAGGATAAGTTGCTGCATTCGGACTCTCCTACAAACAAAAAAGAGGCACAGTGCCTAGTGGGCCTATTTGGATTTTGGAGGCAACACATTCCTCATTTGGGTGAGTTACTCCAGCCCACTTATCAAGTGACCTGAAAGGCTTCCAGTTTTGAATGGGGTCCAGAACAGGAGAAGTGTTTGCAACAGGTCCAGGCTGCTGTGCAAGCTGCTCTGCCACTTGGGCCATATGACCTGGCAGATCCAATGATGCTTGAGGTATCAGTGGCAGATAGGGATGCTGTTAGGCAGGCCCCCATAGGTGAATCACAGCAGAGGCCTCTAGGATTTTGGAGCAAAGCCCTGTCATCTGCAGATAACTACTCTCCTTTTGAGAGACAGCTCTTGGCCTGTTACTGGGTCTTGTTGGAAACTGAACGTTTGACTATGGGTCATCAAGTCACCATGTGACCTGAACTGCCTATCATGAACTGGGTGCTTTCTGACCCATCTAGCCATAAAGTGGGTTGTGCACAGCAGCATTCCATCATCAAATGGAAGTGGTGTATACGTAATCAGGCTTGAGCAGGTCCTGAAGGCACAGGTAAGTTACATGAGGAAGTGGCTCAAATGCCTATGGTGTCCACTCCTGCCACCCTCCCTTCTCTCCCCCAGCCTGCACCGATGACCTCATGAGGAATTCTCTATGATCAGTTGACAGAGGAAGAGAAGACTAGGGTCTGATTCACAGATAGTTCTTCCCTATATGCAGGCACCACCTGAAAGTAGACAGCTGCAACACTATAGCCCCTTTCTAGGACATCCTTGAAGGACAGTGGTGAAGGGAAATGTTCCCAGTGGACAGAACTTTGAGCAGTGAACCTGGTTGTGCACTTTGCGTGGAAGGAGAAATGGCCAGATGTGTGGTTATATACTGATTCATGGGCTGTAGTCAATGATTTGGCTGGATAGTCAGGGACTTGGAAGAAGCGTGAATGGCAAATTGGTGACAAATTTGGGGAAAAGGTATGTGAATAAACTTCTCTGAATGGTCAAAAATTGTGAAGATATTTGTATCCTATGTGAGTGCTCACCGACAGGTGACCTCAGCAGAGGAGGTATTTTAATAATCAAGTGGATAGGATGACCCGTTCTGTGGATACCACTCAGCCTCTTTCCCCAGCCACCCCTGCCATCACCCAATGGGCCCATTAACAAAGTGGCCATGGTGGCAGAGATGGAGGTTACACATGGGCTCAGAAACATAGACTTCCACTCACCAAGGCTGACCTGGCTATGGCCACCGCTGAGTGCCCAATTTGCCAGCAGCAGAGATCAACATTGAGCCCTTGATATGGCACCATTCCTCGGGGTGATCAGCCAACTACATGGTGGCAGGTTCTATTAGATCTCTTCCATCATGGAAAGGGCAGAGGTTTGTCCTCACTGGAATAGACACTCCACATATGGGTTTGCCTATCCTGCACGCAATGCTTCTGCCAAGACTACCATCTGGGGATTCATGGAATGCCCTATACATTCTCCTGGTATTCCAAACAGCATTGTCTCTGACCAAGGCACTCACTTTATGGCTAAAGAAGTGCAGCAGTGGGCTCATGCTCATGGAATTCATTGTTCTTACCATGTTCCCATCATCCTGAAGCAGCTGGGTTGCTAGAATCATGGAATGGCCTTTTGAAGTCACAATTACAATGCTAACTACGTGACAATACATTGCAGGGCTGGGGCAAAGTTCTAGAGAAGGTCATGTGTGTGCTGAATCAGCGTCCAATATATAATACTCTTTCTCCCATAGCCAGGATTCACAGCTCCAGGAATCAAGGGGTGGAAGTGGAAGTGGCACCACTCACCATTACCCCTAGTGATCCACTAGCAAAATTTTTGATTCCTGTTCCCGCAACATTACGGGCTGCTGGCCTAGATGTCCTAGTTCCAGAGGAAGGAACACTGCCACCAGGAGACACAACAAACGGTTCCATTAAACTAGAAGTTAAGATTGCCACCCAGACATTTTGGGCTCCCCCTACCTTTAAGTCAACAGGCTAAGAAGGGAGTTACAGTGTTGGCTGGGGTGATTGACCCAGGCTATCAAGATGAAATCAGTCTACTACTCTGCAATGGAGGTAAGGAAGAGTATGCATGGAATACAGGAGATCCATTAGGGTGTCTCTTAGTATTACCATGCCCTGTGATTACGGTCAGTGGGAAACTACAACAGCCCAGTCCAGGCAGGGCTACAAATGATTCAGACCCTTCAGGAATGAAGGTTTGGGTCACTCCACAAGGAAAAAAAAAAAAACCACACAACCTGCTGAGGTGCTTGCTGAAGGCAAAGGTAATACAGAATGGGTAGTGGAAGAAGGTTTAGGCATCAATACCAGCTATGAACATGTGACCAGCCACAGAAATGAGGACTGTAATTGTCATAAGTATTTCCTCCTTCTTTTGTTAAAAACGTGTTTGTGCATGTATACACTTGTACCAAGAAATATCTTCATTTTATTGCCTTTCTCCTTTATCATGTGACATAAGATTTATTGACTTCACATCAGCATTTAAGTATTGTTAACTTTGTGTAATTGTATTTGAGTTGGGGATTGGTGCATTTCCAGTTGCATGAAGGATAGCTATATTATGTTAGGCGTAATTATGACATTATTGTCTTTATTTGAAGATTATGTATGATCTCAGGAGATGTGTATGGGTTCAAGTTGACAAGGGGTGGACTTGTGATGGTTAACAGTAAGTGTGAACTTGATGGGATTGAAGGATACAGAGCTTTGATCCTGGGTGTGTCTGTGAGGGTGTTGCCAAAGGAGATTAACATTTGAATTAGTGGGCTAAGAAAGGTAGGCTCAACCTTAATCTGGGTGGGCACAATCTAATCAGCTGCCAGTGCAGCTAGAATATAAAGCAGGCAGAAAAATGTGAAAAGAGAGACTGGCCTAGCCTCCCAGTCTACATCTTTCTGCCATGCTGGATACTTCCTGCCCTCGAACACTGGACTCCAAGTTCTTCAGTTTTGGAACTCCGACTGGCTCTCCTTGCTCCTCAGCCTACAGATGGCCTATTGTGGGACCTTGTGATTGTGTGAGTTAATACTTAATAAACTCTGCTATATATATATATAATATACATATATATTGTATATATATTATATATTATCTATATTTCTATGTACATATTATAAAACTCTACTATATATTTTTTTTCATTAGTTCTGTCCCTTTAGAGAACCCTTACTGATACACTGATGGTATGATTCCAGTATAAGTCCAAAGTCTTTAGAACCAGGAGAGCTGATAGTATAAGTTCCAGTCTAAGTCCAAGTCTGAAGATAGGAGACCAGTGCCTCGGCCAAAGACAGTCAGGGAGAGAGAGCAAATTCTCTCTTAGTCACCTTTTTGTTCTATTCAGGCTCACTTACACTGGGGAGGGCAATGTGCTTTACTCAGTCTACCAATTTAAACGTTAATAGCATCCAGAAACAGCCTTGCAGAAATATCCAGAATAATGTTTAATCAAATATCTGGCCACCCCGGCCTAGTAAAGTTGACACATTAAATTAACCATCACAGTATCTAGTAGTCATCTAGAATGGTATGCAAAAGGAATATCTTTATCATTTCCCACTCTAGTTGTCTCCTCTACAAGCCTTTCTAATCTAGTAGAATCCCAAATCCATCCTAATAATGAGTATAACAACCTTGGAATCCTCATGGGTTTATTTTCCTTCACACTGCAGATCCAAACTTTCAGAATATTCTCTTGGATCTATTGCCGAAACATAGCATCAGTCTGAACACTTTTCTATATATTCACCGCTAAATGCTAAATGCTAAATTCACTGCTAAGCCATAAGCCTACCCCATCTTGATTACTGCAATAGCCTCTTCATTGGTCTCCCTGTCTCTTTTGTTATCAAGTACTGTCTATTTTCCCCCACAGGAATCAAAATGATCTTTTAAAAATATAAACAAGTGTATACAGCTCTACTAAATAAAGCTCTCCAGTGATTTTCAACTACACTTAAAAGTAAAATTCTTCTCCTGGCTTAGAAGGGCTACATAACAGCCTTTTTGAGCTCATATCTTAGTAGGTGCCCCCCAAATTCTCTGTGCTTGACCAATATTTATTTTCTTTCATAATGCTGCTATAAAGACACATGCACACGTATGTTTATTGGAGCATTATTCACAATAGCAAAGACTTGGAACCAACCCAAATGTCCAACAATGATAGACTGGATTAAGAAAATGTGGTACATATACACCATGGAATACTATGCAGCCATAAAAAATGATGAGTTCATGTCCTTTGTAGGGACATGGATGAAATTGGAAATCATCATTCTCAGTAAACTATCGCAAGAACGAAAAACCAAACACCACATATTCTCACTCATAGGTGGGAATTGAACAATGAGATCACATGGACACAGGAAGGGGAACATCACACTCTGGGGACTGTGGTGGGGAGGGGGGAGGGATAGCATTGGGAGTTATACCTAATGCTAGATGACGAGTTAGTGGGTGCAGTGCACCAGCATGGCACATGTATACATATGTAACTAACCTGCACAATGTGCACATGTACCCTAAAACTTAAAGTATAATAAAAAAAAAAGAAGGGCTACATAACAGCCTTTTTGAGCTCATATCTTAGTAGGTGCCCCCCAAATTCTCTGTGCTTGACCAATATTTATTTTCTTTCATTTCTGTCTAAGTGTCTCTGCAATTGCACTTCTTTTGTCTAGAAAGTTTTTCCCTCATCTTTTGTTTTACATCTCAGGTTAAACATTACCTCCTTAACAATATCTTCCCAGGCTATATTAGCTGCCTTTGTCCAACTTCTCACCTCAACTCAGTCTCTATTAATTTTATTTCTTCCTAGAAAGTATTACTATTTGCAATTTTACTTATTATAGCTTATTTGTTTGCTTCTTGTTTATTGTCTGTCTCTTTTCACTAAATTACATAAGAGACCCTGTTCTGTTGCATCTCTAATATTTAGAACAATGCTTGGCACATAGAAGACCCTCAATAAATGTTTTTGGATGAATGAAAAGATGATTTCTTGAACTGTCTCAAAATTTTACTTATTTTGTGAATTCATATCACTGAAGACCTGTCACTATATAAGAATCCTTGTGTGTTGTAAATAATATTTCCCCTTATCTTAAGTAGTCTACTCTCCCTTATGTTTATGTAGCTATCAGCTTATCTCAACTAGGTTTAGTCACAGAATAATTTTTTCTCCCCACCATAAAAAGGAGAATAGACTTAAACAAAACATATGTAGTCACTTTGTGAAGTTTTGTAAAGGTGAGAATACTGTTTTATCTCACTCTCTACCCTTACCTGGAATCTCTTTTCAAGTTACAGATCTGTAAATGATCTTTGAAAATCATTCTCATACTGAGATTCTAATGAGAAGCATAATGCTTTATATTTGTGTGTGGCTCTTTATAATTGATAAAGTGATTTCACATATCTCATTTAATCTCTTTAGCAATCATCTTAGAGAGTATTACAGAAATAACTGTTTTTATTTAATGAATAATGCTAAATGGTTTATTCCAGGTTGAACCTTGATAAGTGATGTTGTTAGGGCTTGAAGCTATTTCTTCTGATTCTCAATGTTCTTATTACAAGTAGGATCATAAGGCAAAAGGATACTGGCTTAGAAAATGTTGGTCATTAAACAGTTGTGTAACTCTATAAAATAAAGTGCAGTATAACAGAAAAAAAATGTTCCCAGGAACCTTTCAGTAAACCAAATAATGTCCTTTATATTTTCAATGAAGAAAGTGGTCATGTAGGTTAACCCAATTAACAATTACTTTTTTTCATTCCAGCTTTCCATGTAATGAAATCCAGGGCTGATGTCCCATCAAGGGCATCTATGGGTTATTTGGGATTGAAGAGAACTGAGTATGAATAATTAGGGTAGAATCAACCTACACAAGATGTGCTAAATTCAAATAACAAGAAGTAGGAGGTATAACTTATGTTTATTATAATTTACATTATAATTTGCCAGCAAATCCACCCCTTTTAGGTGCACAGTTTGACAAGTACAAATGTGTAAAGTCATGTAACCAATCAAGATATAGGATATTTCAACATCCCAGAAATTTCCATTGTGCCCTCTTTTTTTTTTCTTTTTGTAAATTATACTTTAATTTCTAGGGTACATGTATATAAAGCTTTGTAATTCTCTGCTTTTACCTATGTGATTTGGTTTTTGTTTGTTTAGTGATGGGAGTCTATGTTGCTCAACTGGCCTCGAACTCCTAGGCTCATGCAATCCTCCCACCTTAGCTGTCTGAGTCGCTGTCACTACAGATGCATACCACTGCACACAGCTCTTTATTGTATTAATTGAAATATAATTTTATATGTGTTGAATATAATAAACATTAACATTTGTGTTTAAAAAAAGGAAAAAGAAGTAGGAGAGCTTAGGAATTGTATAGGCTCTATTGGTTTGAATCTCAGGTTGATCACTCCCTAATTATACATTCGCAGGTAATTATAAATCTTGTATGACTTCCTCTCCGTTTTCTCATATATAAAATGAAGATAATTAGATGTATTAGTTCCCATTGGGTTATAATGTATAATAAATAACCTCCAAATCTTAGTAGTCCAGAAACAAAGGTTTATGTCTTGCTCATGTTACATATTAGCTGTGCCTTATATGTTGCATTAGGCCATTCCTGCATTGCTATAAAGACACATGCACACGTATGTTTATTGCGGCATTATTCACAATAGCAAAGACTTGGAACCAACCCAAATGTCCAACAATGATAGACTGGATTAAGAAAATGTGGCACATATACACCATGGAATACTATGCAGCCGTAAAAAATGATGAGTTCATGTCTTTGTAGGGACATGGATGAAATTGGAAATCATCATTCTCAGTAAACTATCGCAAGAACAAAAAACCAAACACCCCATATTCTCACTTATAGGTGGGAATTGAACAATGCGATCACATGGACACAGGAAGGGGAACATCACACTCTGGGGACTGTTGTGGGGTGGGGGGAGGGGGGAGGGATAGCATTGGGAGATACACCTAATGCTAGATGACGAGTTAGTGGGTGCAGCACACCAGCATGGCACATGTATACATATGTAACTAACCTGCACAATGTGCACATGTACCCTAAAACTTAAAGTATATAAAAAAAACCTGAGGTTGGGTAATTTATAAAGAAAAGAAATTTAATTGGCTCATGGTTCTGCAGGTTTTATAGGAAGCATGGTGGTGACATATGCTTGGCTTCTGGAGAGGTCTCAGGAAG
The DNA here is from genome assembly GCF_000001405.40 of Homo sapiens. NCBI lineage: Eukaryota > Metazoa > Chordata > Mammalia > Primates > Hominidae > Homo > Homo sapiens. Next base: position 109,491,732 of record NC_000011.10, on the reverse strand, counting down.
CTTACAATTATGGCAGAAGGCAAAGGGAAACAGACACATCCTATGGTGGGAGTAGGAGCAAGAAAGAGAATACATGGGGTCAGGGAGGGCTACATACTTTTAAATGACCGTATCTTGCAGGAACTTACAATCACAAAGACAGCACCAAGCCGTGAGGGATCTGTCCCTATGATCCAAACACATTCCAACAAGCCCCACATCCAACACTGGAGATTACAATTAAACATTATATTTGGGCAGGGATAAATATTCAAACTATGCCTCTGTGGTTATGCAAGACATGAATTTTTCTTTCTTAGATCCAGGGTAAAGGAGCAGCCCATAACTGGAAAATGTTATATTCACAGCACAGGGAAATGAACAAGGGAGAAAGTCGAATGGCCAAGCTTGATGTCAATGGCTGTGCTCTTTCAGGGAAAACTGCAAATAATTGGGAATAATAAATCAATCTAATCTACCACATAAGGGGACATATTTTATAAGATTAGTTTGAGGATTAGATAAGTTATTTTAAAATGCTTAATCCAGCTTGGCATGCTCTCAATTACTACGTAGCTTATGAAGACATATGTTAGCCTGAGTTAAGTAACTCTCTTCTAGTTCCCCATCCCTTGCATAGCTATGCAAATTGGCTGTGAGGAACAGACACTGGGGATGTTCTGGGCAGCAATATATGGTGTAGCATGCAGAGACCTGAGATCTTTGAGAAATAAGTAATTAATTCTGTTTAACTAGAAATTTTCTGTCAACACTGATGGTTTTTTATCTGCACAGATAAAAATATTAAATAAAGTATGACATACTCTCTAAGAAGATACCATGCTCATAAAGGTGTATTTAACTTTTGCTTTCCTGTGTGTATGGCTGACAATCCCCCAGACCCATAAAATATTCTTCTCAGAGAAATACTCTGATCCTATTTGGGGCTTCTAGAGTTTGGTGATTTTTTTTTTCTCATTTGGATTATGACCTGCTCAAGTCTCTTTACTCCCTTTGACCTGTCATCTTATTACTCCTACTTATATTCCCTTGTGTGTTAATTAATATTTCCCTTTCCATCTCTAATACTCATCCTCTTCAGATATTTGTTAACACTCTGCCCTATTTAATCTAAACATAAGTAGGTCTTCTCCTCAGCCCTGATTACAGTTGTAATTACTTAAATGTTTCTTTTACTACCTAGATGCTAATTGTAGATAAATATAGGAATAGAAGGTTAAATTATAGGTTTAGTTATATGGTATCAGAAGAGAAGAAAAAGATATATATGCTTTCAGGTCAATTAAATGTGGTTGTGCACAATATTCCATTGTCTTCATTTCTCTGCCAAGTACATGTAGATTGCTACTTCCAGAATCATTGAAATCTATAATGCTGAGCAGCACTCTTCTATTCTATACCTTATAGCACCACTGATGCTGTAACTTTGAAGCACCAGGTACCATATCAACCTGAGTCTCCTTCCCATGCCAGCACATCTAAGATACCACACTCTCTCTGATCCAGCCATTCTGTCCTATTCTACATGTTCTGCACCTCTTCCAGCCTGTTCTGGTTTGAAACTACTCCATCCTTCCTTTCCACAAACAATCAGAGAGTTTGAGTTTTATGAGAAGAATGTTGAGAATAGACCCATAGAAAATCTCAACATTTAAGGAGTAAATAAAGATGAAAAGATCTGCAATTAATCTGAAAAAGAAACAATTCCATAAAACTATGATACAAGAGATTTTCAAGAATTATGAAGTAGAGGAACTTGTAAATTGGCTAGGTAAACCCTCTCCAAAAAATAAGCAGAATAACACTGTGTAAAATTGTTTAAAACAATAAATTTAGGGCTCTGGAAATAAAAGGCAGACAACAAATTGAGAAGCTGTGACTATTTGAAGAGTGACTATTTGTGGTCTTCTTGGCTGCGCCATTTCTGTCACTTCCATGCCTACTCTCTAGCACAGTCAATGGCAACAGTAGTTTTAGTAGTTTGTGAATGCTTGGGAAACCAAGAATGTTTGCTGAGAAAGTGAGCATTCTTGATCTGAGGAGTAGAATAGGATAAGTGATTGACAGATTTATCAGTTAAAACTGGTGAATTGGATAGAAACACATAGGAAAATCTTCATCTTTACTCTCCTAAGTTTGTAGCTCTGGTTGGTGAAAGTGGCATACCAACCAGTAATTATTTTAACAGGGAGACCCTGCAAATAAGAGAGCCACAGAAAGGCTGAACAAGTATTTCATATCCCTCACTGACTAAGAAACTGCATGTATGTACAAAAAATACTGGGAAGAGCCTGTAAGACAGAAGAAGTCATGGGGGACTTAAAAACAGGCTGAATTTGAATGTACTCCCAAATCCACACAAAATTCAACAAGCTGAGGGTAGAAGCCTTATGGGCTTGGGGTGATTGGACACAATTTCTGCCTAAATTGTTGAGCAGAAACATCAACAGCCACACACTACAGTGAAGATAGATTTTGAAGTTTAAGTCTAGGCTAGTTACTTAAAAATATGTATCTGTACAGAGGACTTTAGAGTAGTGAAACTACTCTGTATGATATTGTAATGTTGGATACATGGCACTATACACTATACATTTGTCCAAACTCATAGACCATATAACACCAAGTGTAAACTCTATATAAATTATCAACTCTGGATGATAATAATGTGTCAATTTATGTTCATTAGTTGGAACCAATGTACCACTATGATGAGGTATATTCATAATGTGGGAGCCTATGCATGTGTGGGAACAGGGGGTATATGGAAAATGTCTGTACTTTATGCTCAATTTTGCTGTAAAATTAAGACTCTAAAATGTGAAATTTATTTTTAAAAAAGTCTTAGGAAAACAAATCAGAATTCAGAGTCAATACACTTTATTATCTGAAAGGTCACATCTTCAGCCCAAAAAATAAAAAAAAAAAAGACATTCAAAGAAACTAGAAAGTATAACCCATACTCAAAATGTGGGGGAAAACAATTAGAAATTGATGTTAAGTGGGCTGAGATATTGGCTTTTTGGTAGACAAGGAATTCAAAAATACTATTATATATCAAAAGGATTAAAGTAAACTGTGCTCAAATAATTAAAGGAAAATATAATCACAATATCTCATCAGAGAACCTCAACAGAAAATAGAGATTATACAAAATAGAAATTCTAAAGTTGCTAAGTGCAATAACTGAAATTAAAATTCACTAGATAGGTTAAATAAAAAATTTCAAATGGCAAAGAAAAAATTATTATGCAGGAAGGAAGATAAACAGGAATTACCCACCATGAAGACTAACAAGAAAAATATTGGAGGAAACTGAAGAGCTTTAGAGACCTGTAAGACAATGTAATGGAAGTCCCTAAAGAAGAAGTGAAGAGAAAGAGAAAGTGACAGAAATGTAAAATATTAAATGGTTATATTAGGATGAAAGAAAATCAATAATTAAGCATCCATCTTTAGAAAAAGAAAAAGCAAATCAAACCCAAATCAAAAAGAAGAATAAAAATATGAATATCAAAGCTGAAAATCAACGAAACAGGAGAGGGATATAAAAGGAAATCAAAGCAATCAAAAGTTGGTTCTTTGAAAAGACCAATAAAATTTATGCAACTTTTTTGTTAGCTAGCAGTGAAGAAGTTAAGCCACATTTATATAAAGTTTAAAAATAGGTGAAACTATCCACAGTGATAGAAGTAAGGCTAATGATTGCCTTTCTGAATGATTGTGATAGTGATTGAAAAGAAGCATGAAGGAAAGCTTCTTAAGAGTCTGTAAATGTTTTATTTCTTGTTGTGGTTGGTGTGGGTTTTGGCTGCATTTGGTGTGTTCATGCTTTTAAAATTAAGGGAGTTGTATGCTTATGAGTTGTGCATTATTCTAAATGTGTGTTAAAATATTTGTTAAAATTACAAAGCACAGTGGATTGTTTTAAAGAAGAAATACAATTGAAAGAGAAGTAAAGAACTGGAAGAAATATGTGAATAAAAAAATTATACAGCATGCAACACGAGAGACAAAGAGAAACATGAGTGTTAAAATGCAAAGAAATTGTATCAAATTGATGAAATCCTGATAACTATTACAGATACTGAATGTGTAGTTTTTAATCTGCCAACAAAGCAAACACCAAGCCTAGACAGTTTTATATGTTATATCTGTCTTAAGAAACAGAGATTACAATATAAATCTTCCATAAAAAATAAAGAGGGACATTGTACACGTAAATTGAAAGGATATATGACATTGGAAATGGTAGAGAACAGTAGAGGAAATAAATGGACTATATACTGTGACAATTGGGAGCCGAATTTATGAAGTAACAAAGTTAAGCAGAAAAGGCAAAACAATCTCAGAACTAAAACACAATGTTGTTTCATGGCTTTCTCCAAATGTAAGTAGCCTCATTGTTATTTTCCCAATTTTAGCTGTACTTATGTATTAAAGACAAATTTGTGACACTTCACTATAAATCCAATAGGGTGAGAAAACCATTATTTTTATTATTGAATTATTTCTGGACTCACTGTGGTTGTCATTGTTCAACCATTCTTTTCATCTCAGGTAAATATTTAATAAAGAATACTTCTGCAATTCGTTTAATTGTAATTCCTCCCAGCATATTGTATCTGTAGTTCTGTATGTTTAAGATAGCTTTTCCATTGTCATAATCATTCTGCAGTTTCTTGTTTATCTTCTTTGTGACATAGCCCTCTTGTGACCACAGGTTAAGGTATCTTAGCTCTGGTAGAGTTACTTGGACTGGTAAAATTTGTGACTTACAGTAAAGACTAATATAAATTTTATAAGCAGCCTACACCCTTCAATACATTGAAATAATGAAATGATAAGTAATTAAGAGTTGAAGAAAAGATATTCTGATTGAAGACTAGTGCGACAAGACGAGATTATATTTGTGTTTAAACTCCATAGTCTCATTACCTGTAGAGAAGAAAACAAGAAAATTAACTTGCTTTCATCTATGGGAGAAAAAAATCAAGTCTTCCATTATTGTGTTAAATTTTTATTTGAAATATTGTAACTTAGCTGTTTAATTATTATGTGTTGCGTGCAAAACAGTTTAAAACCCTAGAACTGCCTCTCAGTTATTGCCCATTGAATTTTAATTAAATTAGGTTATATTTCAGTTCATGTAACCTAGTTACATGATGAGCCAATATCAACTACAATATTAAAGAAGCTCATCACAAAATTCTGATGGTCTTTGCTAGCTCCTGTTGGATGGAAGAACTAATGCAGATCTTCACAGGGTATGCTTGTGTATACACATCAGGTAAGGCTATATCCTGATCAGTACAACCTTACAGAAAACACAGAGGAACTGCTCTTTGTGAGCCTAGCAGCAAAGCAAACAATCATTCTACTTCATAAAAGGGATGTGATATAATTGATCACAACTACCCTGAAGTTTATGGAGCCAATGTGTTTGCATAAGAGCAATCATCTGAGCTCTATTATAAATGAAACATCTGCTGGGCTCTGGAGAACCCACAAGCAAATAGCGAGACACAGGCATGCAAATTTAGGAATTACAGCAGGTACTTCACTTCCTAGTACAAAAACAGCAGAGCTAAATTCATTTGTCTCAACCAATGGGCCAATAAATTTCTAAATCCTTTCAAGTTCTCAGCGCTGCTTTAAAAAAAAAAAGAAACTTTTTAATGTTTGTGGGTACATAGCAGGTAGATATATTTATGGGGTATGTGTGATATTTTGATACAGGCATGCAATGTGTAATAATCACATCATGTAAAACGGGGTATCAGTCCCCTCAAGCATTTGTCCTTTGTGTTACAAACCATCCAATTATACTCTTTTATTTATTTAAAATGTACAGTTAAAGGCCTGAACATGGTGGCTCACACCTATAATCCCAGCATACTGGGAGGCTGAGGCAGGCAGATGACTTGAGGTCTGGAATTAAAGACCAGCCTGGACAACATAGTGAAATCCCATCTCTACTAAAAATTAAAAAAATTAGCTGGATGTGGTGGAGCGCACCTGTAGTCCCAGCTACTTGGAGGCTGAGGCAGGAGAATCACTTGAACCTGGGAGGCAAAGGCTGCAGTGAGCTGAGATTGCACCACTCTACTCCAGCCTGGGTGACAGAGACTGTCTCAAAACAGCAACAACAAAATAAAAAATTAAATGTAGAGTTATTATTGACTATAGTCACCCCATTGTGTTATCAAATTATAGATCTTATTCATTATTTCTATTTGTTTTTTAGCTATTAACAATTCCCACACTCCACCACTACCCTACCTTTCCCAACCTCTGGTAACCATCCTTCTACTCTCTATCCCAACATGTTCAATTATTTTAATTTTTTAACTTTTATTTTCAGTTAGGAGTACAACTGCAGGTTTGTTACATAGGTAAACTGTGTCATGGAGGTTTGTTGTACAGATTATTTCACAGGGTTATAGTAAACAAAACAGCATGGTACTGGTAGAGAAAGAGACACGTAGACCAATGGAACAGAATAGAGAACCTGGGAATAAGACCACAAACCTACAACTATCTAATCTTAGATAAAACTGACAAAATTGTTTTAATTTTTAGCTCCCACAAATAAGTGAGAACATATAAAGTTTGACTCTCTGTGCCTGGCTTATTTCACTTAACATAATGACCTCTAGTTCCATATATGTTGTTGCAAATGACAAAACCTCATTCTTTTTATGGCTGCATAGTACTCCATTGTGTATAAGTACCAGGTTTTCTTTATCCATTTATCTGTTGATGGACACTTAGGTTGCTTCCAAATCTTGGCTATTGTAAAAAGTTCTGCAACAAACAGGGGAGTACAGATATCTCTTCAATGTTCTAATTTCCTTTCTTTTGGGTATATATCCAACAGTGGGATTGCTGGATCACATGGTAGCTCTACTTTCAGTTTTTTGAAGAACCCCCAAACTGTTCTCCATAGTGGTTATACTAACTTACATTCTCACCAAGAGTGTTAGGAGAGTTCCCTTTTCTCCACATCTTCACCAGTATTTGCTATTGCCTGATTTTTGGATAAAAGCCATTTTAACTGGGGTGAGATGATATCTCATTGTAGTGTGGATTTGTATATCTCTGATGATCAGTGATGTTAAACACCTTTTCATATCCCTGCCTGCCATTTGTATATTTTCTTTTAAGAAATGTCTATACAAGTCTTTGGCCCATTTTTTGATCAGATTATTAGATTTTTTTCCTGGGCTCCTCATATATTCTGGTTATTAATCCCTTGTCAGTTGGGTAGTTTGCAAATATTTTATCCCATTCTGTCAATTATCTTTTCACTTTGTTGATTGTTTTCTTTGCTGTATAGAAGTTTTTAACCTGATGTGATCTCATTTGTCCATTTTTGCTTTGGTTGCCTATGCTTGTGAAGTATTACTCAAGAAATTTTTGCCCAGACCAGTGTCCTGGAGAGTTTCCCCAGTGTTTCCTTATAGTGCTTTCATAGTTTGAGATATTATATTTAAGACTTTAATCCATTTTTATTTGATTTCCTTTATAAGGAGAGAGATAGGGCTCAAGTTTCATTCTTCTGCATATGGATATCCAGTTTTCCTAGCACCATTTATTGAAGAGATTGTGTTTTCCGCAATGTATGTTCTTGGCACCTTTGTCAAAAATGAGTTCGCTGTAGGTGTGTGGATTTGTTTGTGGGTTCTCTATTCTGTTCCATTGCTCTATGTGTATGTTTCTATGACAGTGCCATGCTATTTTGGTTACTATATCTCTGTAGTATAAAGTCAAGTAATGCAATTTCTCCAGTTCTGTTCTTTTTGCTTAGGATAGCTTTGGCTATTCTGGGCCTTTTGTGATTCTATATAAATTTTAGAATTGTTGTTTTTCTTTCTGTGAAGAATATCATTGGTATTTTGATAGGGACTACATTGAATCTATAGATTACTTTGGGTAGTATAGCTATTTTAACAATATTGATGCTTCCAATCCATGAATATAAAATATCTTTCCCTTTTTTGTGTCCTCTTCAATTTCTTTCATCAGTGTTTTATAGTTTTTATTGTAGAGATTTTTCACTTCTTTGGTTAATTCTCAGGTATTTAATTTTATTCGTGGCTATGAAAAGTGGGATTACTTTTTAATTTCTTTTTCAGATTGTTCACTATTGGTATATAGAAATGCTACTGATTTTTGTATGTTGATTTTGTATCCTGCAACTTTATTGAATTTATCAGTTCTAATAGTTTTTGGTGGAATCTAGGTTTTCCCAAATATAAGATCATATCTGTAAAAAGGCTAATTTGACTTTTTCATTTCCAATTTGGATGCCCTTTATTATTTTTATGTTGTCTGATTGCTCTAGCTAAGACTTCCAGTATTATGTTGAATAACAGCAGAGAGAGTAGGCAAACTTCTTGTGTTCCAGATGTAAGAGGGAAGGCTTTCAGTTTTATCCCATTCATTATGATACTAGCTATAGGTCTGTCACATATGGCTTTTATTTATGTTGAGACATTTTCCTTTTATACTCAGTTTTTTGAGACTTTTTAATTATGAAAGGATGTGGAACTTCATCAAATGCTTTTCCAACATTAATTGAAATGATCATATGGTTTTTCTCCCTCATTCCCTTGATATGATGTATCACATTGATTAATTTGTTTATGTTGAGTCATCCTTGCATCCCTGGGATAAATCCCATTTGCTCATGATGAATTTTTTTTTAATATTTTGTTGAATTCAATCTGCTAGTATTCTGTTGAGGATTTTCATGTCAATGTTTATCAGAGATATTGGCCTGTAGTTTTCTTTTTTTTGATGTGTCTTTTTCTGGTTTTGGTAGTGGGGTAACATTAGGCGTGTAGAATGAGTTTCGAAGTATTTCCCTTTCCTCTATTTTTAAGGACAGTTAGAGTAAGATTGGCATTAGTTCTTTTTAAAATATTTAGTAGAATTTAGCAGTGAAGCCATTAGATCCCAGGCCTTTCTTTACTGGGAGACTTTTTAGTATGGCTTAGATTTTATTACATATTATTTTTCTGTTCATGTTTTCTTTATGGTTCAGTCTTGTTGATTCTTTGTGTTTGCATGTGTTTATCCATTTCTTCTAGATTTTCCAATTTGTTGGCATATAGTTGCTTGCACTAATAATCCTCTGAATTCCTATGGTATCAGTTGTAATGTCTCCTTTTTCATTTCTGGTCTTATTTATTTAGGTCTTCTCTCTTTTTTTGCTTAATTAGTCTTGCTAAATGTTAATTTTGTTTATCTTTTTAAAAAACCACGTTTTTGTTTCATTGATCTTTTGTCTTTTTTATTTCAAATTTATTTATGCTCTGATATTTATTATTTCTTTTTTTTCTGCTAATCTTGGGTTTGGTTTGCTCTTGCTTTTCTAGTTCTTTAACATGTAACATTAGGTTATTTGAAGTTTTTCTTTTTTGTGTAGCCATTTATAGCTCTAAATTTTCTTCTTTGTACTGTTTTTGCTGTATCCCTTAGGTTTTTGTATGTTGTGTTTCCTTTATTATTTGCTTAAGGAAATTTATCAATTTATTTCTTAATTTCTTCATCGACCCACTTATTATTCAGGAGCATATTGTTTAATTTCCTAGTGTTTGTATAGTTTCCAAAATTATTCTTGTTATCGATTTCTAGTTTTATTCCGCTGTGGTCACCAGGCTGGAGTACAGTGGCACAATCTCAGCTCACGGCAACCTCCGCCTCCCAGGTTCAAGCGATTCCCCTGCCTCAGCCTCCCAAGTAACTGGGATTACAGGCACGCCCAGCTAATTTTTTGTATTTTAGTAGAGACAGGGTTTCACCATGTTGGCCAAGATGGTCTCGATCTCCTGACCTCATGATCTGCCCGCCTCAGCCTCCCAAAGTGCTGGGATTACAGGTGTGAGCCACTGCGCCCAAACTGTGAATGTTTTAAGACTCATTTTGTTACCTAACATATGGTCTATCCTTGCGAAAGATTTATGTGTTGAGGAAAAGAATGTGTATTCTACAACCATTGGATGAAATGTTCTGTAGTTCTGTAAATATCTATTAGGTCCATTTGGCCTTTAGTGCAGATTCAGTCCGATGTTTCATTTTTGATGTTTTTCTCTGAGAGATTTTTCCAATGCTGAAAGTGAGGTTGAAGTCTCCAGCTATTATTGTATTGGAGTATTCTCTTTAGTTCTAATATATGCTTTATATATCTGAGTGCTCCAGTGTTAGGTGCATATATATTTAAAATCATCATATCCTCTTGCTGAGTTGACCCCTTTATCATTATATAGTGACCTTCTTTGTCTCTTCTTAGAGTTTTTGTCTTGAAATCTATTTTGTCTGACAGTATAGCTACTCCTGTTCTTTTTTAGTTTCTGTTGGCATGGAGTATCTTTTTAAATTTCTATCTTGAATTTCTTTGAGTTTCTTCGAAAACAGCTATTTTGAATTCTCTCTCTTAGAGGTCATATATCTTTCTTTCTTCAGGATTGGTCTCTGGTGCCTTATTTAGTCTATTTGGTAAGGTCATGTTTTCCTGGATGATGTTGATGCTTGTAGATGTTCTTCACCGTCTGGCAATTGGAGAGTTAAGTATTTATTGTAGTTTTTACAGTCTGGGTTTATTTGTGCTTGTCCTTGAGACAGCTTTCCAGACATTCAAAGGGACTTGGGTCCCAAGCCCAGTAACACTGTGATTTTTGCAGACTTACCATAAAGGATAAGATCCAGGATCTTATCCAACATGTGCTCTTGGATAAGATCTGGAAGAATTTTCTGGATTACCAGGCAGAGACTCTTGTTCTTTTCCCTTACTCTCAAACATATAAAATCTGTCTCTCTCTCTGTGCCCCACCTAGAACTGGGGGTGTGGTAATGCAAGCTCCCCTATGGCCACCACCACTGGAACTGTGCGGCGTCAGACCTTAAGCCAGCATAGCACTGGGACTTGTTCAAGGCCCTTTCTTTCAGGGTGGCAAGTTCACCCAGGTCCTAGGCATTCCAGAGGTGCTGTCTGGGAGCCAGAGATTAGAGTAAAAAAAACTTAGCAATTTACCTGATGTTGTATTCTACTGTGGCTAAGCTGGCACTCAAACCACAATATGAAGTCCTTCCTGCTCTTCTCTTCCCTTACTACAGGCAGAGTCTCTCCCTGTGGCTACCACTACTACTGGTCCACGGAGAATTCTGCCAGGTCACACCGATGTTCACTAAAAGCCCAAGGGCTTTTCTGTCAGCTTATGGTGATTGCTACCAGGCCTGGGACTCATTCTTCAGGGCAGTGAGCTCCCCTCTGGCCCAGGGCAGATCTAGAAATGCTGTTTGAGAGCCTAGGGACAGACTGGCTGACTCCAAGAGCCTGCTTGTTGCTCTGTCCCACTGTGGCTCAGCTGGTACCTGGTTTTTGGTTCTTGTGATGGTGATTTTCTGTGTGCAGGTAGTTGTTAAAATTCGGTGTTTGAGCGGGGGGCGGGGGCGGGGGGGAGGGAGCAGGTAGGGGGTGAAGGTGACAAACAGCATAGGCTTCTATTACACAATCTTGCTCCGTCCCTCACAGTGCTTCTTACATCCTTACTTTTTTCTTCATTTTCCTGCCATCATCCTAGATTAGGCCTTCATTACCTTTTCTTTGAATTATTTGTTTGGAATGTGAGAGATGGCCATGTTCCTGACATTGCTGCCTCTATTCTTGATTCTAAACTGCCCTCCACACAACTGCTGTATTATCTTATTAAAGTTCATGCTGCACGTTCTGATCACTCTATATCTGTCCCCAAAAATTTTCCATGATTTCCTGATGACTCTTTTTATTCTTTCATGCTATATCTTCACATTCTAATATAATCTCTCACTATCCTAAATTCTCCCCAAACTGGATTACTTACAGCTTGAATGTGCCTGAAACTTCCTTTTCTCTTTTGCAAATCAAAAAATACCCTACTCACCCTTCCAGACTCATTTCACATGACTTTTTTGTCTATTTCTTTCCCTGAAAGATTCCAAAGCCCAGCCTAGCTTATCTCTCCTACTGTGAAGCTGACCATATTGTATTTAGTTATTTATGTATATGTGTATCTCTGCTTCTAAAAGTGAGCACCTTGAATTCACAAGCTGCCTCATTCATTGGAATCACCAGTACCTAACACATTGCCTAGCAAATAATATGTATTTAATAAATGTTTACTCAATTAATTTCCTGTATCTGAAAATACTTCCTATGCTGGGTGAACTTCCCGCCCTAAGAATCTGTATGGGAAATAGAGTGTATTTTTATTTATTGAAGTTGAAATTGACTTTATTTCCCAGTTCACGCTGATACCACAGTATAGCCTATGACTCAGATTCCACTAATCTGAGACTCACTCTGGACTTCAAAAGGAGAAAGAGTTGGGAAGAACTTTCTCTGAGAGCCATGGGCTATATACAAGATACGGTTTTGAGGATAGCAGTGGCCATTGTGCCTGCTGCAGCCGTATATATTTTGCCATGCCAAATGTGCTGAGGCTGTTTGTAGTGTGATTTGGGGTTGCCTCTTAGCCTGACCCTTCAGCCTTCCCAGAGATTCTCTGCCTGATCCATTTCTTTACACTTAAATCGTGCAAAATCAGTTTCTGTTCTTGCAACAAAAGAACCCTTATTGATACAGAAATCCTACTGCTTCCTGCCCTGGCAGCTTTGCTCAAGTCCTGTGTTTGGACTCTGCCTATAAATTCTGGCCTATCCTTAAAAATGAATCCAAAAGGCCACTATCTTCATGTGTTTATATCCGTCTTGATTCTTCCAATTGGATGTTTCTCTGTCTCCTCTCTTTCTCTCTCTCTCTCATTGGAACCCCAAAATATTAGGTTTCTTTAATATGACATATAGTTTTATGCCCTTACCTTACATGTGTATTGAGGGTTAAGTTTGGGTTTTACCTAATAGGGTGCTAATAAGTAATGAACAACTGTCTCTCTGGAGGAAAAAAATGTATGTCTATCTATACATGTAAAAAATAGCTATATATCTATTAATAGATACAGATATATATAGAGATACGTGCTTATATATACACACTTGTATATATACCTATAAGTTTATAAATTTTACTGATATATAGAGTATAGGACAAATAATCTACAAACTAATAAAATATATAACCTTATTATGAATTTCACATTGCCTATTAATTCTCAAAAATACTTTGATTTTTACCAAACTCTTGTATCCATAACCCAACTACACTTGAAATTGACAAACAAGTGTTATTTCTATTTTTTTCTTTTTTCTTTTTGTGAGAACACTCAGAGTTTAGCTTCTTAGCAATTTGCAAGAATACAACACATTACTATTAACTATAGTTACCAGGTTGTACAATAGATTTCATAAACTTATTCCACTTATTTTACTTAAATTTTGTATCCTTTGACCAACATCTCTAGAATCTCCACCTCCTATCCTCAGACCCTGGTGACCACTATTCTTCTCTCTACTTTTATGAGTTCAACTTTTTTAGATTCTGCATGTAAGTGAGATCATGTGGTATCTGTGTTTCTGTGCTTGACTTATTTCACTTAACCTAATGTCCTTCAGATTCATCCATGTTGTCACAAATGACAGGATTTCCTTTTTTCTTAAGGCTGAATAATGTTCCACTGTGTATATATACCACATTTTATTTATCCATTTATTCGATGATGGACACAAGTTGATTCCATATCTTGGCTATTGTGAATAATGCTGCAATGAATGTGGGAGTGCACATGTCTCTTTGACAAACTAATTTCATTTCCTTTGGGTTTATTTCCAGAAGTGGGATTGCTGGATCAGACCAAGTGTATTTCTGACATTTGCTATTTTGTGTTAGTAAGCAAAATAAATGTGAAACAAGGTAGATGTATGTTAGAACTTATTTTTCAATGATATGAATGACTTCTTTGCTGATTTGGGTAATAGTTTAGAATAATATTTTCTCAATTTTTTGTACTATTTACAATGTATCAGTTACAGATATGACATGCTTTCAAGTTTAATCTGCATCATAACATTTTCTTCATTACTTTCTTAAATCTGGACAATCAAAAATCAATAAATCACACCTTAATTTGTTGTGTTTGCCTATTTCCATGGTGTAAACACTCCCACCCTGGCAGATTTTAAACTGCTGACATAATGTCACTCAATACAACATTGGGAAGAGATGCATAGTAGCACACTATGATTTCCACTATAGAGATTCAATAGCTATAAATAACCTCAAGAACACAGATAATAGTAAAATGTAGAACAATGATTAGGAAACGATTTTTTAATTTTTTAAAATATAACTTAATTATAAGTTTAAATAATTTAATTTTTTTATAGCGAGTGTGTTTAACCAGCTCACAAAACATGAAAATTTAGCAATTGACTCATGAGATTAAGTTAGCTTTGACATACCAATGACTTATTGTTGTTTCAGACACTGTACAAGGTACCAAGGGGATATAGAGGGAATATAGAGTAGATATCTGGTAAATTTTCACTGATTTAAATAGTTTGATGGTTTGGCACATATTAGAGCTCATCCTCTTTAGGCTCTGCCTAAAGAGGATATTTTCAAAGGTGACTACAAAGTCTGAATTTACCTTAGGCCCTGTGACCTGAGGAGTGGGGCAGGTGCTCATGTCATTAACTGCCTGGGATATTACAGAGAGAGAAAAAAAGAGAGAAAGACTTTTCCTCATTAGTTATCCAAAAACCAATACAACCACCAGGTTTTCTGCAAATAGAGTAATTTGCTGGCCTTATATCCTTGAATAACTCCTGATAGTTACATGTGCCTTGGATTTTCTTGGTACTATAGTTACATGTGCCTTGGATTTTCTTGGTACTATTTCCAAATTATCACTGAGAGTGCAAAATACCACAGGCCCCAGATATTTGAACTGGGAGAATTCAAAGGACCATAAATATAAGGGTTAAAATTTTGCAATCAAGTAGATCTATGTTAAAATCCTATTATACTCTTTAAAGTTTTGTGCTCTTAGGTAAGTCATTTAACCTGAGTGGGTTTCCTCACTTACTAAATGAGAACGATACTCTTGGCCATTGCAAGTAATCAATAAGAAAAAAAAAAAGCTCTGCAGTGTCCTCCTACCCCATTTCCACCCACACACACTCACTGAAACACTGCTTTCATTAAGGGAGAAAATGTATTTCTAACTCCCAGTGATCTCTTCTCTTCCTCACTTCCCATAGCGCTTTATTGTCTGGATACCATATTTTTTTCATTTAATTATATCTGGTTATAAACTGTTAACTGTTTAATATTTGTATATCTTGTTTTACCACTTGTTTATCATCTCCACTTCATATTACATGTCTAGCCCAAGCTAGACTGTAAGCTAATGAGGGTTGTGATCTTAATAATAATTTTTTATGGATTTTTCACCAGTTTATAATGTCTAGCAAAAGTTTAGACATATAGGTATTAATAATTATCTGAAGAAGTTTGATTCCCTAATCTTGGGATAGAAATAAAAATTTTCCTAAATAAATACTTAGGTTTCACAGGTTAGAGTGTGGACTCAGAGATTATCCAGCCTCATTCCCAAAGAAGCTGGATTTATTCACAGCTGGAGGTAATAAGTTTGGATAAGAGATTATCTTATTTGCTTCATTAACCAACAAATTAGCAGTACAGCAGAATATAATGGCCCCAGCTCCAGGTCTTTTTTTATGTGGCAACTAAACCACATCATCATAGAGGCAATGACCTGACAGAGATTTTCAAGAAAGCCAAATGAATATTTTCTTCACCTTTCACCTTTTCACCATAATCTTTCCTAAATAATCTAAAATAATATCAAGAAGAATTTAAAACAATAATCACTTCATTGGAAGATGTGAATGAGAAACAGTGTTCTATAAAAGGAAAGGCTTTCTGGTGGTCCTTTGCATTAATTTTTAAAATTTAAACTCGATATGATAAGCTTGATAGTAAAAATAAAATGTACATATAGTCCATTTGAAACAATAATCTATGGTTCCAATAGATTTTCAAAGGCGACTACAAAGTCTGAATAGTTGAAGCCATGTTCCTGAGCATCTTCAAAAACTTTAAAGTCACATTCTTTGTTATTAAAGTGCATGTACAAATTTGCAAGGCCAAATTTATCTATTTTTATCATCAAGCTTCATGACCTTTATTATTTTATCCATCAACCTTCATGACCTTGAATTTGGCAATACATTCTAAGATATGACACCAAAACATGAGCAACAAAAGAAGAAATATAGATAAATTGGACATTTTCAAAACTAACTTTTTTCATCAAAGGACATCAGGTCAATGAAATTGCTGTAAAAGTCATATTCTGAAGACATGCCTGCCTCTCTGTAGTATGTTTATAGGAGTGGAATTGCTAAGTCATGGGATAGATGTATGTTTAATGTTATAAGAATCTGGAAAATAGTTCATCAAAGTGGTTGTACCTTTCCACATTCCCACCAATAATGTTTGGAAGTTTTAATAGCTATGCATCCTTGTCAGCATTTGGTGTTGTCAGACTTTGATTTTAGCCTTCAAGTGGTTGTGGATGATTTCACATTATAGTTTTGTACAGCATTTATCTGATGATACATGATGTTGAACATCTTTTCAGGTGCTTAGTGGCCATTCTTTTGTTTTCTTTGGTTAAATATTTGAGATTTTTGCTCAAAAAAGTTGAAATTTTTTATTGTGGTGAAAAAACATATATAACATAAAACTTTGTTCTTATGTCTCAAGATTGTTTCAAGATTTATATGAAGTTGAAATGGGCCCCAAATAACCACTGGGGCCCATTTAAACTCTATATAAATTTGAATTTGGCTTTTTCATTTCTGCAATAAGACTTTTGGAATTTTGGTGTAGAAATCGCATTGAATCTGTAGATACCTTTAGGAAGTATTGACATCTTAATAATATTAAGTCTTCCTACTCATGAATGCAGGATGTCTTTGTATTTATTCAGGACTCCTTTAGGTTATTTGAGCAATATTTTGTAGTTTTCAGTGTATAAGTCTTTTATCTTCTTGGTCAAATTTATTCCTAGCTATTTTATTTTTTCACATACTATTTCAATGGAATTGTTTTCTTCATTTTCTTTTTGGATTCTTTATTGCAGATGTCCAGCAACACAACTAATGTTTGTGTAATTATCTTGTACCCTACAACTTTGTTGAATTTATTTATTAGCTTTGGTAGCTTTGTTGTGGATTCTTTGGGATTTCTTACATATAGTACAATGTCATGTGTAAACAGAGAGATAGTTTTACTTCCTTCTTTTCAATTTAAATGGCTTTTATTTCTTTTCTTTGTCTAATTGCTCTAGCTAGAACTTCCAGTACAACATTGAACAGCATTGGTCAACGTGGGTATCCTTATGTTTCTAATTAGGGGCAAAGCTTTATTCTTTAACCATTGAGTTTAATGTTAGCTGAGAGTTGTTTTTAATAAATTCCTTTTATTGTGGTCAGAAAGTTTACTTATATTCCTAGTTTTCTGAGAGTTTTTGTTAATGATAAAAGATCGTTGGGTATTGTCAAATGTCTTTTTTGTATCAATTAAGATTATCATGTGCTTTTCCCCTACTCTTTGTTCTATTAAAGTAATGTGTTACATTGATTTTCATACGTTGAATGATCTTGAATTCCTGAGATAAATCCCATTTGGTCACAGTGTATAATACTTTTAATATGCTATTGAATTCAGTTTGCTAGTATTTTGTTAAGAACTTTTACATCTATACTCATAAAGGTTATTCATCTGTAATTTTATTTTCTTGTGATGTCTTTATCTGGCTTTGATGTTAGAGTAATGTGGGCCTCATAAATTAGAGAGTGTTCCTGCCTCTTCAATTTGTTAGAAGAGCTTAAGAAAGACTTGTGTTAATTTTTTAAGACTGTTTGGTAGTAATTCATCAACGAAATAATCTGGTTCTGGACTTTGTTAGGAGGTTTTTGATGACCAATTTTATTTATTTGTTATAGATCTATTGAGATTTTCCTTTTCTTTTTTAATCCGTTTAGGTGATTTGTGTATTTTTGGGAGTTTGTTCATTTCATCCAGGTTATCTAATTTATTGGTGTACAGTAATTCACAGTATTCTCTTTTAACTCTCTTTATTTCTATAAGTCCCTACTTTCATTTCTGATTTTAGTTATTTGGGTCTTCTCTCTTTTTAATTTGCCCGTCCAGCTAATAGTTTGTCCATTTTGTTGATCTTTTTGAGAATCAACTCTTGCTTTTACTGAATTGTCTCTACTATTTTTCATTCTCTGCTCTAATCTTTATTTCCTCCCTTCTGCTAGACTTGGGTTTGCTTTGTTCTTCTTTTTTTAGTCCCTTAAGTTGTAAAGTTAAGTTGTTGATTTGAGATCTTTCTTCCTCTTTAATATGTTGATAACTCTAAATTCCCATCGTGGCATTGCCTTTATATATGTTCCATAAGTTTTGGTATGTTGTTTTATGTAGTATTTTCACTTTCGCTCCATTCAAAGTGTTGTTTTAACTTCCCTTGAGGCTTCCTATCTGATTCACTTGTTATTCGGAAGTGTATTGTTTAACTTTCCTATATTTTGAGATTGTCCAGCTATTTTTCTGTTGTTGATTTCTAGTTCAAGTCCATTGTGATCTGAGAAAATACTTTGTATAATTTCTATTCTTTTAAATTTAAGTTACGGTTTATAGCAGAGAATGTGGTCTGTCTTGTTTAATGATCTATGTGAGCTGGAGGTAAAAGTATATTCCTCTGTTTTGGGGAAGAGTATTCTATAAATATCAATTAGATCAAGTTGATTAATAGCACTGATCAGATCAACTGTATTTTTATTTTTTTAAATCAACATGATCTATCAATTAAAGAGGGTTTTTGATAGTTCCAACTCTGATGGTGGATTTGTCTTTTTCTCTTTTCAGTTCTATCAATTTTTGTCTCATGAACT
Organism: Homo sapiens; assembly: GCF_000001405.40. Taxonomy (NCBI): domain Eukaryota; kingdom Metazoa; phylum Chordata; class Mammalia; order Primates; family Hominidae; genus Homo; species Homo sapiens. The sequence goes on along the minus strand of NC_000011.10, from coordinate 109,472,802 downwards.
TAGACACAATGCTGATGGGTACATATATGTTTAAGATTATTTCTTCTTGGAGAATTGGCCTTTTATCATTATGTAAGCTCTTATTTGTGATAATTTTCCTTGTTCTGAAGTCTGCTTTGTCTAAATTAGGGCCACTCTAGCTTTCTTTTGATAGTGTCAGAGTGTTAGTTCATCTTTCCCCATCCCTTTAGTTTTAGCCTTTCTCTATAATAAACTGGATTTCTTGTAGACAAAACACAGTTTTGTCATATTTTATCCATTTTGTCGATCTGTCTTTTCCTTTCTCTATTTAAATCATTTACATTAAAAATGATTATTAATATAGTTGTATTAATATCTATCATTTTTGTAACTGTTTTCTGTCACGTTTATCTTTTCTCCTCTCTTTCTGCCTTTTCCAGTTTTATTTGAACATTTTATATAATTTCATTTTGAGGACTAAACTCTGATTTTTTTAGTATTTTACCACTTTATAAGCAATATAAAGTAAAAACAGTATCTTTCTCCACTTTATGTACTACAGTTGTCATATATATTACTTTTGTCTATATAAACCCTAAAACACATGAATATAGTTGTTATTTTAAACAGTCAATATTTGTATAATAAAATAGTCTTTTATGTGTTCTGACATATTTATCATTTTAAGTTCTTGTTGTTTCTGAATCTCTGTCCTTCCATCTGAGGTAAAATATAGCTTTATTCCATTCTTCCTGTCTCCAGGGATTCTAGTTACACATTTGTCAGACTATTAACAGAGTCACATGCTCTTCCTTTGTTGGTTTTAGACATGCTTTTAGCTATTTGTGCTTCAGTTTGTATAATGTCTATTATACATTATGCAATGAACCTTTCTTCTTATGTATCTATTGTACTATTCACTATATCCAACACATTCTTAACGTCAGTTATAGCATTTTTCACTTCCAAAATATTTATTATATTCTTCTCAGAGAACCAATTTCTCCAATAAACTTATTAATAATGTGTCTATTTTGTCCTTGTTTTCCTTTATTTAATGTATATAATAATAATTTTTATTGTCTATAATTCTAGTATGTTTTTCTTGTGTCTGTACCTATTGTGAGTTGTTTGTATGCTTGATTATGTATCATGTGTTTCTGCTTTTCTGTATGCTTCATAATTTTTTGATTGCATGGAAAACATCATGTATAAAAAAACATAGATACTGAAGTTGGTAGTTTCTCCTCTGAGAGAGCATTGCTCTTTCCTTATAAGGCAGCTAGAGTGAAAGGCTAATCTTTTTGATCTAATAAAGAATGGAACTCGGTCAGAAATGAGTGGCAGTTTAACTTAGTTTTCATTCACCTGATTTCAAATGATCTTAAGGTAAGTCTTACCCTCTGTGTGTTCCAGTAGATCTGTAAGCATTAACATACTGTAGACTTCTTCCTCTGCCTACCCCATTCAGCCCCATCATCCATTCCTCTATGCTCAGACTCAGCACATGGCCCAGATGATGAAAGAAGCCACCAATCTGTTACCCAGAAAGGGCTTTTCCTATACCTGCATTTAGTTTCTTTATAGTATTTTCGTCCACAGGTCTCTGATGTCTTTAATTTTTTTTATTTTTAAAATTCATTTTTACTTTCTTAATGGATATGGTGGAAATGATGATTTGCTGTTACCTTCTAGATTCTTTTTTTTAATTATTATTATACTTTACGTTCTGGGATACACGTGCAGAATGTGTAAGTTTGTTACATAGGTATATGCGTGCCATGGTGGTTTGCCGCACCCATCAACCTGTCATATACATTAGGTATTTCTCCTAATACTCTTCCTCCCCTTGCCCCCCACCCCTCAACAGGCCCCAGTATGTGATGTTCCCCTCCCTGTTTCCATGTGTTCTCATTGTTCAACTCCCGCTTATGAGTAAGAACATGCAGTATTTGGTTTTCTGTTCCTGGTTAGTTTCCTGAAAATGATGGTTTCCAGCTTCATCCATGTCCCTGCAAAGGACATGAACTCATCTTTTTTATGGCTACGTAGTATTCCATGGTGTGTATGTGCCGCATTTTCTTAATCCAGTCTATCGTTGTTGGACATTTAGGTTGGTTCCAAGTCTTTGCTATTGTGAATAGGGCTGCAATAAACATACGTGTGCATGTGTCTTTAAAGTAGAATGATTTATAATCCTTCGGGTATATACCCAGTAATGTGGTTGCTGGGTCAAATGGTATTTCTGGTTCTAGATCCTTGAGGAATCACCACACTGTCTTCCACAATGGTTGAGCTAGTTTACACCCCCACCAACAGTGTAAAAGTGTTCCTATTTCTCCACATCCTCTCCAGCATCTGTTGTTTCCTTACTTTTTAATGATCGCCATTCTAACTGGTGTGAGATGGTATCTCATTTGCATTTCTCTAATGACCAGTGATGATGAGCTTTTTTTCATGTTTCTTGGCCACATTCATGTCTTCTTTTGGAAGTGTCTGTTCATATCTTTGCCCAGTTTTTGATGGTGTTGTTTGTTTTTTTTTCTTGTAAATTTATTATGTTCCTTGTAGATTCTGGATATTAGCCCTTTGCCAGATGGATAGATTGCAAAAATTTTCCCCCATTCTGTAGGTTGCCTGTTCACTCTGATGGTAGTTTCTTTTGCTGTGCAGAAGCTCTTTAGTTTAATTAGATACCATTTGTCAATTTTGGCTTTTATTGCCATTGCTTTTGGTGTTTTAGTCATGAAGTCTTTGCCAATGCCTATGTTTTGAAGGATATAGCCTAGGCTTTCTTCTAGGGTTTTTATGGCTTTAGGTCTTATGTTTAAATCTTTAATCCATCTTGAGTTAATTTTTGTATAAGGTGTAAGGAAGGGGTCCAGTTTCAGTTTTCTGCATGTGGCTAGCCAGTTTTCCCAACACCATTTATTAAATAGGAAATTCTTTCCCCATTGCTTGTTTTCATCAGGTTTGTCCAAAATCAGATGGCTGTAGATGTGTGATGTAATTTCTGAGCCCTCTGTTCTATTCCATTGGTCTCTATATCTGTTTTAGTACCAGTACCATGCTCTTTTGGTTACTGTAGCCTTATAGTATAGTTTGAAGTCAGATAGCATGATGCTTCCGGTTTTGTTCTTTTTGCTTCAGATTGTCTTGGTTATATGGGCTCTTTTTTGGTTCCATATGAAATTTAAAGTAGTTTTTCCTAATTCTGTGAAGAAAGTCAGTGGTAGCTTGATGGGGATAGCATTGAATCTATAAATTATTTTGGGCAGTATGGCCATTTTCATGATATTGATTTTTCCTATCCATGGTCATGGAATGTTTTTCCATTTGCTTGTGTCCTCTCTTATTTCCTTGAGCAGTGGTTTATAGTTCTCCTTGAAGAGGTCCTTCACATCCCTTGTAAGTTGGATTCCTAGGTATTTTATTCTCTTTGTAGCAATTGTGAATGGGAGTTCACTCATGATTTGGCTCTCTGTTTGTCTATTATTGGTGTATGGAATACTTGTGACTTTTGCACATGGATTTTGTATCCTGAGACTTTGCTGAAGTTGCTTATCAGCTTAAGGAGTTTTGGGGCTGAGATGATGGGGTTTTCTAAATATACAATCATGTCATCTGCAAACAGAGACAATTTGATTTCCTCTTTTACTATTTGAATGCCTTTATTTCTTTCTCTTGCCTAATTGCCCTGGCCAGAACTTCCAATACTATGTTGAATAGGAATGGTGAGAGAGGGCATCCTTGTCTTATGCCAGTTTTCAGAGGGAATGCTTCCAGCTTTTGCCCATTCAGTATGATATTGGCTATGGGTTTGTGATAAATAGCTCTTATTATTTTGAGATACATTCCATCAATACCTAGTTTATTGAGGGGTTTTAGCGTAAAGAGATGTTGAAGAGATGTGGTTTTTGTCATTGGTTCTATTTACGTGGTGGATTATGTTTACTGATTTGCATATGTCGAACCAGCCTTGCATCCCAGGGATGAAGCCAACTTGGATCATGGTGGATAAGCTTTTTGATGTGCTGCTTGATTCGGTTTGCCAATATTTTATTGAGGATTTTCGCATTGATGTTTATCAGGGATACTGGCCTGAAATTTTCTTTTCTTTGTTGTGTCTCTGCCAGGTTTTTGTATCAAGATGATGCTGGCCTCATAAAATGAGTTAGGGAGGAGTCCCTATTTTTCTATTGTTTGGTATAGTTTTAGAAGGAATGGTACCAGCTCCTCTTTGTACCTCTGGTAGAATTCAGCTGTGAATCTGTCTGGTCCTGGGCTTTTTTTGGTTGGTAGCCTATTAATTACTGCCTCAATTTCAGAACTTGTTATTGGTATATACAGGGATTCAGCTTCTTCCTTGTTTAATATTGGGAGAGTGTATGTGTCCAGGAATTTATCCATTTCTTCTAGATTTTCTAGTTTATTTGTGTAGAGATGTTTATAGTGTTCTCTGATGATAGTTTGTATAGTTCTGTGGCATCAGTGGTGACATCCATTTTATCATTTTTTATTGTGTCTATTTGATTCTTCTCGCTTTTCTTCTTTATTATTCTGGCTAGTGGTCTATTTTGTTAATCTTTTCAAAAAACCAGCTCCTGGATTCATTGATTTTTTTGAAGGTTTTTTTGTGTCTCTATCTCCTTTACTTCAGCTCTGATCTTAGTTATTTCTTGTCTTCTGCTAGCTTTTGAATTTGTTTGCTCTTGCTTCTCAATTTTTTTTTTTCCTTTTGAGTCAGAGTCTCACTGTGTTGCCCAGGCTGGAGTGCAGTGGTGCGATCTCGGCTCACTGCAACCTCCGCCTCCCGGGTTCAAGCGATTCTCCTGCCTCAGCCTCCTGAGTTGCTGAAACTACAGGCATATGCCACCACGCCTGGCTAATTTTTGTATTTTTAGTACAAACAGGGTTTCACCATGTCGGCCAGGATGGTTCTCTAGTCCTTTTAATTGTCATGTTAGGGTGTCAATTTGAGATCTTTCCCGCTTTCTCCTGTGGGCATTTAGTGCTATAAATTTTCCTCTAAACGCTGCTTTAGCTGTGTCCCAGAGATTCTGATACGTGTGTCTTTGTTCTCATTGGTTTCAAAGAACATCTTTATTTCTGCCTTCATTTCATTACTTACTTACCCAGTAGTCATTCAGGAGCAGGTTGTTCAGTTTCCATGTAGTTGTGCAGTTATGAGTGAATTTCTTAATCCTGAGTTCTAATTTGATTGCACTGTGGTCTGAGAGAGATTGTTTGTTATGATTTCCATTCTTTTGCATTTGCTGAGGAGTGTTTTACTTCCAATTATGTGGCCAACTTTAGAATAAGTGCTATGTGGTGCTGAGAGGAATATATATTCTATTGATTTTGGGTGGAGAGTTCTGTAGATGTCTTTTAGGTCTGCTTGGTCCGAGCTGAGTTCAAGTTCTGAATATTCTTGTTAATTTTCTGTCTTGTTGATCTGTCTAATATTGACAGTGAGGTGTTAAAGTCTCCCACTATTATTGTGTGGGAGTCTAAGTCTCTTTGTAGGTCTCTAAGAACTTGCTTTATGAATCTGGGTGCTCCTGTATTGGGTGCATATATATTTAGGATAGTTAGCTCTTCTTGTTGCATTGATCCGTTTACCATCACGTAATGCCTTTCTTTGTCTTTTTTGATCTTTGTTGGTTTAAAGTCTGTTTTATCAGAGACTAGGATTGCAACCCCTGCTTTTTTTTCTTTTCTTTGCATTTGCTTGATAAATCTTCCTCCATCCCTTTATTTTGAGCCTATGTGTGTCTTTGCATACATAGACACAAATGACTAAACTCTGAATTTTTTTTTTTTTTATCTTGCCCAAACTTCTATCTAAGAGGTCTGGGAGTTACGTCCTACAAACCATAAATTTTCATCAGATGAGTTTTATTTAACCCAATATATTGTGACTTACTTTCCAATATGACTCTGACATAACATTATGTGACAAAGAAGAAAGTCAAAATATTTTACCCCAAAACATGTTTTTTTTTTTTGCCTGTTTTGAAATGGTCCTGCAAGCTGTTCTTTGTAGGGAAAATGGGCATCTGTAAAGAATCTCTATTAACATAGCTAGATCTTTTTCTTCTAGGCCCTCCCAATCCTGAAGAGATTAAGTAAGAGTCTAGCACCCTTTAAAGATCTGAATGGGAAATATTTGTCATCTTTTATCTCTAAGAACAGCCACTCTGAGACTTCAAAAGAACATTGATCTCCACAATCTTTTATCTTAACTTGAACCTAAACGTTTCCTTTCTATAAAATGTTAAAATATTATTTAGGAGAAATAAACCTGTCTTTGACTGTTGAGCCACTTTTTGTGTTTCTTTAATCTTTTTTAACACTTACAAGTACCTCTTTTCTTGCTTGCATGCCTTCTAAAGGAAATGGCTGTAGTTGTTACCCTTTTTTCTCTATAGATAAGTTCTTCACACTGTGGCATTTTTTTCAATATTTTCTTTATGTCTTTGATTTTATGTAGCTTGAATATTCCTACATGTAATTTTTTTTGGTTTGGTTTGGTTTGGTTTGGGGGTTGTTTTGTTCTGTTTTGTTTATGGTATTTCTTCTTGCTGTTCTCTGAGCTTCCTGGATCTGAAATTATCTGTCATTAATTTTGAAAAGTTCTTGGCTGTTATTACTTCCAGTATTTCTTCTGTGCTTTCTCCTTCAGGATTTTGATTATGTGTATGTTATATCTTTTGAAATTTTCCCACAATTTCAGGATGTCCTTTTTTCTTTTTTTCTTGTTGCATTTTAGTTTGAGAACTTTCTATTTATTTACTTTCAAACTTATTTTTCCCTCTATGGTATTGAGTCTACTAATGAGCTGATCAAACATAATCTTTATTTCTGACGAAGTCATTTTTATTTCTAGCATTTCTTTTTCAATCTTTCTTAGAGTTTCTGTCTTTCTGCTTACATTACCCCTCTGTTCTTGGATGATGTCTACTTTTTTCATTAGAAACCTTATATTGTGGTTATTTAATATTCTCTGTCTGATAAGCTCAACAATTGTGTCATATCCAATTCTGATTTCGATGTTTGTATTGTCTTTTAAGATTTTTTTTTTTTTTTTGCTTTTGACATGTTTCGTAATGTTTTGTTGAAAGCCAGACATGTTGTACTAAAAAACAGGAACAGGCGTAAACAGGACTTGTGTATGAAGATGTATGTTAATCTAGCTAGAAGTTGGGCTATGTTCAATGTTTGGTTTTGAAGAACATCTAGGTGGTTTCTAGCTTTGGGACATTGTGAATACAACTGCTATGAACATTTATTTGCCAGTTTTTGTGTGAATATAAGTTTTCATTCTTGTGAATAAATGCCTAAGAGTGCAACTTCTGGGTCATATGATAACTGCATGTTCAGTTTTATTAAAAAATTATCCAGAGTGGCTGTACAATTTTACATTCCTACAAGCAATGTAAGTGATCCAGTTTATCTTCATCTATTTTTAAGCACTTTCTTATATTCTGATATCACCAGATGTTTTTGGTTCATTTTGTATTTTCCCTGTCCCAGTTCTACAATGAACTTATCAAAGGAGCCCTGGTTCTCTTTGTTGAAGAATGATATTTCTCAGTTTCTGGGCTATGAGTGTTCTGGTTGCTCCTCGACCTTTTCAACAGATAGGGATATGAAATATGTGCAAATATCCTAAGCTACATACAGACACACACACACATGCACACATATATGTGTGTGTATAGTGTTACATATATTTCCATATATATTCCTCTTATATATATATTTTTAAACCATAAATAGTATATACTGATACCTTTTATTGCAATTCAGTAACACATGTTCTAATTTAGCTTTTCCTGCTCCTTATTTAAAACAATTTCTCCATCAGTGAGAAACCTTGCTCTTTTTACATACAGTATATTCACATATTTATTCAATCCTAGTACATGTATAAAGTAATTACAGAATTGGTAACCCATATCACTGTGATAAAAGACTTACAAGTAATCTACAGTATTTCAGTGTAGTTCTTTTTGTCTTTAGCCTATAGTATGCAGGCAAAGACTGCTTTCCAAAATTATTCAAGTTCTTTTTTTTCCTTTTCCCCTTCAATGTGGTTAAGTTATTCATTTGTAATACAACACTACAAATACTGAATTTGTAAGATTTTTGGGTCAATTAGTTATCGTTTGGATTTCATTTTTTGCTCCCCATACAGCCTGGATAAATTTAACTATTTATTTTCTGGGGCATACAAGATGTTGTTGTAATTCTAGGAGCCAAAATTATGCACAAAGTTATACTTTGAGAATTATTACCCCATCCTCATCCCTACTAGTCTGTTTCCATTTCTCATTCATTTTCACCCCTTACCCTTCTTAATTCCGTACGTATCTAATATCTTTAGCATCTGGTATACCCTTCCTGTATCTCTTCTGCACAAATAACTGGATGCACGTGTATTCTATTATATACTCTTCTTTCTTCCTTGAAAGATAATATAATATGGATACTGTTACATTTTGTTTTTCTCACTCAATTTTATATCCTAGATGTCATTTCAAATCTGTTCATAGAGAGCTACCTTCTTCTTTTTGACAACTGCCTAGTGATTACCTATGTGGATATGCTATTTATTCAACCTCTCTCCTATGCACTAACATTTAGGTTGTTTCCAATATTTTACTATTACAAACAATGCTGCAATGAATAAGTCTGTGCATATATATGTTTGTATATGTTTGTGTTGTTTGAGGTGTATCTTCAGATTATACTTCTAGAAGTGAGATTTATGGGTCAGAGGTAAGTTTGCGCATATAGTTTTAGTAGGTATTGTCAAATTTTCCTTTAGAAAAGTTGAACCAATTTGCATTACCACCAACAATGTATGTATGAGTGCCTGTTTCTTCACAGCACTGCCAGCAGAGTGTATCAGCATACCTTTTAATTTTGCCCAGTCCAACCAAGAAATTAATAGTATCTGGGTGTTTTAATTTGTATTTTCTAATTACAAGTGAGTTTGAAAGCCATTTTATATCTTTGTTGACAAATTATCTTTTCATGTCATCTTCTTTTTTTTCTATTAGTTTTTTAGTCTTTGGTCCCTATATTTTTAAGAGTTCTATGTATATTAGGGATGTCAATCCTTTGTTTGATGCATATAGTGTAAATATTTTCCCCTAGTTTTTTGGATGTCTTTTGAAATGTTATATTTTTTAAAAAACCATGCAGTGTTCTCTGTAGTTGAACTCACTGATCTTTTCTATTATTGGCTTAAGATTTTGAGTCAAATTTAGGTAGTCTTTTCCTACACCAAGGTTAAGCAATAATTCATCTCTACTTTTTTTTTATAGGACTTGTAGTCTTGTCTTGTATGAGATATGATTTTGCCTATTTTTTTTTTTACAAATTGCTACTAGTTGTCTCAGAATCATTTATTTAAAAGTCTATCTTTACTACCAGTGATTTGAACCATCTTCACAAATTTTTTTTCCAGTGACAGAATTTATCTTGAGAGTATAATTTTTTCTCAGCACTTTAGAGATGTCATTTCATTGCTTTGTGGCCATTGTTTCTGATGAAAAGTAATTTTTAATTCATGTTATTTTTCTTGTGTTTATAGTGTGTTTTATTTTCTCTGGTTTTTTAAAAGTTTGCTTTCTCCCCCTTGTTTTAGTGATGTGAATGTGACGGGCCTCTGTGTAGATTTCTTTATATTTGTCCTCCTTGGGATCGCTGCATTTGCATCTTTGATTTGATATCTATATTCAAAAGTTTGGGTCATTATTTTTTCAAATATTTTCTCTGTATGCCCTTTCAGGAACCCCAATTACATGCAGATCTGACTTTTAAAATATTATTCCACAAAATCGGGCACTCTCTTTTATTTTTTAACTCTTTTTTGCTATATTTGTGTTTCATTTTAGGTATTTTCTTTGATCAATTTGAAGTTCACTAATTGTTTCCTTTGTATCTAGCCTGGTCTTAGGTCCATTTGATTCACTTTTCACTTATGTTACTTTATTTTTTGTTTCTATCATTTTCATTTGATTTTTTATAGTTTCCATGTCTCTGCCAGAATTTATCATTGGTTAACACATTTTGTTCACCATTTTCATAAGATTCATTAGCATTAAAAACAATCATACTTTTTAAAAAAATTTATTATACTTTAAGTTCTGGAATACATGTGCAGAATGTGCCATTTTGTTACATAGGTATACACATGCCATGGTGGTTTGCTGCATCTATCAACCTGTCATCTACATTAGGTATTTCTCCCAATGTTATCCTTCCCCTAGCCCCTGACCCCTCAACAGGCCCCAGTATGTGATGTTCCCCTCCCTGTCTCCATGTTTTCTTATTGTTCAGTTCCCACCTATGAATGAGAACATGTGGTGTTTGGTTTTCTTTTCAACTGTTAGTTTTCTGAAAATGATGGTTTCTAGCTTCATCCATGTCCCTGCAAAGGATATGAACTCATCCTTTTTTATGGCTGCATAGTATTCCATGGTGTATATATGCCACATTTTCTTTATCCAGTCTATCATTGATGGGCATTTGGGTTGGTTCCAAATCTTTGCTATAGTAAACAGTGCCACAGTAAACATACGTGTGCATGTGTCTTTGTAGTAGAATGATTTATATTCCTTTGGGTATATACTCAGTAATGGGATTGCTGGGTCAAATGGTATTTCTGGTTCTAAATCCTTGAGGAATCACCACATTGTCTTCCACAATGGTCGGACTAATTTACACTCCCACCAACAGTGTAAAAGCGTTCCTATTTCTCCACATCCTCTCCAGCATCTGTTGTTTCCTGACTTTTTAATATTCGCCATTCTAACTGGCATGAGATGGTATCTCATTGTGGTTTTGATTTGCATTTCTCTAATGATCAATGATGATGAGCTTTGTTACACATGTTTTTTGGCTGCATAAATGTCTTCTTTTGAAAACTTTCTGTTTATTTCCTTTGACTACTTTTTGATCGGGTTTCTTTTTTTCTTGTAAATTTGTTTAAGTTATTTGTAGATTCTGGATATTAGCCCTTTGTCAGATGGATAGATTGCAAAATTTTTCTCCCATTCCGTAGGTTGCCTGTTCACTCTGATGATAGTTTCTTTTGCTGTGCAGGAGGTCTTTAGTTTAATTAGATTCCATTTGTCAATTTTGACTTTTATTGCCATTGCTTTTGGTATTTTAGTCAAAGTGTTTTAGTCATTTGCCCATGCCTATGTCCTGAATGGTATTGCCTAGGTCTTCTTCTAGGGTTTTTACGGTTTTAGGTTTTACTTTTAAGTCTTTAATCCATCTTGAGTTAATTTTTGTGTAAGGTGTAAGGAAGGGGTCCAGTTTCAGTTTTCTGCATATGACTAGCCAGTGTTCCCAACACCATTTATTAAATAGGGAATCCTTTCCCTATTTCTTGTTTTTTGTCAGGTTAGTCAAAGATCAGTTGGTTGTAGATGTGTGATGTTATTTCTGAGGACTCTGTTCTGTTCCATTGGTCTATATATCTGTTTTGGTACCAGTACCATGATGTTTTGGTTACTGTAGCCTTGTAATACAGTTTGAAGTCAAGCAGGGTGATGCCTCTAGCTTTATTCTTTTTGCTTAGGATTGTCTTGGCTATACCGGCTTTTTTTTTTTTTTTGGTTCCATATGAAATTTAAAGTAGATTTTTCTAATTCTGTGAATAAAGTCAATGCTAGCTTGATAGGGATAGCATTGAATCTCTAAATTACTTTAGGCAGTATGGCCATTTTTATGATATTGATTTTTCCTATCCATGAGCATGGAATGTTTTCCCATTTGTTTGTGTCCTCTCTTATTTCCTTGAGCAGTGGTTTATAGTTCTCCTTGAAGAGATCCTTCACATCCCTTGTAAGTTGGAATCCTAGGTATTTTATTCTCTTTGTAGCAATTGTGAATGGGAGTTCACTCATGATTTGGCTCTCTGTTTGTCTATTATTGGTGTATAGGAATGCTTGTGATTTTTGCACATTGATTTTGTATCCTGAGACTTTGCTGAATTTGCTTATCACATTAAGGAGTAAAAACAATTATTGTTATTTTATATTCTGTTGGATAATGCAACTTCTGTATCAGCTCTCGTTCTGCTTTTATTCATTGTTTTCTTTCTTTTCCATGGGCCATTTATTGATATGAGACTGATGACTTTCTGGAGTTCTCATTATGATTTACAGTTGAGCCACCAGCTTTGTTAACCATAGGAGATCACTTTTTCTGCATTATAGTTCACTGTCAGGTTATTAAGTAACTAGAGAATTCTAATTGCTCTCTGGTACCTGTGACTGGTAACTTTCTGTACCTTGTGAATCTCCCTCTTCCCTACTGGTCTGTACCCAGTCTTCAGAGCACAGCCACCTTGCATTTGATAAAGGTCTTTAAATGACTCAAAGGCAGTTCTCTCAGCTCTCTTGCCCTTTCCCCAGGCCTTTGGTAGCTAAATTCCTCAAGGGCCTCAGATGGATTTCTCTCATGTTGTATGCCCTTTCCTTCTTATTAAGAGTGGATAGCTTGCATTTGAAGTAAATCCCCATGTGCTTCAGAGGGTGTCTCTTTCAGTTCTACTGTTCTGTTTCCAGCCTGTAGTATACTACCCCAGAGACCTATGTGAATCCCTGAGAGAGAGTTGGAAGGTGGGTACAAGTTCACTCAGTGGCTGGGGCTCCTTAGAATTATAATCTTTCATGCCTGTCTACATGTTCTTGAGTTTCTTAAAGTTTCAGCTAATTTCTCATTTTAAAAAAATCAGTGGCAGCTTACTCCTCATATTATTTCATCTGGGATGAGACTAACCATGGATCTTCTGTTTTATGAAAGACTTGTCATTTTCTAGAAGCTTGTTAATTTAGGTTTTGTTTTATATCATATCTGCAGCTCTTTGATGAATTAAAAATAAAGACTTATTTTTAGCTTATTAAAATTGTTTTAGTTGTTAGAATGAGAATGATGGTTTGTGGTATTTTCTATCAATAAAATCAATCTTAGAACCAAAGATATGCTTCCCAGGAGAGATCTATAACCATCCATCCCCATATTCTATCTCAAATTTAAACGTCAGATATTATATCATACGAGGTAATGAGGGCTACCTTTGACATTAACTACAAATGCTATGACATTCTTATGTCCTTGAAACTGTCTATTTTAGATATTTATTTACAGATCTTTTTTCTTGACATATTTATATGTAAGCTTTACAACAAGTCCTAACAACATCATCGATAGCTTCTTGGAAACTCCAACTCGAAGTGAAATAATATAGAACAAAATCGACAAAATCAATTTTTATCATAGTCTAATTGCTATAAACAAGAGTTAATTTCTAAGGTATATTTCTGGTTACAAAAACATCATCAAACTTCTAAGTAAGCATCAAAACACTTCTAATATTAAACATTGAAATAAAAAAGAGCTACTTATACATTTAAGAAAGATTAATAAAAACAAATGAGATAATTATTTACCCAGTTATTCCAGTTCAGGGTTGCAGGTGGCTAGAGCCTATCCTGGCAGCTCAGGGTACAAGTGGGGAACCAACCATGGACAGGATGTCATTCTACCACAGGACACACTTACACACATACACCCACACTCACTCAGGCTGTGACAATTTAGAGATGCCAATTAACCTAACGTACACATTTTTGAGATATGGGAAGAGACCAGAGTACCCAGAGAAAACCTACACAGACATGGGGAAAATGTGAAAACTCCATTAAAAAAAAATCAATTTTTTCTCATCAACATTACAACAAAACATTATCGAAGGACCTGTACTATCTCTGGGGGTTAGTATATATTGTATAGCTCACTATGCAATGTATGAAGCATTATTTTTTGGAAAATAATTTCTAATCCCTATAACTAGTTTTAATCTTTCTGTACTTCTTTGTTCACAATCTCAGCCAACACTTACTACAGCATGTAATAATGTCTTCATACTCTCCCCACAGAATGTATTTTTAGCTCTGTACTTCTAAAGCCATGAAACTCTAATTAAAATATTATCTAAGTATTTGCATGTCATGAGGCTGCTCATATTTTCACAGATGGTTCCACTCCATTGTCAGATGTCTATATTTGCTGGTGGGCTGTATAAATCCTGTGACAGCCTCCTCAGAGTATCATGCTGCTATGGGAATAAATGTTTGTTTGATTTCCTATTGTTTTAGGGATATCTATAGAACTGTGTGTGGGCCTCATTAGGACACTATTCTTCTGTGCCTTATGTTAGAGTCACTTGGATGTTTGTCTGTGTATGTTCCTCCCTACTAGGATGTCAGTACTTGGATATCAGGGACTGGTTTCCTTCAGTTTTGCATTCTGCGTTCCCAAAACAGTCAGAGCTGCTACACAAAGCTTATACACTTTGTGCAGCACACAAATGTATCTGATGAAAATGGTAAGTCAGGGTTGAAAGTGAATGCTGGCTCTACTGAGCAAGCTTTGTGCCTTGGTCCAGAGCTTGAATAAAGGTATGAGTTTTTATTATTCTGCCAAATGGCTTATCTCATAAATTATCCTTCTGGAGGTGGTGACTTTAAAAAAAAATTCTCAAAAACACAATAGTATTGAGTGCAGTGCCTTGCACATAGTAAGTGCTCAATATATATGCACATTTTCTTTAGTTCAATTGAATCCCATGAAAAGCATTAAGTTGTAGCTCTGCCTTTTGGTTAGTGGTTCTGGGAGATCGAAAATGCTATCAGGAGTCCTTTAAATTTGACTTTCTAAAGAATTCTTTCCATATACACGAGCAACTCTGCTATATTTCCATCCCAGCAGAGGATATTCTGCCCTCCAGACATGCTAGAAAGTGCTGGAAACATAATACACATATCCCATAGAGAAAATTTTTATCATTAATCCCATACACATTCCTGAGTTCAAGATCAGCTGCAAATCAACAAAGAAGACTTCCCCCTACTTATCCTTTCTCCAAAGTTCTGTAAAGTAGAAAACCAACATAAAAGAATACAAAAGGGTGTTTCCTTTCTTCTGGTACTTGCATGCAATTGTGCCTCAAGAAAAGCTATGTCTGTAGCTAATCTTAATGGCTATTGCAATCATTCATGGAGTCTTAAATACATTTACTCACACACTGGATCCACATGAGATACTGACTCCATGCCGAGTTGCAATAAAGGAAGCATATTTGTTTGTTACCTACTATGCTTCATTTACTATACCAGGTATGAGTATATAAAAAAGAATAAAACATAGATCCCACAGGAATACTATAATTGTGTCAGAATGGCAGTGGGAGAGATAGCGTAAAATTTATTTGCAGGAAAAACTGTACGAAAATGAGCTTTTCATTTCATTATCAGTATTCACAGACAGCTGACAAATTTGTCTCAGAACTCCATGAGAAAGAAGACCCTTTACTTCACTTCTGACTCTTTGGGACCTCACTCCAGCAGTTATTTTCTCTCTCCCTCCTCTCTACAACCTGTCCCACTCTTCTTGATACGTAACTTCAAAAACATCCCTTCACTCAGCCCATATGTCTCCTTCAGACCATCATCTTGCATCACATGGAGGACTGTAGCAACCTTTTAGGTCATCTCCCTGCCTGTGGGCATGATTTCCTATGCAGCCAATAATATACTGCTAACATCCAAATCTGACCATGTTACTCCCCTTCCCAGAACCTTAAAATTCTCCCTAGTACAAAAAGTTAACTTTTTTCCATGTCAGGGTTCTTTATAATTGGACTCCACGTATCTCTCTAGCCCAGTTTCTACCATCTCTTTTTAACCTCCTCTCCTTGCCTATACCTTGCATGCTAACGCTTTAACTTTTCTTTACCAATACATGTCGTCATCTGTTGTCTCCAATCATTCATAAGAAATATCCTTCTTCTTCATTACCTATCCCTTATTTACCTTATAATATTCAACCAAGGTATCACTTTGTCTGCAATATATTCCTTGATAACCAATTCCACCTTCATCCCATACACTCTCTAGCATTTTACACACATTTTATTTTATTTTGTTTTTAACTTTTAGGTTCAAGGGTACATGTGAAGGTTTGTTACATAGGTAAACTCGTGTTATGAGGGTTTGTTGTACAGATTATCTCCTCACCCAGGTATTAAGCTCAGTACCCAAAAGTTATCTTTGCTGCTTCTCTCCCTCATCCCACGCTCCACACTCAAGTAGAACCCCATGTCTGTTGTTTCCTTCTTTGTGTTCATAAGTTCTCATCATTTAGCTCCCACCTACAAGTGAGAACATGCAGTATTTGGTTTTCTGTTCTTGCATTAGTTTGCTAAGTATGGTGGCCTCCAGCTCCATGTTCCTGCAAAGGCATGATCTTGTTCTTTTATATGGCTGCATAGTATTCCATGGTGTATATGTACCACATTTTCTTTATCCAATCTGTCATTAATGAGTACTTGGATAGATTCCATGTCTTTGCTATTATAAAGAGTGCTGCAATGAACATTCAGTTGCATGTGTCTTTATGGTAGAATAATTTACACATATTTTAATAATAATACCTAGGTCACATGCAAATTGTCTGTTTCAGCATCTGCCTTCCTCATAGGCCATAAACTCCTTGAACATAGAGACTGTCTTTTTATCTTTCTATCTCTAAGACTTTTCATAGAGCCTGGCACATAATAGACTCTCAATAGATTTTTTGGTGAATACATAATTTAATTTTTTTCTACATTTTATCTGTATTTTATTCTATTCTTTAAAAAGCTTACTCTGCTACATGGGCAATAAACAATAGGGAAAGCAAGAGTGAAAGCCCTACTTAGTCATCTGAAAAATAAAAATGATCACCTATTTTATAATCAAATTGGTTAGCAATCACTTTTAAATTCATTATTTAGGCAACCAACTGTGTATGGAGCATTAATCAGTTATTGCCATTGAAAAAACAGTTCCAAGTAACTTTGAGGATGTTACCTACACACACACACACACACACACACACACACACACACACACACAATTTGACAGTGTATTAAAGACCTATTTTGACCCATGTTCTTTCTTCCTTCTACAAAAATTTATTAACGGTCCACAGTGAATAGGTGTTGTGCTAGGTGATGAGGATGGAGCGATGAAGGATGAACAGACTCAGTCTCTGCCATTGTGGAACTTTAGTGCTTCTAGAATGCCTTCAATCAATGCATTATGCGCTCACTTCTCTAGAAACTCAACAATGCTTTCTTCCATGGAATCATTGCCTGACTTCTAAAGAAAAGGTTAGGCTTTCCTGGGACTGAGTACCTCTACTTGTACCATCTATCATAGTGTCTTGTAATGATCAATTCATTTCTCTTCCCTTTAGGTATAAGCTAAAAAAAAAAGAAGAGGAAAAAATGTTTTAAATTTTTCCCCAATACTCCAACAGGGCCAGTGAAAGGAGGCATGGAATAAGTATTTTTTAAGAAAATGAGCAAATTATCAACTGGCATTAAGCCTGGCACTCACCGCAGTAAAATGCACATATTTCACCATCAATAACCAAAGCCTATGGTGTAGTGTCCTGTTACTTTAAAGATAATTTCCAAAAAAGATATGTTTTACCACAAAGAGAAATGCTATTAGAATTCTTCGAAGCTGCAGCTTTAACATGTAATTTTCTTATTTTTCTTCAGAATAAGAAGCAGATATAAGATTTCATTGCTCTCCTGCTGTTAACTTTCATATTACATGCTCTTCAGGCTATTAAAGCCTGACATCTCATTACTGTCCTATTTATAACGATGCCATTGATTTATATATCATCTTAATGTGCCCTCTTCATGGTAACTTACTGCCCCTCAGGAAAGAGCTAAAAATTATGAGTGTTTGCTGAACATACAACAGAATTCATTTTCCATAGGAGGCCTATAGTGAGAAGGCAATAGGAGTAAGCCATTCATCCCAGAAATTTAAATGCTAAATACTTGGAGGGAAAAAAACCTTAAACTCCACAATAGAATCTTGACTTTTTTTTTTTGCATTTAGATAGGCTAGATAACAATGCTGGGCGGACTGTATACCAGTGTTCCATATAGAATTATTTTCAAGATTAAGAAAATATGAAGAGCTTGATGGTATTATAGAAACACTGATTTCAAAATGTTAAATAAATTATATTTGAAGAATGTATTGTGTGCTTTTAGAGTAATATCTGGCAATTGAATTTGGTTGCCTATGGCAAAGAACTCAGGATTAGAGAAACCCTGAACTATGGGATCTGGCTTGAAACTGAGTCTGGTTAGAAATATCTAAATTTTTTGTCTATTTAGCTGAACAGACCTGTAGAAGAACAAGGAGATTAACAACTGTGCTAGAAAGTGCAATTATCATTTCCTTTAGTCTTAGTGGATTAAACACATGTATTTATCTTTGTTCTTCTCCTCAAATCTCATTAAAATTACTATGAAGAATTTTTCAAAAATTAAAAATTCCAAATGTTAAAGCAAACAGGAAAAAATGGCAGATGAGAAAGAACACCTTATCAGAGACCTGCCTGTCTACCCTGTATAAAGCGACAGCCCAAATCTCCACTCCCTACCTTGATTACCCTACTTATTTCTATCCTACTTAACATACCATAAACCATATCATATTTTAATGGCTTTGTTTTCTGTCTCCCTCATTATAATTTAAGCTTCAGGTGCTCAGGAACTTTATTTCTGCTGGATTTAAAATCTAATACAATGCCTGATGTAGAGGAGGCATGTAATAAATATTTGTTGAACAAAATGTTAACACTTATTTGGAAAAAGGAAAGCAGATAGAATAAGAAAAGCTAATTTACCATAATGAAGAAACTAATACCTAAACCCGCCAAAAGAGATTTTGATAAAATGCAAGTCAATTCCTACTAAAGGACCCCAGAAAAACAGAAAATTAACACTTGGGTTCTTCAGATGACAGAGATGCAGAATTGGGCAAAAAAAAATTTTTTTAAAGTTGAAAATCTCAATAAGGAGAAACTGGACATCTATATCCTCTTCTCAGCCCCAATTATACCAATAATTACATTAACTTAATGGAATAAAAGCTGTAACTAAAGGGAGGAGTCCGCTAGATAAGATTAAAATAAGCAAGATCCAACTATGTGCTGTCTACACTTAGACAGCTTTGAACTGTCTAAGTTCAAATACACTTTGAACATTAAGGTATAGGTTGAAAATAAGAGGATAGAAAAACATGTAAAATGCAAACCATAAGCATAAAAAGACTGGCATAGCTAGATTAATATTAGACAAAATAGATTTTGAGAGAGTATTACTAGAGATAAAGAGACACATTTTATAATTTGAAAAGGCATATAAAACAATAATAAATGTCTATGTACCTAATAAAAGCCCTTTAAAATGCAAGAAGTAAAAGGTAAGTCTAAGACAGAAATAAGCAATTATTTTCTCTTTATCTTCAGTTTTCAGAAGTTTGACTTTGCATTGACTTCTTGTGGTTCTTCCTTAGAGTTAACTGAGCTTCTTGTATCTGTAAATTTATGATTCACCAAACAAGTTATTTTCAGCTCTTATTATTTAAAACATTTTTCTTCCCCATTATCTCTTCCCTCTTCTTCTGAGACTCTAATTACATATATGTTTGTTTTTTCTATGTTATCCCATGGGGCCCTGGGCTTTGTTAAGTGCTTTTTGTTGTTCTGTTTTGTTTTGTTTTTCTTTTATAATATTTTTCTCTCTGTTTTTCAGATTGGATCATTTGTATTGATCTATTTTCAAGTTCACTGCCTCTTTCACCTATCACTTTTATTCAGATGTTAAGCCTGTCTTGTAATTTTAAAATTTTATATATTTCTCATCTTAGTTCAAGATTTTCTATTTTGCCCTCTTCTATACTTTATAGTTTCTACATACGTCTGAGCATGTTTTTCTTTACCTCATTCAGCATAACTGTAACAGCTTCTTTAAAGTCCCTATCTGCTATTGTCAACATCTAAGTCACCTTGAGTATGTCCTCTGCTTATTGTGTTTTCTTTGGGGAATGAATCAACTTTTCTAGTCCCTCAAATGTCAAGTAATTTTGGATTATATCCCAGTCATTGTGACTGCTATGCTGTGAAGACCATGGATTCTATTATATTTCTCTCAAAAGTGTTGCTATTTTTTGTTTTGGAATGCAATTAAATTGGTTGGACTCAAATAGAAAACTCTGTCTCAGGGTGGCAGTTCAAATCTCAGCTAAGTCTCTTTATCCTTAGTAGGGTGCTTTGAGTTTGCTCTGTGAATGAGTGGTTCCAGGGTCAGTCTGTGATTTGAAAAGAGTTCTCACAAAGAATCAAAAGCTTCACCTCTCTCACATTCTCCTTTCCAGTACTCTTTTTCACTTTTTTTTTTTTCTTTTTTTGAGACAGAGTCTAGTCTCACTCTGTCACCCAGGCTGGAGTGCAGTGGCTCAATCACAGCTCACTGCCGCCTCAACCCCCCTGACTCAAGCAATCCTGTCACCTCAGCCTCCCGAGTAGCTGGAGCTACAGGCATGCACCACCACGCTTGGCTAATTTTTTTAAATTGTTTATAAAGACGAGGTCTCACTATATTGCCCAGGCTGGTCTCGAACTCCTAGACTTAAGTGATCCTCCTGCTTCGACCTCCCAAAGTGTTGGGATTACAGGCGTTAGCCATCACGGCTGACCTCTTCTCTCAGTTTTTCAGCAACCATGAGTCCTCTGAACTCTGTTGTCTGGTTCTTCATGCCAGAAAATTTGTGGGCTTTCTATCAGAATTTTGATGCTCAAGCACTGCTGGCTACAGTCTGCCCTCATGCTGAAAACTGTCAAAACAGAAAATTCACCTGTTATAGCGTTTTTTTGTCCTTACTCCAAAATTTGCCTGCTCTTGTTCAGTATCCTGAGCCTTCAGGGTAGCTGCTTTTGTCTTTTGTCCAGAGTTTATAGATGTAAACTAAAGTTCAGTCTGGTAAGGTTTGACTAAGCCATTCTGGAAAGAAACTCTTCTTCCATCATTTCTTTAAAGTAAAATTATATTAAGTGCTGAGAGTAAGACATAGTAATGAAGGTTAAGGGAACAATAGGTCATAATAAAAGCAAGGTGGGGCCAGGTGTAGTGGCTCATGCTTGTAATCCCAGCACTTTGGGAGGCAGAGGCAGGTGGATCACTAGAGGTTGAGAGTTTGAGACTAGCCTGGACAACATGGTGAAACCCTGTCTCTACTGAAAAATACAAAAAAAAAAAAAAAATTAGCTGAGCACGGTGATGTTCACCTGTAGTCCCAGCTACTCGGAAGGCTGAGGCAGGAGAATCACTTGAACCTATGAGGTGGAGGATGCAGTGAGCCAAGATTGTGCCACCGCACTCCAGCCTGGGTGACAGAGGGAAATTCCATCTTAAATAAATAAATGCAAGGTGTTGGTATTGGGTGTCTAAGAAAGGTAATAAGGGGATCAGAAAATATTGCAATGAGGAATCTCTAACTAGGTGATCCTTTGAAATCTAGGAAGTATCTCAGAGATCTCTGAACAGGAAAGAAGACTCAGTATTAGAATCATCACAAACTTCAGTCTTTGGTGGAGCAATTGGCAATGGTAAGACTGACAAGAGATGGCCCATTTATTATGACTAAGATTGAGGTGCAAGGAAACAAGGCAGAAGCCCAGCCAGACCATGAAAGAGGTCTGGATATAGACTGTACATGTGCACATGTAGATAAAGGTGTACATGTGCACATGTAGATAAAGGTGTACATGTGCACATGTAGATAAAGGCAGGTGTGCATTGATACTGAGTCACAGTATGTTGATGAGAGCTCCTATCTTGAGTAAGGGTTGGAACCAAGAGCCCTGGATAAAGGAAAGTCTTCCAAAAGGCATCAAATAACCTTGGTTTTAGAAGCATAGAGGCTAGAGGCAGAGACTTGTTCCTTCCATTGTTATAAAACTGGTTCACAGAAATATTACGTTTCCAATAGCTCCATTGCCTTGTCTCCTTAAGGAAGATACTCCTTTTTTATGCTTTTTGTATTCTTTATGGCAGTGTTTATCAAGCAGGATGTGCGGTCACTTGGGCATCTTTTTATTTTTATTTCTAGTTTTTAAAATTTTTTTATTATTATTACACTTTAAGTTTTAGGGTACATGTGCACAATGTGCAGGTTTGTTACATATGTATGTATACATGTGCCATGTTGGTGTGCTGCACCCATTAACTCGTCATTTAACATTAGGTATATCTCCTAATGCTATCCCTCCTCCCTCCCCCCACCCCACAACAGGCCCTGGATTGTGATGTTCCCCTTCCTGTGTCCATGTCTTCTCATTGTTCAATCCCCACCGATGAGTGAGAACATGCAGTGTTTGATTTTTTGTCCTTGCGATAGTTTGCTGAGAATGATGGTTTCCAGTTTCATCCATGTCCCTACAAAGGACATGAACTCATCATTTTTTATGGCTGCATAGTATTCCATGGTGTATATGTGCCACATTTTCTTAATCCAGTCTATCGTTGTTGGACATTTGGGTTGGTTCCAAGTCTTTGCTATTGTGAATAGTGCCGCAATAAACATACATGTGCATGTGTCTTTATAGCAGCATGATTTATAATCCTTTGGGTACATACCCAGTAAGGGGATGGCTGGGTCAAATGGTATTTCTAGTGCTACATCCTTGAGGAATCGCCACACTGACTTCCACAATGGTTGAACTGGTCTACAGTCCCACCAACAGTGTAAAAGTGTTCCTATTTCTCCACATCCTCTCCAGCACCTGTTGTTTCCTGACTTTTTAATGATCGCCATTCTAACTGGTGTGAGATGGTATCTCATTGTGGGTTTGATTTGCATTTCTTTGATGGCCAGTGATGATGAGCATTTTTTCATGTGTTTTTTGGCTGCATAAATGTCTTCTTTTGAGAAGTGTCCGTTCATATCCTTCGCCCACTTTTTGATGGGGTTGTTTGTTTTTTTCCTGTAAATTTGTTTCAGTTCATTGTAGATTCTGGATATTAGCCCTTTCTCAGATGAGTAGGTTGCAAAAATTTTCTCCCATTTTGTAGGTTGCCTGTTCACCCTGATGGTAGTTTCTTTTGCTGTGCAGAAGCTCTTTAGTTTAATTAGATCCAATTTGTCAATTTTGGCTTTTGTTGCCATTGCTTTTGGTGTTTCAGACATGAAGTCCTTGCCCATGCCTCTGTCCTGAATGGTATTGCCTAGGTTTTCTTCTAGGGTTTTTATGGTTTTAGGTCTAACATGTAAGTCTTTAATCCATCTTGAATTAATTTTTGTATAAGGTGTAAGGAAGGGATCCAATTTCAGCTTTCTACATATGGCTAGCCAGTTTTCCCAGCACCATTTATTAAATAGGAAATACTTTCCCCATTGCTTGTTTTTCTCAGGTTTGTCAAAGATCAGATAGTTGTAGATATGCGGCATTATTTCTGAGGGCTCTGTTCTCGTCCATTGATCTATATCTCTGTTTTGGTACCAGTACCATGCTGTTTTGGTTACTGTAGCCTTGTAGTATAGTTTGAAGTCAGGTAGTGTGATGCCTCCAGCTTTGTTCTTTTGGCTTAGGATTGAATTGGCGATGCGGGCTCTTTTTTGGTTCCATATGAACTTTAAAGTAGTTTCTTCCAATTCTGTGAAGAAAGTCATTGGTAGCTTGATGGAGATGGCATTGAATCTATAAATTACCTTAGGCAGTATGGCCATTTTCACAATATTGATTCTTCCTACCCATGAGCATGGAATGTTCTTCCATTTGTTTGTATCCTCTTTTATTTCCTTGAGCAGTGGTTTGTAGTTCTCCTTGAAGAGGTCCTTCACATCCCTTGTAAGTTGGATTCCCAGGTATTTTATTCTCTTTGAAGCAATTGTGAATGGGAGTTCACTCATGATTTGGCTCTCTGTTTGTGTGCTATTGGTGTATAAGAATGCTTGTGATTTTTGGACATTCATTTTGTATCCTGAGACTTTGCTGAAGTTGCTTATCAGCTTAAGGAGATTTTGGGCTGAGACGATGGGGTTTTGTAGATATACAATCATGTCATCTGCAAACAGGGACAATTTGACTTCCTCTTTTCCTAATTGACTACCCTTTATTTCCTTCTCCTGCCTGATTGCCCTGGCCAGAACTTCCAACACTATGTTGAATAGGAGTGGTGAGAGAGGGCATCCCTGTCTTGTGCCAGTTTTCAAAGGGAATGCTTCCAGTTTTTGTCCATTCAGTATGATATTGGCTGTGGGTTTGTCATAGATAGCTCTTATTATTTTGAGAGACGTTCCATCAATACCTAATTTATTGAGAGTTTTTAGCATGAAGGGTTGTTGAATTTTGTCAAAGGCCTTTTCTTCTTCTGTTGAGATAATCATGTGATTTTTGTCTTTGGTTCTGTTTATATGCTGGATTACATTTATTGATTTGCGTATGTTGAACCAGCCTTGCATCCCAGAGATGAAGCCCACTTGATCATGGTGGATAAGCTTTTTGATGTGCTGCTGGATTCAGTTTGCCAGTATTTTATTGAGGATTTTTGCATCAATGTTCATCAAGGATATTGGTCTAAAATTCTCTTTTTTCATTGTGTCTCTACCAGGATTTGGTATCAGGAGGATGCTGGCCTCATAAAATGAGTTAGGGAGGATTCCCTCTTTTTCTATTGATTGGAATAGTTTTAGAAGGAATGGTACCAGCTCCTCCTTTTACCTCTGGTAGAATTCGGCTGTTAATCTCTCTGGTCCTGGACTTGTTTTGGTTGTTAAGCTATTGATTATTGCCACAATTTCAGAGCCTGTTATTGGTCTATTCAGAGATTCAACTTCTTCCTGGTTTAGTCTTGGGAGAGTGCATGTGTTGAGGAATTTATCCATTTCTTCTAGATTTTCTAGTTTATTTGCATAGAGGTGTTTGTAGTATTCTCTGATGGTAGTTTGTATTTTTGTGGGATCGGTGGTGATATCCCCTTTATCATTTTTTATTGCATCTATTTGATTCTTCTCTCTTTTCTTCTTTATTAGTCTCACTAGCAGTCTATAAATTTTGTTGATCTTTTCAAATACCAGCTCCTGGATTCATTAATTTTTTGAAGGGTTTTTTGTGACTCTATTTCCTTCAGTTCTGCTCTGATTTTAGTTATTTCTTGCCTTCTGCTAGCTTTTGAATGTGTTTGCTCTTGCTTTTCTAGTTCTTTTAATTGTGATGTTAGGGTGTCAATTTTGGATCTTTCTGCTTTCTCTTGTGGGCATTTAGTGCTATAAATTTCCCTCTACACACTGCTTTGAATGTGTCCCAGAGATTCTGGTATGTTGTGTCTTTGTTCTCATTGGTTTCAAAGAACATCTTTATTTCTGCCTTCATTTTGTTATGTACACAGTAGTCATTCAGGAGCAGGTTGTTCAGTTTCCATGTAGTTGAGTGGTTTTGAGTGAGGTTCTTAATCCTGAGTTCTAGTTTGATTGCACTGTGGTCTGAGAGACAGTTTGTTATAATTTCTGTTCTTTTACATTTGCTGAGGAGTGCTTTACTTCCAACTATGTGGTCACTTTTGGAATAGGTGTGGTGTGGTGCTGAAAAGAATGTATATTCTGTTGATTTGGCGTGGAGAGTTCTGTAGATGTCTATTAGGTCCGCTTGGTGCAGAGCTGAGTTCAATTCCTGAGTATCCTTGTTAACTTTCTGTCTCGTTGATCTGTCTGATGTTGACAGTGGTGTGTTAAAGTCTCCCATTATGAATGTGTGGGAGTCTAAGTCTCTTTGTAGGTCACTCAGGACTTGCTTTATGAATCTGGGTGTTCCTGTATTGGGTGCATATATATCTAGGATAGTTAGCTCTTCTTGTTGAATTGATCCCTTTACCATTAGGTAATGGCCTTCTTTGTCTCTTTTGATCTTTGTTGGTTTAAAGTCCGTTTTATCAGAGACTAGGATTGCAACCCCTGCATTTTTTTGTTTTCCCTTTGCTTGGTAGATCTTCCTCCATCCCTTTATTTTGAGCCTATGTGTGTCTCTGCACGTGAGATGGGTTTCCTGAATACAGCACACTGATGGGTCTTGACTCTTTATCCAATTTGCCAGTCTGTGTCTTTTAATTGGAGCATTTAGCCCAGTTACATTTAAAGTTAATATTGTTATGTGTGAATTTGGTCATGTCATTATGATGTTAGCTGGTTATTTTGCTCATTAGTTGATGCAGTTTCTTCCTAGCCTTGATGGTCTTTGCATTTTGGCATGTTTTTGCAGTGGCTGGTACCGGTTGTTCCTTTCTATGTTTAGTGCTTCCTTCAGGAGCTCTTTTAGGGCAGGCCTGGTGGTGACAAAATCTCTCAGCATTTGCTTGTCTGTAAAGTATTTTATTTCTCCTTCACTTTTTTATAATGAGAGTCAGTGTCTCTGGAGTGGGGCCTAAAATCCTGCATGACTAATTAGCTCCCAGGTGATACTAATGCTGCTGTGGATCACACTCTGAGTGGCAAGGTTTTATATAACCTCAATAATAGAAATAAACCCCTTTATTTGATCTACCTGTTTGCCTTCAAAACCAGATAATATCCTGCATGTTCTAACATGCCACCCTTCTAAGACTCCCAAAGAGCCCTATGTAACAGCGCAGCAGCCTAATGATCTGATGTGTCCTAACTAGCCATATTCAGCCCCCATTCAGCACAGTCCTCCTCCCTGCTTACCATCCTTGTGTTCTCCTCCTATGCTTTCTCTTTCTAGCCCTATTTCCTAGAGCATAATACTTTCAATATAGGGATTATATCCTTTCACCTAGGTCAAGGCCCTTTATACACCCAATGTGGCCAATAAATGTTTCAGCTATCGATAAATACAATAAGTTCAATAACCTATATCCAAACAAAGGTGAACCAAGGACTTTGGGCAGCTGACCCCCTATCTCACCACACATGGTACATTTCAGTACCTTCGATGTATTTTGGTACCTTCAATAAGCCAACACCCATAGCTCCTACCAGTGAGTGCAGTGTCCTGTGTATGTTTCAGCTATGATGGTTCTGGAGGATTCTAGAAAAGCTCTGAAAGAAATAGTTAACCTTTGCATTAAAAGCAATAAACTAAGTATTTTTGAAGTTAAATTATTGGTTTTAATGAATTTTGAAATCATCTTCACTGGTGTAGCAGAATAATGCTCTTTCTCTGGAAAGCTAGTCTTGGATAAAGTTGGATGGCTTTTTTTTTTTTCCGCAATTTTTTCCCTATTTTTTTTTTAACACTTTAAGTTCTGGGGTACGTGTACACAACGTGCAGGTTTGTTACATATGTATACATGTGCCATGTTGGTGTGCTGCACCCATTAACTTGTCATTTAGGTATTTCTCCTAATGCTATCCCTCCCCCAGCCCCCACCCCATGACAGGCCCTGGTGTGTGATGTTCCCCACCCTGTGTCTAAGTGTTCTCATTGTTCAATTCCCACCTGTGAGTGAGAACATGTGGTGTTTGGTTTTCTGTCTTTGTGATGGTTTGCTCGGAATGATGGTTTCCAGCTTCATCCATGTCCCTACAAAGGACATGAACTCACCCTTTTTTATGGCTGCTTAGTGTTCCATGGTGTACATGTGCCACATTTTCTTAATCCAGTCTATCACTGATGGACATTTGGGTTGGTTCCAAGTCTTTGCTATTGTGAATAGTGCTGCAATAAACATATGTGTGCATGTGTCTTTATAGCAGCATGATTTATAATCCTTTGGGTATATACGCAGTAACAGGATCGCTAGGTCAAATGGTATTTCTAGTTCTAGATCCTTGAGGAATCACCACACTGTCTTCCACAATGGTTGAGCTAGTTTACACCCCCACCAACAGTGTAAAAGTGTTCCTATTTCTCCACGTCCTCTCCAGCACCTGTTGTTTCCTGACTTTTTAATGATCACCATTCTAACTTGTGTCAGATGGTGTCTCATTGTGGTTTTGATTTGCATTTCTCTGATGGCCAGTGATGATGAGCATTTTTTCATGTGTCTGTTGGATGCATAAATATCTTCTTTTGAGAAGTGTCTGTTCATATCCTTTGCCCACTTTTGATGGGGTTGTTTGATTTTTTCTTGTAAATTTGTTTGAGTTCTTTGTAGATTCTGGATATTAGCCCTTTGTCAGATGGGTAGATTGCAAAAATTTTCTCCCATTCTGTAGGTTGCCTGTTCGCTCTGATGGTAGTTTCTTCAGCGAAAAAAGACTTTAGGTAACTGGACCTCAGACAATCATCTTGTCGAATCTCTCCATTGGTCTTTCTTTAGTGAGTCTATTGTAGAGCCTGAGAAAATATCTGCCTCTGTAACCCCAGAGGAATTATTGGGATGTCAGAGGTAGAGGAAAATGGGCCACCGTACAGCTAAGAATAGATGCTTGGGCAAAGGTAGAGCAACTGCTCTGGCTTTCACGGGTATTCTTATAGGTAATTATTTTGGGCTATACCACACATCAACCAAAATCATAAGACTAGAGACAGTCAAAGGTATACTAACAATTACAAGAACAATAATGTTAATAATTTACCATGGGACAATGTTTTATAAGGCCATTTAGTATGTTTTCTTACTTGATCATACAATGACCCTGTGAGGGGCCCAAGGCAGGCAGTGTGAACCAATTTTATTAAAAAAGATAACTGAGAGCCAATAGAAAAATGACTGACTCAGGCTCACACAGCTGCTAAGTGATGAACCAGAACTCACACTAAAGCTTCCTAATTCGATATCCATTGTTCTCCAACTACCCCATTTTGCTCACCAACTCTGTTAGCCATAAGTAAACAGAGTGTAGCCACGGGTATAAAGGGGATTACTAGAAAATAGCTTTTTAGAAAGATAATTAGGTGTGTTCAAACAAGATTTTAGTTCCTGAACCCAAAATATGTTGCTGTGCAATATAGGCAGTCTGTCTAAAAACAGGCTGGTAGGTTTCACATAAACCCACAAGACAGTGGAATTTCCTTCTCACCTTAAGACTTTTCCTGATGCAGAAATACTGACCAAATGAGATCTGAGAGCAAGTTCAGAATCCTCAAAATTAGTAGGAAGTTATAGGAGATACCAAAGGAAGAGATATCTATACAAATATGCCTTGATAATAGCCTATGACCACTATGTCCAACAAGAAGTCACACTCTTGGGAGCTGGTGAGGGAAGAAACAGCCTACTGGTGTTACCAATTGATCAAGAAGCAGAATGAACATTGGTAGAGTTTTGTTCTAACTATCAAAGCACAAATGACTGTAGAATTTTGAAATTAACCGTATCCTATACATCTTATGGAAATAGAGGAGTGCTATGAAATTCCCACTTAGATTCTCTTTACCAAGCAAGGTGTCCTTCTCTCAGCTGCACGGAGTGTTAGCTGCTAAGAGGTCGCAGCTGGACCCTTCTGCTGATACTCATCCTCAGCAAATGGAAGCCACCTACCCTGGAAATATCTGGAAGGGTGTACCTTCCCCCTGGAGGTGTGCCACTCACAGAGATGGATTAATATGAGACACAAAGGGGCTGCCCTTTGCCTCAAGGTGGAATAACTCTGTAAGCCATTCATACTCTAGAGCTCCCTGGGATTAAGGATTAGGCTTGTTCTAGGCACAGCTGAATGGGCATCTTTGCTTAGCTTCTTTCTCTGAGGTTTCACTTGAGCACTCTCCTGCAATAAATCACTTGCATAACAATGCCATGTCAGGCTCTGCTTACAGGGCACCAAACCTAAAATAAGGAGTGATGCATTAATCCAAAGGGATTCTATTTTGCTCCCCCGACCCAAGATTCATTTACTAGGTAGCAGGAAATCTTTTATTTTGTGTGTTTATGCTGAAAGACATTTCTCTTTTTAAAAGTAGGGCATAGTAATGACCTATTTTATGCCTTTGGACATGTTATGGTATATTATACCTCAGGGAATAATGATTTCTAATATGCAGTGAATATGTACAATTTGCTAGCCTCTATAATAAGGGTTTTAGTATTATAGAATTTAAGTTTTATAATAATTCTCTGAGATAGGTTCTATTATTATCATTCCTATTTTGTAGATAAAGAAACTGTGACCCAGAAAGGTTAGTTACTCTGCCCTGAGATAACACAGGTGACAAGAGTCAGAATCAAAATTTGAATCCAGTTCTATGTGACTACAGAGCCCTGGCTCTTAACCATGACATTGTATTTTCTCTCCATGCCAAGCCATTTTTTTGCAAAAATGATTGCTGAAATGACCAGGTAATTTGGGAAAGTTCCTCACAAACTGCCTACTTAACATATTCACTTGCATAAATAACGAAATTCCACATCAATTTAGTTAATTGTAACATCTCAAGATCCTCCTGCCTAGAGGATCCTGGGTGAAGATGAGGTCTGACTGGGGCATTTCTCACAGGACTATGGTAGGACTTGAGGGCTGGGTATCTCTTACCCTGGGTCTCAGTATGCAGATATAAAGTCATGCATTGGAGGAGGCTCACATGTAAAACTGGGATGGGGCTGGGTGCATTGGCTCATACCTGTAATCCCAGCATTTTGGGAGGCCAAGGCTGGTGGATCACCTGAGGTCAGGAGTTTGAGACCAGCCTGGCCAACATGGTGAAACTCTGTCTCTACTGAAAATAATAATAAAAAAATTAGCTGGGCATGGTGACGGGTACCTGTAATCCAGCTACTCAGGAAGCGGAGGCAGGAGAATCACTTGAACCCAGGAGGCAGAAGTTGCAGTGAGCCGAGATTGTGCCACTGCACTCCAGCCTGGGCGACAGAGCAAGACTTTGTCTCAAAAAAATAAAAAATAAATAAAACTGGCATGGTATTGTAGGTTGAGTACCCCAAGAAGCAGGAGCTGAGATAAGGACTTAAGTAAAATTTATCTAGAAGAAAATTCCAGGAAGTACCAGTAAGGGAGGGGAAATTGAGTCAAGGAGAATCTTGGGGAGACTGTATAAAACACGTCTCAGAATTGGTTTATTCTAGGGGCAAAGAAGCTGGAGGTTTTACCCACCAATCTGTCATTGGTGATGGTTTCTTTGTGGGGATGTTAACTCCCTGGGACTTCTGCTTACTATGGGAGGAAGCTCAGCACGCTCCTGCAGTCTAAGAACTTGCTCAGGCAGAGCTATGGTGCTTTCAGTAAGAGGCATCCACACGTAAAGAATACAAATGTCAAGGGGATGTGGAGAGGAACTGACAGCATCGGCCATAGGTAACAAAACTAGAACTTTAGGGTCATGTATTCAAAGGTTAGAAGGGCGAGCAGGAGCCATAGCATGTGGCCAACATGGAGTGTGTTGTGAACAGAAGGAAGGGCCAAGTGAGAAAGAGCAGAACAAGTCAGTGGAAGTTGGCCTGAAGCAATCTGAAGAGCATTGCTGCTGAGAAATATGCACCCAGCTTGTATGGATGTATTGGACCCATTTAATGGGGACAGAAGTGGTAGACTATTAGGATATCAAGTGATGATCCATACTTGGTAGCATATCTACCATTCCTAAGATCATCTCTTTAAAATGGCAGTAATATCTACCTACCTCCAGAGTGGGAGGCTAAATATCCTCAGACCATTTGGAAGAAAAGATTCTCATTTCTGCACAAAGGTATTCTTAACCAGAAACGCAAAAAATCCCACAGAATTAGACATGTGCCAGTGTGTGTTCTGTGCATGCCAATTTAATCCTGGTTTCAAGGGCAAGAAAAATGGCTTACATCCTGAAGCCCATTAGGGAACATTGCCCATATTATTGGCGTTAGAATTGCTGCTGTTTTATTTGTGTATCCCTCCTAAGCTAGGGTAGGTGAAACCCATTTCCTAAGAAGATTCCCTGCTTGAATGAGCCACTCTTGTAAAACTATAAAAGCAATGCTTCACTGAATAGCCAGGTATATTAAGTTGGAGGCCCATCAGCCTTCCATGGATTTACTAATAGAAAAAGAAGCAATTAGAAATCAAGGAAGTGCTAACATGCCTAGTGAGATATTGGAGGGTGTTTGGAGACCTCATTCTGCGAGAAAATGAATGAAAATATTAGTGTTGATCTTGTGCTAAAGCTTTAATGAGAAATCTCAGACTAAGCCAATGGTATTCCTCCAAACCAGTTGTGGATAGTAAAACTCAGCCTACCGTTTCTGAAACAAGTTATTTCAAAAACCACAAGATAAGGAGAGCTGAAGGTCAGGCCCCCAAATGTATTATCCTTTGGAAGATAAACTGCATCCAACAGGGTCGATCAGGTTTGCTGCCTGGCTTTGATCTACTTACGCCCAGCTGCCTTGAACTTTATTAATGTCCTGAGGATGAACAAGTAACCTGGGCTACATTTTTGGATAACTAATATTGTAGTTTATATAGTTACTTTAAGAGTAGGTCATCTCTGATGTCCTGTGGTTGCCTTTGAAGGGCTAAAGGAATTAACAAAATATGGGGGATGATGGGGGGAAGGTAGCCTAAAAGGGATGAGGAAGTGCATGAGTTTGGAATCAGACAAACCCAGTAGCAAACCATGCATCTACATGCCTCTAGCCGTGTGACTTTAGGTAAGATTTTTACCCTTGCCTAACATAAGTTTCCCCATCTATAGGAAAAGGAACTAGTAGAACCTGTCTCATAGGACCTCATGGAAAGGAAAGAAAATAATGCATCCTAAGTGCCTAACACAGTGCCTGGGTGCTTAGCAATTATACAATAAGTGGTAGCTATCATTGTTGACGGGAGGAAACATAATCTGTATTTCAGTTGCTGTATTAGATGCACTGCATACATTTTTTAACAAAAATAATTGTATCAAAGTTAGCTTTATCAAAGTTATTTTGTAAGTAGGTATTATTTTCCCTATTTTAAGGGTGAGAAAGTCAGAGAATCTGAGTGGATTGCTCCAAGTCCCATGGCTGGTGAGGGATGGAGCAGGAATTAATACAGGCCTGACTGACTCCAAAGTCTAAGCACTTGGCACTGCAAATACTTCCTTCTGTGTCCTGGAGAGGTGCTCACACAAACGCTCAGCTCCACTGGGCATTTAACTGGCATGAAACATTGTTGAAGGATGTTCTTGTCGGAGTTGCCACAGCAGTGCCAAGTGTCCATCAGTGAGTGCTTGTGTATGCTGCTGCCCTTCTTGCATGTTTCCCAGGGAGGGGAGGGAAATTTTCACACTGTCAGGGGAAGTTTACACAGACCCAAATTTCTCAACATGTCATCTGTGGCTTACAGTGGGCTACAAGAGTTTTCTTGATGGTCGGAAAAATGATCCAAAAATGCAAGTCCTTTTTTCAGTTCTTATGATAAATCAATTTTTATGATGTGAGTTTTATAAATGACTGAGTAAGCCACTGAGGCCTTTAACTTAAGGGTTGCTAAAAATTGGTGTGTGTAAATTGAGTTTAGCTCATTACCAGAATTCACCAGCAATTTGGGCTTTAACACCTGGCAAAGCTATAGTGGCCATATACATATAAGAGGTGGTTAGAAACTCCACCATTTCAAGAAAGGGCTTTATCAGTATTGTTTAAATTTGTTATCAATAAACACCTAGGCAGTTCTTACTATGTAACAGGCCTTTTATAAGCATTTGGAAATGTTAACTTGTTTTCAGTCTTCATAACATTCCTATTTCACTATTTTCAAATTGGAAAATTGAAGCACAGAGAAGTTATGCAAGTCACCCAAAGTCACACAGCTAGTGAGGGACAAGCTAGGATTTGAAGACAGGTGGTGTGGCTTTGGAGTCCACACTCTTAGCCACTGAATTTCTTCTTGTTTTGTCACTGAAAGTTTCTTTATGTTTCTTTTGTTGTGAATTGTTTGGGTATTGTTACACATTAACACATAGCTGGGCTCAAAGTTTCTAATTACTAATATTTAACAACAAAAAAACACAACTACAACATAGGTTGAGCATTTACTTTGTGCTAATCACAGTTATAAGCATATATTTATTCATTATCTTTTTACTCTCCTCCCTGTTTTACAGATTAGGAGACTGAGGAGTAGAGAGGCTAAGTAACTTGCCCCAAATCATTTTCGCACAGCTAGTAGGTAATGGAAGTGGGGTTTCAAACCCAGGTAGTCTAACTCTAGACCTAATGCTCTTAATCATATTCTACTGCAATTCAGCAATGGGTCATCTGCCACCTGGTGAGCTCATTCTCCATCAGAAAGTAAGGACAAGTAGGGTAAGTGAACTAGGAAGGATTTTGAACTCCTTGCTATAGGCCATTTTCAATGGTGGCAAGAGAGGTTGGTTAGAGTCAGCATTCACAAAGGCAGCCAACCACAGAGAAAAATATAGCATTTTGGAGCAGGCATAGCTCTGATGTTAGCAAAGAAACAAGGGAAGAGCAGACATAATGCAAGAATAGAATGTATCTCCCAGAATAGAGATACATGAAGTGGCAGCTCAGTACTGGGCTCCAGGGCCAGAGCCCTTCCCTTGTGGCTACAGACAAGTAGTTTACCTTCACTCCACCTAGTTTCCTCATCAGCAAAACACGGGTGAGGACAATCCCTACCCCACAGAATTTTGTGAAGAGTGAAAAAAAAATAATAAATGTAATGTTCCTAGCATCATTTTGGAAGCTTATGTTATTCGATGATAGTGAAATGTCTCTAATCATCTGATTTACATCATTTTCTAAATAATAAAGTTCAAATCTCTGATTCAAACACATGATAGCTATGGCCCTACCTTCTTAAGCCTTATTTGATTTTTCCCCTTTCCTTTATATTTGGCTTCTTAAAAAAGAATAATATTTACAGTACTCTGATAAAGTATATGACCTTCTTCAGTCCTGAAAAAGTAAATGATTATTTTATAGGCTACAGTGATATACCAGCAGCTGTATTGGCAGCATTTTATTTAACTGCATGTGGGACTGCAATGTATTGTCTCTGGGCCACAGCTCCATTTTTATGCAATTTGGTGGGTGGCTGTGGATTTTGGGTTTTTTTCAGGAGTCATTACTTTGCCAATCCAATCTGCATAATTCCATTTACTTGTCTTTGGAAGGAGAGACCTTGCCAGATCTATTGACTCTTACAGGAAGATTTGAGGGACATGAGATTTTTTGTTGTTGTTTCCTTCATACCAACAAAAAGGAACAGACCTGAAAAAGCTAGGTCATTCCATTCAATTCCATTGCTACATGGAAGCGCAGAGAGAAACAACATCTCTTTTCCACAATAACAAAAAAATAGTTAAAGAGCATTGCACTGGATGGCACTCCATAGAGTCCTGAAAAACAGCCGTTTCCCATTCAAATCTTGAGAAAATGTACAGAAATTTTTCCCCAGATCCTCATTCTTCCTCTTCAGGCATCCCTCTGGAACAGTGGTTTCAGTTTGTATTGGCATCACTTGGGAAATTTGATAAAGATACAAGTTCCTGAGACCTGCCTCTAGAGATTCAGATTCACTAAGTATTGGATCAAGCCCAAGTAACCTATAGATTTAGTAGGTTTGACAATCTTCCTTCCCTTTTCTGTTCTCCTCTCAGATTCTCATATGAATGGGTCCCTGTACTATATCTCTAGAAGAAGTTCTCTTGACAGCTACATACATTGTTGTTGTGCTTTGTTTTTTGTTTTAAACGTGAGTTTTAAGGGGTGCTTAGACAGTTTCATGGAAATAATTTATTTGAAATTGATAAGAAAAAGTAACAGGGATGGTGTTTTTGTCTGGTAACATGGAGAAGAAAGAGCAGAGGCTTTAGAGTTAGGCAAACTATAATTCAATCCACACTCAGTCACTTATTAGATGGATGACCTGGGAAATTACTTAATCTCCATGAGCTTCAGTTCTTTATCTATAAAATGGGAATAATAAACCCTGAAAGTTTACTCTGAATGTTAAGTGAGATGTTTTAGCTGGATACAGAAAAGGTGTAAACAAGGGCACCCGCCTTGTGTCTGGATAAGAGAGTTCATAATATGTGCTAAAATGTCCCTTTTTAAAAATAATGCTGATGCTTTTCTTTTTTAATAAAGAAAAAGAACAAATGTCTATCATTCTCTGCTGTGTTGAAACAGGGCCTTCCTGGAGCCCCTAACTTTTTAAAAAAATCTTGTACAGATGGCTTCCTGGAAAAATAGTGAAGGCTGAGCAGACTCCACCGAAGGCCCAACAGGTGGTGTGACCCAGAGGCAGTCTAATTCAGTGATGACTGATTGCTTTGGAATAGTTGCTGAGAAGCTCGGGCCTCCAAAGAGGCAAAAAGCCTACTGATTAGGGACTGCAGGAATGAGCTTCTTTTCATGGTCCACATAGCCAAGGTGGCCCTCAAACCCGAATGAAAGTGTGTAGAAATCAGTGTCAAACAGGCCTGCAAAGACCCTGTGGTCTTGCACAGTAGGGACCACGTTAATGTGAAGCCAGCAATATCCCTTCCTTCGGGCTGAGCTCAGCAGCTTCAGAGGGTTGGTTGGTAAACTTTCCACACCCAGTCCCTCAGTGATAATATGAGCCATCAGATCTTCTAAAGGCAACACTAGGCTTCCAAGTCACTCCATAAGGTCTGTTTGATGCTAGCTAGGTTTTCCATCAGGCAAACTGAGCATGAAAAATATAAAAACTTATTTTAACAAGGCATTAAAATAATTGCCATGGTTAAGATTAAAACATTATTAGTCATGTACCTCCTTATTGTTCAGTTTTTATATCGTTTTCATATTAAATCACATGGCAGGGATAGATTGGGGAGCTACATTTTTTTCAGGACCTGAGAACTCTGTAGGTCTTAAATGTCCTGGGTCTTGGCTGCTAAAGGCAGAGTTAAGCAGGGAATAGTCATTCCCTTGATTGAATTGGAAGGGTACTCACATCAACCCTCCTGCAACCAAAGCTGTGCCCCAAAATATCTCCTCCTGCCTAAGGTGTTGGAGGCTTCTGTGAAAATGAGAATTATCTTAAATCATTGAGTCACTATTGCGGATTAATGCCAAATATGCATGCTCAATGTTGCAAAGAGTATGGTCCTGAGAAGATAAGGAGTAGGTCACAGGTGCTACTATGACAGGGGCACACTTTCATTTTGAATGTTCAGAGAGAGATAATGAACCTAAATATAAGAGGGCAGCCCTTCAAGTGGGAGTGGGTCACAGAGCAGTACACTGGGCAGTTTGGAGACTATATGAGTGCCCTGGGGTAGGTGGAAGGATTAAAAAGAGGAATGATGCATTGTGGCAATTCTACCAGAAGCTTGTTGTTTTCATAACCAGTGAGAGACAGTGACATGCTTTCCAGTCAGAAGGAACAGAACCTGGACCTTTCCTTGCCTCAACTTCAAATCCTGCTGTCAGATGCGAATTTCTCTGTCTACAAGTAAGTAGAATCTTAGGGCTCCCATTCTAGACATGAGAATAAAAGAAGATTGCATCATCAATGATCAGTTTGTGTTCACTCAGTGTGGGCTTATTTTTATTTCTAATTGCCATTTTACCTTGGTTTTCTTGTATTATTTCATTCTGAAAGTCTTTTATCCCTAACTGAGTCATAAACTCTTTGAGAGAAGGAACCCTGCCTTCTTTAGCATCTCCCTCAGTGCGGAAGACTTGAGCAAATGCCAGGTGACTGATGGATTACCTGATCCTTTTCCTTCAACACATGTCCATTTGGCTTCAGTTCCTATGGCTGACTCACTGCTCCTGTACTGGCTATGAAAAGTATTACGGCTTGGGTCCCAAAAGCAAGCTTTGTTGGGCTATTCAGCCAAGCAGAGTGTAGAGAAGCAGGCTAGGGGAGAAATGCTGCATCTGCCAAACAATTCCTTGAAGATATAGATTATTGAACAATGCCAAAGATCCCAATGATGCCACTCTTAATGCCATCCAGAAGTCAAGTGAAACGGATGACTTACAAATATACTGTTGTTTTTTGCCTTTCTTTTGCTGGAGTGATTCTGGCAAGACTCCTTTTACAGTAGTACCAGAGTACTTTATCAGGGATATGTCCATAGGATTACAATCCATTTATTCACTTGTTTATTCAGCATCTTTACTAAACAACTGCTACGTGCCAGGCACCTTGCTAGAGATTAGAATGTGACATTAGAGCACAAAGAACATGAGTTTGCTATTAATAATCTACCAGAAAATTACTCCTGCCCTTCCCCAACCATTCCTCACAAAAGAAGCCAGAACAGGGACTACCGTACACTCATTGCCCACTATTGTTAGATATTTGCATGTTTTCTAATTTAAACCACACAATAAACCTTCATAAAACTGAAGCATGGAGAGGTTCAGAAACTTCTCCAAGGTCTCATACCTACCAAGTGTCAGAGCCAAGATTTGAACCCAGGCCATTTCTCCACGTTACTGACTGTGTTGTCTTTTCAACATCTTCAACACCATGGGTTCCTTCTCAGCAGCATATTGATTCTTATTCCTGTCAATGGGGTCCTATCCAATCACTTTATTCCAAAAGAGTAAAGTGAGGTTTATACTAGATCCTGTGTAATGTCATGATTCTATGCAGGCATGCCTCAGAATTACAACAAATGGCCTAGCAGCTAATGTCAGAACACACACTTCCAGACATATGGAGCACTCCTTCAACATGACAGACTATGAGTAGCAGTTACCAGGAACTACAAGATGGTGACAGTGCTGCTTCTTGAAGCTCACACGGCAAATTGCAGACTGCTCCATAGTGCTAGGCTTCACCACATTCTGAACGTGGTCTGGGGACAAACTCATCAAAGGCTGTGCCAGCAAAGCCCAGAAGCTTCCTTTGAACTCCCTTTTATTAACTTTGTCACCAAGTCATGACAGATAAGCAGCACCCAACTGGGGTTACTCTGAGCCACAAAATAGAAAGCATAAATCTATTCTCTGCCCTTTCCTCCCCTTTTTGCTCTTTTCCCTCACACCATGCATCTATGAATCACCAACCCCATCAGTTCCGTAACCTAACATGCACTTTAATATGCCCTTATTTTTCATCCCTATCTCCATTGGTTCAAACCCTCATCATTTGTCACAGGATTATTGCAGCTGCTTCAATTCGTGTCTTAATCACCATCTATCTCTTCCATACAGTGATCCTCCCCCAGAGTAGTCTATAATAAACCCAAATCTATAACTCAACTCTATATTCAAAATTTCTCACTAATTCCTCACCAACAACAGAAAAGGCATATCTTTAAAAGCTGCCCTTGCAGAGCCCTTAATGATCTGGCTTACTTTTACTTTTCAGATTTCTCTTTTGACAATCCCAGTATGAACAGCATAACACTTGTGTAAATATACAGAATACTCATACCTCTGTGTTTTTGTATGTGCTTTTTCTTCTGCCTCAAATGCTTTTTCTTATTTTGGTGAATTGCTGCTTATCCCTCAAAACCCAACTAAAATATGGGAAACCTTTTCCTAACCTTCCCAGATAGACTTAGTTGTTACTTCTTTGTGCTTCGAAGTACTTTTTCACACATTTATTACCACATTTGAATCAAATTAAAATTTATTGGTTAATTACACTACAAACTACTCAAAGTACCAGCAGATTTCATCACTCCTTTCTACTTTGGGAGTATCAGTACCTGACACAATGTTCCATAAGCATAAGTATTTTTGCCTTCTTTTTACCAAAATTCAGTTTGCTCATTTATAAAATTAGGAGCCTGGATGAAATTAGTTTTCAAAAATTCTTCTATACAAACAATTTTTATTCAATTAAACCTCACATGTGCATGGCTTCCTCAAGTCTTTGCTCAAATATCAGAGGCTGTCTCTAACTACCCTATTTAAAATCCATACCCCCTCCTTCCCTGCTTTGTCTTCACAGCACTTTTCTCTCTGTAATGTACTCCAGAACTTACTTAAGTATTTTGTTTATTGTCTCTCTCCACTAGAAGAAACCCCCATGAGGCCAGGACATTTGCTTACATTGTTTACTGTTGCATTTCTGGGACAAAATGATTCCTGACATATAGTTGGCTCACAATAAATATCTGTTGACTGAATAAACTCTCAACATTAGAGATGAGGTGTTCAAAGGGATTATCTCTTCAACTAGATATATGTATCAGTCAATGACACCTAGTCAGTGATCAAGCAAGGATTAGCTAATTAGTTATCAGAATGTGGTCAAACAGCAAGGACTGTAGGCTGATTGACAACTGTCAGTAATAGGACAGTTTCCCTGGGACAAAGAAATGAAACTACCTAAAACTTTAAGAACAGAACTAACCAAGGTAGACCCTGAAAATAATCCTGCCACACAGCATGGCCAATTTCCACTTGTAGATCATAATCTTTTATGCACCTCCCAACAGGAAAACTTGTGATGGTGGGTGTGGGAAGGCTGTCCCAGGGAAGCTTTTTCCACAAGGCAAAGGTAGAGAAGTGAGCCTTTCTCTGCCTCTCCTTTCTTTGTTCTTTCCTCCTTTTTGGAACTGAGTGACCTGCACTTCCTCCTCTCCTTTCCATCAGGGGATCCCTAAAAAAGGCTGATCCATATGGAGGTGCAAAGACTGCTGGCAGTTGTGATCTTTCTCAAGGGTGCTTGCCAGGAGACTACAACATTAATCACAGGAACTAAGCTTTTAACTTAGTTCCTACTGAATTAAGGGTTCATACTTTGGCAAGCAAAGGGAGAGACAGTGTATTTCTGTCGTCATTGAATTCCTACCATGCAATTCGAAATAATCATCTATGTATATACAAGTGTAACTAACAAAATATTTCTGATATGCCTCCCAATGTAGGCTCATTTATCTCTCTTCCACATTCTAGTTTCCATTTTAAGACAGCTGTGAAGCTACAGTCAATGTGTAGAATGTGGTACGTAGAAAGCAAAAAGCCCCAAATCTACACCTTCCTGTCTGATTATACCTTTGTACTAAAGGAAATCCTTAAGGGACTACACAGAAAAGTCTATCCCTTCCAGTCCTGGGTAATTTGGGGAGGGAAGAGAGAGGAGTCTAATATTGATTGAGGAAGATGAATTGTAAGACTCTTCCTCCCCAAGCCCCTTGATTCAGAGAAAAGTTGCAATACAGAAGGATCCAATAACAAGCATTCTGATAGGATCAGGAAGCCAGAGTACTTTGAGGGTAGTAAGGGCTTTAGCAAGTATCTGTGTCTCTACTAGTGGGAACCCTTAATAGGGAGAGCTACTGTACTTTCCTGTTTCCAACAAGAAGGCAGTGGCAATGGGATGATGGTCATGGCAGTAGGCTACTAGAAGGCTTCTTGTTTTCTATCATCTGAATGGAACCCAGAAATTCCCATTTGTCGCAGTTAAAGGAGCCCAGGGATGCTTAGAATACAGTAAAACAGCAAAATTCTTCAATTGGAACAAAAAGTCACTGTAGACTCAAAGTTTGAGATTCTGGAAAATTGTCCAGGATCCTAGGCTCCATCTGGGGGTACAAGATAGGACTTGCTGTAGCATAGCAGCCACCAGTTTGGGAAGCAAACCAGACTGGCCACTCTCCAGCTGAACCAGCGAGGATTCCTTTAACTCTGCATAGATCTGAGGAGGCTTTTTCCTCTGCCACCATGAGATAACATAAATTATACCCAGACACAGCCTTGGAAAGGGGCACAGGAAAGAGAAAATTTGATAATGTGGTGACTTTCTTAAGAGAACTACCAAGCAAATAGGTCCCTGTGAGGAAGATAAGATAAATTATAGGAAAATAAAATAGCCACATTTGTTTTGCACATCTGTATGTGAAGAGTATTTTTGTCATCACAATGCATTTTTGCCACTTAAATACATTGAGGTTAGTAGCGGCTTTCCTAAATTTTTGAGATTCCATGTGCAGAAAATTTTGTACCACAAAGTGACTACAAACCTCTAGGCTAAAATTTAAAATCCTGAGTTAAGGTCATGATCCAAGAAGAGAGAGGATTTGCAAATGCACATAGAGTATATTCAGCATAAGTTAGAAAAGAGGGGTTAAGAAAGGTTATCACAAGAGCTTCTTCTTCTTCTTTAAAGTCTTAAAAAGTAGAGCCACTTTTTGAGAGAGGGAAACCCAATATTATCAGCATCAGTTCAAGCCTGGAACATATCTGGAGATGGTATTTTGGGAAGAAGTGATTGGATTTCAACAACTAATCAGAAAGAGAATACACAGCTAATATTTCATAAATTAATCCACCCAGAGAGATTGAAGGAGGTGGGGAATGGAACCATGCTAGTCTTGTAAGAGCTAGCTGAGTTACTACTCATCCCTCTCTTGAGCCAAACAGCTGAAGTTAGAGCACATATACCTACTGGGCATAAAGAGGACAATGGCTAGGGATAGGGTTGTATCATCAATCTTTACTTGCTGCTGCCTTTACATCGAGTAACTACTCATCTCCACTCCAGTATTCAAGATCCACTAGAAGTTTATCCAAGCTCAAGAGAAGTATTTCCTACACACTATCTGCAGCTCCTAAAGGGTGTGAGGGATAGGGTGAAATAATGGGCCAGTATTTGGAAGAGTTTGTGCCTTCTTAGTGACAAATAGTGATATAAGGTTTAGTAATCAGGTTTTCTAGCCAATTCAGAGGAATTGAGTAGAATATGAAAATAAATGTAAGATAATCAAGCTCCCACCTTCATGGAAAAGGGGAGGGCAGGAGCTTAATCATGAGCACATGTCCCTTGTAGGAATATGGAGATTTATTATGGTGTGTGGCATAATATGTTCCAAATATGTCCTGATTTAGGATCCCTTATTAATAAGCTTACCTTTCTGTCTCTTACACCCTGTCCAACTGCCATTAAGAGTTAATCATAATGCTGACATCAGGA
Organism: Homo sapiens; assembly: GCF_000001405.40. Classification (NCBI taxonomy): domain Eukaryota; kingdom Metazoa; phylum Chordata; class Mammalia; order Primates; family Hominidae; genus Homo; species Homo sapiens. The sequence goes on along the minus strand of NC_000011.10, from coordinate 109,430,158 downwards.
AGAAGATGATTAAGTCCATTGCAGAAGCAGGAAACTAACCATAGTAGAAGAAGTCTTAGGTAGAGAAAAGTAGACATTAAGGGAAATATTTGCTTCTTGCAGTCTGGGACAATTTTGAGAAAAATAAGAGAAAAGTGAGGCAGGTGGCCGTTAAAGCTTTCATGCTCCTCTTCACACATATTTAGGAGCCAAAAGGAGTGATGTTGCCTTGAAAACATCTAAACAGCTTTGGAGAAGCTCAAGGATTGGAGATAAATGGCAAACTCCTTTCCTTTAAATATATTACTGTGGGTCTCAAGACCTCAGAAGAAACCCTCATGGCACCATCTAACACGAAGCAAGATTAGCAGAATTGAGGTGGAGGAGGAGGTGGATGGATGAATAATCCCAAGATAGACCCAAGCTTTTCACCAGTAGGTCCATGGCATGCAGGGCACCCAGAAGTTCCTGAATCTCCAAGAAGGGGACAATGTGTGAGAGCACTGTGGACCTATAGATGGCCGGGGTCAGGATGTATGAGTTTGAGATGGAGGGCAAAGGTCCACGGTGTAAAATTGCTGTGGTAAATGTCAACACAAAAGCCAGTAGGACAATAGCACTTCAAACTAGGGAGCAGATCCTTTTCAGCAGGGTTAAGCTAGGATCCTTCAGAATTTACAGAAGTTGGAGGCTACCTTTCCCCTAACTGGCACAGAATCATGTCAGCCACATCCCTTCCTAATATACCTGATTATATTATAGTAGAGAAGTAGAGGCAGAGCAAGAGGAAATCTGAGAATTTAAGCATATGACCTCAAGATCCTGAGCATCTGTGTAAAGGAGCTGCTACATTATTATACTGGACTGTTTATTGGGTTGTCCTAAATTTTATACACATCCCATTTCTAAGATGTAGTTGGTTTGTGAGGAAGAGCAGATGAGTTATAAAAATTTTTTGAAAACAATATAATTTCTTTGAGCATCTGAGTATAATAGAATAAGCAATTATGTTATCCTGGTATATTGTACATTAAATTGGCAAGGAAATAGTGTCCAAAAAGCCAATTAACAAGAAAACTCTTTTATTGATAGAAAAGCAAAACAAAATTTCCATGAATTCTAATATCTTTTTTCTTCTATCTATTGGATATACTCAAGTTCAAAAGTCAGTTTTTCTGTTGTCATCATTGTCACTGTTGTTGCTGTTCATCTCTCTATAGAAACAATCCCTTGTAATCACAACTGTAAGGGAAATATCCCTACCACAAATGGGTAGGACCTCCTTGATAAGTCATTGTCTCCAAATAAAGTTGATTAAATTCTTATTGTCAGCTAAGCATTCATACATGACACCAATTGTATTATTAGGTTGAAGACATTAATAAGTATTGATGTCAAGCCACATTAGCTGTTTCTCAAATGTTATCAAATAAATAACCAAATCAGAATCAGATTTACATTCATTCCAATGATTAAACACTCTCTTATAGATTGGGCAATTTATTCTAATATGAACTGAAACATCTGTGAGTTACAATCACAAGTTCCAACAAAAAATGGCCCAAATAAGTAGGCCTTTCAGATTCAAATTCAAAGTTCAGATTCACATGGGAATGGGACTAAGGAACCTGATCAGATTATATTAAAATTTCTGGTTCTACTTTAACCTGTAACTTCCACATAATATCAGCTAGCAATTGTTCAACTTTCACCCACAGAAAAGCATGAAAGCATATGTCTACATGATAAAAAAATAAAAATTTAACCATTATCTAATTAATACAATTGATACAGATAGAAATGGTGGAAAAGTCAGATGTCAAAGAAGTTTCTTAAAGCTAATTTATCCATATTATCCAAAAATGATTTCTCAAACTAAACAGATAATGGTCATATTTTCACTTTACCTTTAGCTATGCAGATATAAATTGTATTTCTACACAACATATAGGTTGAAAATGAAAAAAATCAAACCACAATCCAGGTTCCAGGTTTGTGGTCTAGATGGCCCTAAACCTCTTCTGGATATTTTTGCTTTCCATCTAGATATTTAGACCACATTGATATGGTCATAACTTTATTATCATTGCTACATTTGAGTCACTAACCTAGGAAAGGAAGCTTATCTAATTACCAATTTTCCAAGCTAACCAGGACTCTCCCCTTTCATTATTAAAGAGAAAGTCATTCAGATTTGACCCCAGAGAAACAAGTGCATGCACATACCGGACTTTTCAGTATCCTCTTTGGGTAAGAGGATGGAACAACTATTTTGGTTTCCATCTCATTCTTGTAATGACAGAAAAGAGAATACAAAAAGTCAATTGTAAATTTATACAAAACGTATGCATATATAAATACATATCTATGGGTGTATATAAAGTCTAAATATTATATCCATCTACATCTTCAAGATTCAGAGTCTTGTACCGTTGACATAATAGTATTCTCTCTCCAAATTTTCTCATTTTTAAAAACAATAAGAATCAAGCATGCCACCTTATTAATACTGAATAGCAAGTGCAGAAGTTAAGCTGTAGCTATAGGGGTTTGAAGCATTTAGTTTGACGGGACATCAGTGAATAAAATCCTTAAAATAAATTTAGCTATTTCCAGATTGCCTTTTGTTTCATAAAAATGAAAACCTAAATGCCCTGTTGGTAGCATCCCAAGCTCCTGAGACTGCCAATTGAGCCCTATAAGAAGCAGTGCTTTAAACAAGGTCTGTACAAATTGCTTGGATATGTGCTTATTGAAATAATTTTGTGTGGAAACTGGATTACTAGAATTTCATGTAATTCTCTATCTCATAAAAAAATCACAAGTAATACCACTGGAAGCTTAGGTTTTGAGTATATTAAGCTCAGTATGAAATCTGACTCACAAACTGCATCATCTTTACACAGAGCACTATTAAAAATATTAAACTACAGTCAATTAATGGAGAAAGGCACACACATTTAAAGTTGCACAATAAAAGTGTATTACAGATGTGTGCCCACGTTGAGAGGTATTGAGATCATTTGTTTTACAATATACATAATGCTTTTATTTCTCTTGCTCCTTGCATTCCTTTGGGGAGAAATGATGTAGGACAATTTCATAATTACCCCCACAGAGTGTACAGGCTGCTCCTTGGAAGGGGATTATTATTGCATGCCTTGAATATACTATGATTCATAAGGCAAGAACATATGCGTAGCTTCAGCACCAAGAAAATGGAATCGTTATCCAGCACTGCTCACAACAGAACATCTTATTGCTTTAATAAAATGGGAAATTATTCGCTGTAGAAAGTGCACCAAATAAGGGAAAGAAAGTAATATCCATGCACTTATTGGAGCTCATTGGAAATGATGAAGCTCCCTTCTGGGACCCTGATTCTATTCAAATTTCAAGTCCAAAAGTCATTCTGTAATAAGGTATTAAAGAGCTACCACTGGATGAGGGTAAGCTACAAAAATCAATGGACTTTCTTCTTCACAGTGCCTTAGTCATTCTGATGTACAGTGTAGAACTCTGATGCACTACAGGATTCCCTAGTGGCCTGAGGGAGTTAATGCACTCTTTTACCTATTACTAGGAAGTGACTAAGGCACTGGAGAAAAACTGGTTCATTGTTTAATATATTGTACCCAAAGATTATACCTGGTCTTCCTAATATTACAAGATGGCATGCTTCAATGATGATCTTCTGTGCTTCAGGAAAGGTGATTATCTTATGGGTGATTAAAATTAAGTTTATTAAATTATTTTTATAAAAGATGCAAACTGAGCTTGGGCAATTTAATAGATGACCAAAAATATTAGAGGTAATGTTTCCTCTGGATAAGAGCACATATGTCTGGACCAAGTAGACAATTTAGAACAATGAGTTGCTTGGGAGAGGGATGCTCATAGGGGCACTGTTGCCTTACACCCTGCAGGATAGTAAGGACTCTCTTGGTAGAGCTTTTTGCAGATCACTTTCATTCATACATTTTCCAAAAATTTGAATAGCTGTCAAAGGCTTGATTTCCAAGAAGAGATGTCACTGCATATAATTAATATTGTAATATGCTTCTGGCTTCTTCTGTCATTCAACCAAAGGAAACAAGGTGGTAAATAACTATAGACTACTTCCATTTCTAACATAGATGGCCTTGTCTGGCATTAGAAAATAATAAAATATTTATCTTATTTTCTCACTTTCTTTTTTTCTCAGTATTTTTGTATGTTCAGTGAAGTTAGGACAGACTGAGAAAGAGAGCCTTTCTTTTGCTGCAGGCACAGATTTGTAACTAAACAAACAAGCTGCAAACATTTGTATCCTATAAGTAATTACTGGATCTAGCTTTTCTTGAAATTCGCATGTCTTATCATCCAAATTGCCCAACATCCCCACCAGTCTCATCCCCAACCACATACAGTACAAGCAAGCACACACACCACTGCCTCCAGGTGGTAACTGCATGCAGGGAGAACTACAGGCACTGTTTAAATATTAACCATGTTTTTAATAGATGGCATTCTTGCACATCCATTATTTGTTTGTTTCTGTGGTTGTGTTTTTTCTATTATTTGCAAAAGAAAAAATAAAGCGTGTGTGTCATCTTTTTATAACAGTCTACTACAGAATAAGGTACAAAAGAACACTTCTGGAAACAGCAGAAGCCAGGTCTGCACCACTGAATTTCTCATCCAGTGGTAACCATTATATCAACAGCTGGAAATTAAGAACAATAATATACAGTTTGGAGGACATAGTACAGAACTATAGTTTTTTTCTGTATTTGGTACCAATATACTAAATATATAACAAAGGTGCACTTGTTCTAAAAATAAAACAAACGTTCTAGTTGGTTAGATACTGCACTTTCAGTACTGCACATCACCTAATACTTTTTTTTTTTTACAAAAAAGGTAACTTATGCAATGTTTAATAATAAGAAAACCAATAGTACACGCTAACTCGATTGTAGAAAAAGAAGAAAGAACCCAACCAAAAGCCAGAATAGTCACTTTCCAAAACAGCCCCTCCTCTGCCTTCACAACTAGAGGAAGTAATCAGAACGGTGAGGCGACTTCAGCACCAGACCTGGCTGGACAGCTCCCAGATCCTTTGTAAATCCTGAAAATGTCACAAGTCAAAGGTGTACGGGTGGGGGCGGGGCAGGGAATGAAAGCGTTAGCTTTTTAAAAAAAACTCATTTAAAGATTTTAACGTACTTATGCTCGGCCAGCGAGGGTCATTTTAAAAAGTAAATTAAATGCTCTGTCCTGGAAAATGTAATGGTTAACCAAAGGGTGAGAAATGGGCGGACTGGCGAGGGGTACCTGTCATAAACACTTTCCGGGGACTATTCTCTATGGCCTCTTGCAGTCCTGGTGCTTAATGTAGACATTTTCTTTATAATATACTATTGCCTGAGCCCGGCTGAGGGTGGGAATGGGGAGGAAAGGGAAGCTAAAGGAAAAGTGAAAGCTTAGGGGTCAGAGGGGAAGGAAGGAAACTAAATCTTAACTTGACAGCTATGTACATTACCGGGCCCCCTCCCCTCCCTTTGCTCCGGGAATCAATGCCTTTTATATATTTGGTAGCTTGTGCGGTTTCTCCTCCTAATTGAGGGGAGCGCGGGGTGGAATGGGAAGATGCATCCTCCATTGACAGTTAGAAATTATGTGATTTGTCATGCGCTTGGATTGTGTTATTAGTATTATAATAATTACTATAAATATTAATAAAGTATTATTATCAGCGTTATTTCTTCTTCCGAGACTTTCCTCGCCCAATATTTACAAATACCGCACAGTGCCTCGGCGGAGGAGAAACAAGAGTAAGGGGAGGGCAGGTAAGGAAACCAGGAAGAGGAAAGAGGGGCCAGAGGAAAATGGAAAAGGAAGGAAGAAGGAAAAAAGCAAGGGTGGCAAAGATGCTGGAAACGAGGACGGGGAACGAGAGGGGCTAGACGATCAGGACAGTACCACCGTTTGCAAAAGGCCCTCGCCAGCTGTGTCCAAACAGGAGGAAGCTGCGTGTGCTCCTTGGGGACTGGAGGCTGGCGGTGGAGGCGGAGGAGCACAGGGACCCTGGCACGGGAGGCCAGGGGACGAAGAGGACAACGACGAGGCGTTGGAAGGGGCGCAGAAGGGAGAGTCCCGGGGCTGCCTCTCCAGCCGGGTTTCCTTTGCGTGGGTTGGGGCCTGCCTGCCAGGTCGGGGCAGCCCCCCGCCACCGCGGCTGCCGCTGCAGTGATCCCGCTCATATTCCTCCTGAGCCCTCTGCATCTTCCGCTTCTTCATCCTACGCTTGTGGATGTGGAAAGTGGAGAGGGACAGCACGATGAGGCAGAAGATGAGGGTAACCAGGACAATCAGCACCAGCGTGGAGGAGAAGGACTGGAAGAGCTGCTGTCCCACCTGCGTGATGCAGGTGCCGCTGCCTACTGCGCCTGGGCCGCGGGCACCCGTGTTGCCGCTGCCGCTGGCGTTGGGGGAAGCAAAGGTCCGGTTGAGGAGACACGGCGGCAACGCCAGCCTCAGCTCCTTCGGCGCCCTGGCACTCATTGGCGCGGGGCTGGGAGGGGCCAGGCCCACTAGGCTTCCCCTCTTGGGCACACCGTTCCTACCAGCCAAGAAGAGGACGGAGCCCACGCCACCCAAAACTGCTCCCTGTAGCGGGAGGGGGTGTGCGAGCGAGCCAAGGACTAAGGGAGCAACTGCTGGCAAGCAAGGCGACCAAGGAGTGAGCGGCGCCCGAGAGATCCTCGCCGATACCACCTCGAACACGTCTCCACGCTCCCCTTTCCTTTGCAGAGGCACCAGGCTGCAAAGACACAAAGCTTAGTTAGAATCTCGGCCGCTGCCCAGGGGAGTGCTGTCGGGAAAGATCAACCACCACCGCAAAGCGGCCCTCTGGGCACACTGCCTGAGCTGGGCGCTGCCTGTATTTTCGGTCAGCGGACCCCAGCCTGCCGGCCCGTGGCCGTGCACCAGAGCCACCAGCAGCCTGCTCATGCCACTCGACAGGATGGGGTCTGCGCCGGCACCGCGGAGGTGCAGATTACTCAGCAGATAAGGCAGCCTCCCTTCCGCCCTTCACAACTTTATAATTGCAACAGACACGCAGCCGCTTTGGTTGAAGTCCCTACTTCCCAGAGCGCCGGCTCTCCTCTTTTCTGCGCCCTCTCGGTTGATGTCTTCGCCTGGATCCTACCCTTCCCAGCACCCACTCCGGGCCGCCGCGCGGGCTCCGGGTACGCAGTCCTCCCTTCCTTTCCCTCCCCGTCCAGACTCGCCCTCCCTGGACAGCGTCAGATCCCTTGGGTCCCATTCCCAGGGGGATACCCCTGGCACCACATCCCACTCTGCCTCTGTCCGCGACCGCGGCTGACGCGCAGGAACGCGCTCCATCTCTTCTCCAGCCTTCTTCCCTGGTATTCTCCCCTCTCCAAAAAAAAAAAAAAAAAAAAAAAAAAGCAGCTGAAGCATCTTTCTCAGCTGACACATTCCCACAAACGGCCCCCTCCTCCCCATTTCCCTGTGCCCCCAACTTGGCAGTAGCCTGCTTCTTTCTAGAGGAGCTGGAATGGAAAGGGGAGGGTTCCCGCCTGCAAAGTTTGGGGAACGGGACCTTCTTTCTGTCCTTCCCAGACCCAGCCCAAAGGCCCCGAGGCTTTTCCGGCATACTGGAGCCGGTAGACCCGCAGCGCACAGGAGAGCCTCCTTGCTGCTCCCAAGAGGCAGCTGCAAACTGTTGCACTGCGGAGTAGCGAGGTAGCGCGCAAGCAAGCCAGGGCAGGGGCCGGGGGCAGGGGCGGGGGCTGGAGCTATGGCCAGGGGTGGCTGCTCAGGCCGCGTGAGCTGTCCTCCCCACTCGCACCTGGCCGTCAGGCCACCCGGCCATCAGAAGCCTTTACTCACACCTTGTCTCTTACCTGGACCGCCGGCTGGCTGCAAGGAGGGAGCCCCCGCCGCGCGGCTGCAGTGGCGGCTGCAGAAAGCGTGGAGTGAATGGACCAGAGACCGAGCCGCGCTGCTGCCGCCGCCGCCGCCGCCGCCGCCGCCTTCGCCGCCGCTTCAGGGAGCTGAGCTCGCAGCCTATTGCCAGAGAGGCCGGTGACGTCAGGCAGCCACCGCCAGGGCTCCAAGCCACCCCTCAGGCCCCCACCCACCCTAGTACCCCAACACCTTGTCCTAGCATAGCGAGCCTCTGACACACACTTCCCAGTTCCCTGCCCTTCTCCAGCCCAGGAACTAGGAGGAGCAACCCCTACCTCCACCCTGCAAGCAACCCACCTTTCTCACTCTCTTGCCTAGGAAGAGTTGAATCTTCAGTTCTCCAGCTGTCTGATTTCGTTCTAGAGCTGACCCTTTGGTCCCAGAATCACATTTTTACACTCTGGATAGCCATCTACCATCGGTGCACACATCACCGGTGGTGATGAAAATTTCCCCCACCGCTAATTCCTCTCTGTGCTGCCCGTTTCTGAACATAAACTGCGTGCATTAGAGAGATGGCAGGGACGTTTCTCAACATAAGTGTGACAGAACCCAAAACACAAACCTGAACAAATTAAACAATCCAAATTAGCCATTTTTCTCCACTGGAGTTTCCAAGTTATCTTTCGCTCCATCTGATTCAAGATCCTCCTTCTTGCATCCCTCACATCTTCATCTCCAGGCCCCAGACCCACTCAATGTATTAAACACTCCTTCTATTCTGACAATCTAGACACTCATGAGCACACAAACCCTAGTCTTACAAGGAAGAAATATGAAATTATTCACAGGAAGGCAGAAATGAACTGCCTTATGAAAATTCCAAGTATTTGTAGCTTGCACAAAGTACCCCTTCATTGACCCTAATTCTTGGTAAAGTGTTTGGAGCACAACTTTTAGCAAAATACATAGAACTTCCAGAAAAGAATTCAACAGCCTCCCTAAATCTTGGAAGAGACTAGTTAACTATTGGTTTAGGAGCCTTGGAAAAATATGAATAGTGCATTTGGTTACAGAATCCAGCTTTGAAATGGAGTATGCTCATTTTTCTGTTGGAGAAGCTAGCTGGGAACAGTACCTAAAGACATTGCATGGTCTTTGAAGGCACTCAGGTGTCTTACTAAACGTGCGTTTTCTTCTTTGCTCCCTGTCTTCTTTTCTATCTTTGAGTCTAGCACAGTGCCTGTAGTTTACTTGATAAATTGAATGATACAGTGTATGTTGTTGCTCTTTCCTGCAATGCATCAGAAATGACTGATGCCCAGTTATCTGCTTGTATTTGCTGTATTTGTAAAGAAAGAGGGTCTGATATGTGGAGGAAAGGCTGTCTGTAATCTGGGGGTCCCTTCTTCGGACTCTGTGTTTAGGGTCATACAGTTACTGATGTCTGCCCCCCGCCCCCACCCCAATGCTAGCCTCACCTTCCTGACTGGAATGAGAGCACCAGATGCCTGCAATAGCCACCTGCCACATTTGGACAATTTGACTTTGGTGGGCTTAGGGGATGGAATGGTGAGCCTTTTTATTTATTTATTTATTTTTTACGCTGTGACTAAGTGACACTTTACCATTGATGCCTGACAGGCAATGTCCCATTTTTTCACACTCGCTTTGCTCCTGAAAAGTTGAGTCTAATAAACATTTTGTAAAGCAAATCCAATTTTGGATTCTCCAAAAAGAGATCTGGCTATTTCAAGAGACTCTTTAGCAAAAAATAAAAAATTTTTTAAAAAATGTTATTTTGTAAAGCAAAGAATTTTTATGCAATTAGAATTAACTCTTGGCCAGGCACGGTGGCTCATGCCTGTAATGTCAGCACTTTGGGAGGCTGAGGCAGGTGGATCACCTGAGGTCAGGAGTTAGAGGTCAGCCTGGCCAACATGGTGAAACCCTGTCTCTACTAAAAATAACAAAATAAATAAATAAATAAATAAATAAATAAATAAATAAATAAATAAAAGCCGGGCATGGTGACAGGCACCTGTAATTCCAGCTACTCGGGAGGCTGAGACAGGAGAATGGCTTGAATCTGGGGGACAGAGGTTGCAGTGTGCCAAGATTGTGCCATTGCACTCCAGCCTGGGCAACAAGAGTGAAGCTCCATCTCAAAAAAAAAAAAAAATTAACTCTCAGTCGTCTGTTTTCTAGATTTGAAGGAATTAGTTATTGGGCTTTCCCTATGGGGAATATACCTTTACAACATGTTGTAATGGGATTACAATATGTATGTAATGGGATTCTTCTTGCACACCAAGCTTCTAGGACATGTCAGAAGGCTTCCAATGTTATTCTTTTGTTACAAATGATAGCCATCTGTTATACCAGGAGTGCTAAAGCTGTGTGCATTATTTTATACACCCTATGAAAAGACAAGATCTTAATCTGGAGAACTTATACTCTACAGCAGATAAATGTGATTCACCAGAAAATGGTATTTAACTAGCAATGATTTAGGTAGATTAAAGACATTAGTTTTCAGATCAAAAGCATAGTACCCTTTTTTGTCTTTTCTCTTTCAAGAATAGGCAGTAGGTTCATAATTTATTCTTACCCAGAGGACAAATGTACTAAATACGTAGATTTGGATGTCATTGGGTAGTGTGTTTTAAACCCAAGGAAGAGCAATGACAGCAAATATGGGCACCTCTTGGACTGCAGGAATTGATCCCACTGAGTTGCCACATGATTTTTGGCACATCTGGCTGAATGGCAAGGCTTCTTCCAGACAACACCATTGTTGCCACTATTTTCGCCACCAAACTTCACAAGCCACACTCCCAAGAGTAGAGAACCAAGAAGCTCCTGAGATTCCTATAATCTTCCCTTGTAATGGGAAAGCCCCTCTGGACATAAGCATGTTCCAAATATTTAAGAGCATTTAATATTTGCTTTCAAGTTTAATGAAGAATCTCGATCTAACTTAGATAAAAGTGCCACATGGGCACCTGTACCTAAATCTAAGCAGCATTGAATCAATAATAATAATAGCTATTATCCTTATTTGCAAAACACCTACTATGTACCAGGCTATAGTAAACCCTATATTAGCATTAATCCTCTCTACAACCTCGTAAGGTTATTTTTGCCAAAATACAAAATTATTCATTTACTCATTTGTTCAACAAAAATCTGAGTACCTGCTATAAGAAATGTGAAAAAACTAAAGCTCAGAGTGTTTAAAGACAATGTCTAAGTAACCCACTGAGAAGTATATTACCACATATATTATTGGGCTGAAACACAGGTAAACTGATTCCAAAGTCAGAATTCTTTTTATGACTACTTTTCATGACTAATGGCTTTTCTCTCTTTCCCTTTCTGTTTCTCTCTTTCAAACACACTTACTTATTTTTATTTTTATTTTACCTCTGTCTACTTCTGATTGGGGTAATTATGTAAAGCTAGAGAAAAGCAGAGATGCTTGGTTGAAGTGTAGGAGGGAAGATGGGAAATCCCCATGGTTCAGGTCCTTCCTTCCAACCAGGAGCAGTCTACAGGATCTCCACAGATTCCCTTGGACTGAACAAAGTCTAGTTTGACTAAGGCAGGTCATTCTAAATCACAGTGCAGCATGATATATGCCAGGCTCCTCTTAGATTTACAGGGACTTTTCCAGAGAATGTTTAGCTGATTTTGACATTTTGCCTAATCTTATATCTCCTCCAGTCTGGGCCCCTGCATACCTACAGAGGTATGCTTATATGTTGTCATGTTACTATTAACTACTGCCCCACCCAGTAAATAAATAATAAAGGTCGAGTGAAGTTCTTGACTTTGTTCTAGTTATCTAGTTTTATTCTAGTTCAGTCTTCTCATCTGCAAAATGGGAATAATAGAATCATTTTTTGCAGTGCTATTTTAAGCACTGAGCATATAGCAAGCATTCAATAAATAGTAGCCCATTACATTATAAAGAAAATTACTAAGATTGACATTTTATCCCTGGCAATAGAAGCATTATATTGTTTTGGACATCAAAATTCAGAAAAAAATTTGATAAGTATTAGTGTCCTTTACAGGAAGATGACTAGAAAGATGAAGGGACTGAAAACAATGATAGATAAGCAATTCAAGGAGAAGGGAATACTAATCTTAGAGATGGAAAGATGTGGGGAATGTAGCATAGCCTCTTAAAATATTCGGAGTATCGTCAATAGAAAATAGATTTATCCTAACCTACATACTCAAGAGAGAACAGAAATGTAGTGAAACAGATGTAGGATGGGGAGCCTCTTTCAATTCATTATTTCAGTAGCGGAAAGATCTTTCTAACCATGTAGCTGGTTATCATATACCTCAGCAGTCTTCAAACTGGAGGAGTCAATCCCTGAGAATACATTAGACATTTTCCAGGGGAATATATGTATAGTTTTAAGGGAATTATTTTCCAAGTCCTCTACCTCTATATGTACTTCTCCCCAAAATGTATCTATCTGGATTAAAATTTATCTTTTGTCACCTCTCCTTGCAATTGTCCTATTTCACAAAAGAAAAACGTATGTTTCACCAGTTCTCAACCTAACTATAGTGCGTTTACTCAGGGTGTGAAAACCTTTGTGAAACTACGAAAAACAATACCTTGAGGATGTGTAACTCCTGAGAGAGGTGACAGCTGTCATCTGGGGGACAAACTATCTATGTATCAATTTATCTTAGAATTAGAGCTTAAAAGTGAGGTGGTTGTCAGAGGAATAAAAGTATTCTAGTTTATTTAAATTGAAAAATGGACCCAGACTGCTTTTGGAGACAGTAAGCCTGATTTGTCTATTTAGATTGACAGTTAGAACTGGATTTGCCTGATAGATTGTATGAAGACATCCTATACAAATTGAATGAGTTAAATCTGTTGATCCAAAGTTTTGACAAAATATATTTTAAAAACATATAGGATACAGAATATGCCAGACCGGGAAACTCATTTATTAAACAAATATCCAGAGTGTTCCTACTGTGTGCCACAAATTGTGTCAAGTGCTTGCTACACCAGGGATCAAGGAAAAGTCTCTGCAATTGGGAACTTACATTCTAGTTACACACATGATCACATTCTGATTATCTGGCCAGACGAAGAGAATGTTAACAATTCCCTCTTTTCCTAATATTTTTAAATGAACTATCACTCCTGTCAAAGAACAGAAGAATGTAAACTAAGTAGACTGATAGATGTGAAGTTAAAGAGGCAGATGGGTAAAAATAGATGGACCAGCAGATGTCAAATATTTGATAAGATCTTTGTGATGAACAGATCCTAGATAATGAGAGTCCTGGATCATGGTCAGAAACCGAGTGGCATATGCTTCTTTCAAGTGTTGGAGGCTGTGAATCTGCTTTTCATAGGAAGGATAAACTGAAAATACTTCCATCATCTGGAAAAAGATATGCCTAGATCAGGGTTTTGCAACCTTGCCACTATAGGAGTTTGGGGCCATATAATTCTCTGTTGTGGGAGGCTGTCTAGTGCCTTGTAGGCTGTTGTGGTTAGCTGGATTCCAAAGACAGTCCCACAAGATTAAATCATTAAATCCAATGGTTATTTAACAACAAAACTAATCTAGATATTTTTGTGACTTTTTTTTTTTTGAGACCCGGACTTGCTCTTTCATCCAGACCAGAGTGCAGTGGTGTGATCATAGCTCACTGCAGCCTTGACCTCCTAGGTTGAAGCAATCCTCCTGCCTCAGCCCCACCACGTTGCTGGGACTACATGCATGTGCCACAATATCTGGCTAATTTTTAAAATTATTTTTGGGTAGAGCTGGAGGGTCTCACTATATTGCCCAGGTTGGATGGTATGATGAAAATTTTTTTAGATGTAATCAAAGTCCCAAATAGCTAAACTTAAGATGTGGAGATTATTCCAATAGGCCTGATACAATCAAGTGAGCTCTTCAAAAGAAGAGGGTTATTTTTCCTCCTGCCTAGCAGAAGAAGGGAAGTCAGAGATTCAAGGCACTAGGGGGATCCAACATGCTATTTTTGATGTTGAAGATGGAGGGGCCACAAGCAAACCAGTGTGGGTTTCCTTTAGGCGCTGGGAACAGCCTTTGGCTGACAGCCAGCAAGGAAATGGGGACTTCAGTGCTACAACTTCAAGGAACTAAATTTTGCCAACAAATGTGAATAAGCTTCCAAGTGGATTCTTCCCCAGAGCCTCCAAATAAGAGCCCAGCCTGGCTTTCATCTTGATTTCATCTCTTTGAGACTCCAAGCAGAGAAGCTGGTCAGGCCCCCACCACTTCCTCCACCCATCAGACCTCTGACCTACAGAACTATCAGGTATAAACATGTGCTTTTTAAGCTACTAAGTTCATGGTAATTTGTTATGCAGCAATATGAAACTAACCTGGATGCTTAGCACCATTCCTGGCTTCTACCCACTAGATGCCAATAGCACCCCTCCCCAGTTGTGACAACCAAAGATGTGTCTAACACTGCGAAGAGTCATGAGGGTGAGGGGATAACAAAATCATCCCTGGTTGAGAACCACTGGCCTAAACATACAACTTGTCACTGTACAGTTAGAAAACAATGGTTCAAAGAAAGAGATGGGCGTTTTCTTGAACCCTACTTGTATCTTACTACAATTTAATTGATTATTTTCTCTGAGTTGTTTAATTGAGAAACTCTGATGTGGAAAGAAAACAGGCATTCTCTAAGAAATTAATCTGCAACAAAAGCAAAAAGCATTAAGTCCAGGGATCAATCAAGACGGTTTGGGGGAGAACAAATAGTGCCAATACAATTTTTTTCCATGGTAAATGAAATTTCATGCAAAGAAAGGGGAAGTGATCTTGCCAGATTTGAGTATAATTTTTTGAATTTTGTTTTCTATGATACAAAAGTCCACAGCAAGAAAGAAACACTTGGTTTGAGTCACATGTTTTTTAAGTTGGTATACAATACACAATGCTCTGGAAGACTCTGATGGAACACAGTGATTGATAGCGACTTATTCCACATTGTGGGTGGCCATCTCAATTCTTCCTCTTTCTCATTTCCTTATCAAGCAAATATTACTGTATTAATTTTAAGACCCAAGAGACAAAACCAAATGGCCCCATGGTTTTCAACCTTTTTTTTTTTTAAGGCAGTTTCTCTCTGTCACCTAGGCTGGAGTGCAGTGGTGCTATCTTGGCTCACTGCAACCTCCGCCTCCCGGCTTCAAACAATTCTACTGCCTCAGCCTCCTGCATAGCTGGGATTACAGGTACCCACCACCACACTGGCTAATTTTTGTGTTTTTAGTAGAGATGGTGTTTCCCCATGTTGGCCAGGCTGGTCTGAAACTCCTGACCTCAGGTGATGCACCTGCCTTGGCCTCCCAAAGTGCTGGGATTACAGGCGTAAGCCACCACTCCCAGCCTCGACCTTTTATGTCTTAGAGTCTTTTTATTGTCTATTTATCACTTTATGCTTGAACAAGAAAACAAATGAAGAAATGTGAATATGGCTTTAAAATAACCTGGGAGTTATTAACCACAAAGTATGACTGACTAGGAAGAAACACATGGGACAGCTTAGATTTCTTCCAGCTCAATATGTTGCCTTTTTTCTACATCAATTGCTATCAACTATGCTTTTTATTACTGTAACAGGACATACAGAGAGTAAAGCCAGAGTGTTTCTGAGGAAGACAAAAACAACAATAAAGTAGGATTACTGGCATGTTGAACAGGCACATCTGACGTAATCAAGTGAAACTTTTTTTGATTCACTGTCCCTTCAGATACTGTACATAATTTTTTTTCAGCTGCTAGGTTAAAAAAATGATAGGTTTGATGACTTTTTGAATCACTTTTAGTTAAAAGACAATCCTACAACCTTTTAAATCATAAACACAATATCAATCTGGTAGAGCATTTAGTCTAAGACACTCATAAAAATTCAAAATTTATTCTCTTTTCCCAAAGCTTGGGGTTATTTTAGACAGAAAGCCTGGAGCATGAAAAGGAGTAATATCTAGCTTCTTGTCTATTTCTCTGGCTTTTGTTTCTTTTTCTTTTCCCCCCTCTGCTCATCCCTAGATTACTAGATAGTTTCTTATATCTCGGTAGTCAAAGGAAGTAAGACGAAAATGGTAACAGCATAAGAACATTTTACTTAGATTTGTTCTTTACACTCCTGGGGCCTGAGAGATGTTTAGATTGGCTCAGGATGAGGATCTCTTTCTCTGACCTGTTTACATTCACCTGTTTTCTCAGTTGTCACTGCTGACTATTTCTTCATCTATTAGGAATCTCTAATTTATTTCAGCTCCTTGTTGCTTAATCCTAAGAGAAAACTTTTGAGAAAGAACATTCAACACCTACTGAATAACTTTTCTACCTGAGGAAAAGGAGCTGGGAATTTATGCACCAACTCCATCTCATTTATTGCATGCCATCACTTTCTAAGTATTGAGGAACTATCCCAGCAGCATGTTAGAATCAATTCCAAAAGTCCTTCCCAGTACATTTAGCTGAAGCCGTGAGAGAATGTCCCCATTTCCCAAAATTCTCTTTCCAGCCTTCTATTTCTCACTGCTGGGCTAGCATTCTTAAAAGTTCACTTTGAGGTATGTTCTCTCCGATTCTTCCAGGAAAGATTAGCCAGTTCTTGCAGCTCGTTTTTTAACAATGCTTTTTTTTTTTTTTCCTGGAACAGGTAAAATATTTTCCCAGGGGTTCAAGCTGAGTTTTGACCCAAGTTATTGTCCTAGAATCTGTGGGGGAAGTACAAGTAAACCTTAAAGAAGACAAATAACACCTTATGAGGTGTTTGCCTTAGGTGAGTCTTATTTATATTTTCCAGGCAACAAGAATATGACATCCTGTAACAATGGCGAGTGAATGATTTCCACATGCTTAGAGGTTTGGGAGAATCTGGAAGTTCACGGTTCCCAAGCACATCTATCTCAAATATCCCCATCTCAGGTCTCAGGCATACTCCTTTCCTATCAAGGCATAAAGTCTCTTATCTTTATCTTGAAGGTTGAGAATTAAGTCTTTGCAGTTCTCTCTCTCTCTCTCTCTCTCTCGCACACTCAGGTCCCAGATATGATTTTCAGCTGGCTCTGCTCTGTAGTCACAGGCAATATATTATCTTTAAATGCTGCGTTGTCTTTTGAGTTTCACACTGAGCTCTTATTTTATGGTCAGATGAATCAAGGCTGTCATTTTTTTCCTTCAATGCCACTATGACAAAAACAATCAATTCCACAGTCTTCATAATTACCATTGCCACCATATTGAAGAAATGCTAGCAATATTACACAAGGCTATATCCTATTGTAATACAGTACAGATGAGAGTAGTGTGATAACCACTACACTACAGAAACACATCCAGATGAGAGCATTTGTAATTGAGATGCTCAGTTTGCCAGGAATGATTAGCACTTCTCTTATCCACACCAGTAATGGGGCCCTTTTGTGATCTGGCTGGCTAGTTCTAGAATCCCATCATGAGGGTTTTCTTCCTTGGTCTTTTTCTAGTGCCAATTGTCTTAGTTTGGGTTCCCCCAGAATCAGACCCTGAGACAGGGACTTGAATAAAAATAGTTTGTCTGGAAGTTGTATAGAGTACCAGTAGGTGAGTGAGAAAGTAATACAGGGAAGAAAAGACAACCAATAAAATCATACTGCTAAGCCAGCTACCATGAGAGTTTATGCTCACAGGGACATTTTGGGAAATAGTGCCAAATACATGCCTCAGGATTATTCCAGATTAGAAATAAGGGAGTTGTGGTATGTGTAGGTGTATAAGGGCACTTCAGTCTTACCTCACTTCCATCTAGTTTTAAGACTGCTCCAAGGAGGAGCTAATTCCCTGACAATCTGGCCTGCTTTACCCACAGGCAGAGTGGCCTCCTCTAGTTTCAGAAAAAGTCCTTGGGAACAGTTACTAGTAATTAGAAGTCAATAGCAGCACACTGAAATAGAAGGGTTTAAGAGATATAGGTGAAGCACTGACAACATCTGTTACCAGTTCCTCCATGTTGCTCACATTTGCTCTATGGAAAACATTCATGTACCTTTGCCTCATGGGCTCAAAGAATGCAGATCAGTGCAATTACAGCCAACTTCTCCTGTTCTGCTACCAATGCAACCTATTTGCCTTTTGTCATCTAGGTTTTCTGCATGACAATCAGACCCAGGTAAACAGAGCACCCCTCTCCACCAACTGTACCAACACGCACACCACACACACACACACACACACACACACACACACACGCGCATATACATATATATGCGAGGTTTTTGGCACCATTTCCCCAAATTTCCCTGTGAGCATAAACTCTCACAGAAGCTGGCTTAGTAGTACACCTTTTATTGGCTGTCTTTTCTTCCCTGTATCACTTTCTCACTCCCCTACTGGTATTCTATACAACTTCCAAACAAACTATATATGTGCATATCTCCAAAGGACCATATAAGAATCTGCCCCCATTAGGCATGAGGCAAAAGAAAGGGTGGAAACTGTTAGTACAGCAACAGCCCACTCCTAGGAAATCTTTTCAGCAATCTCCCCACCTCTCCCTATGTGACTCTTCTTTTAGCTCTTTGATATGGTTGAGAGACCAAGAATCATAAAGGTGCTTATTGAAAATTTCTGTTATAAATTATCATACAGAAATATGAGGATTGTTCTCACACTTTCACTGGTATTTGACATCTTTCAATTCCACCCCTCAGTGGAAACAAAGGCAGCATGAATTCTAGTTAATATCCTTTTATAGTAGTAATTGATACCATAGCTTCAATCAACACTTCCTGAGGGACAAAGACTTTACAGCTTAAAGGACATGTGGAAATTTCTCAAACAAGTTATTTCACAAACGATGGCGATGAGAAGGGGAGGAGACCACAGATGTCACTATTGTTTACAGAATATCAAGTACTTTCCATGCATTTCCTTTTAATCTTTACAACAACTCTATGACCTAAGATTGGTTATTCCTATTTGTGTGGAAGAAACAGCCTCATAGACTTACCCAAAGTACACACTATTCATAATTGGCTGGGTCCAGACTAAAATATTCTACCTTCTGGCTCAAAAACTCATGATTATTCCATTATACCAGGGACAGCTACCACAGACTAAATACTGCTAGGGAATAGCAAGAGAAAATCATTTGTATGATGTATATGACAAGGTATAAGAGAGTAAAACTGGGGAAAGTATAGTTCAGTGCTGATGAAGCAAAACAAAACACTATGGCCTTGAATGAGATGGGGCCCCATGAGCTCCTAGTTTGCTAATTCAGACCAACATCCATGCGGTGGATTCGAAGCCAGACAAACTTAGGTATGGACTCTAACTGAGCCACTACTATCTGAAAACTTGAGATGAATCACTTAATCTCTGTGAGACTTAGTTTCTACCTCTGTAATGTGGACATAACCAATTTCTCCTTTAGAGTATAATGTAAAAATCTTAAAACATATGTGGAAATTTTCTAGCATACAGAAGGCACTCTGCAAATGGAAATTCTTAAATTCTCCAATGTATAGTAGAATTCCAATCTAGGCCCCTCTTCATTTCTCCAAACCTCTATTCTTCGTGATTTTATAGCACAAAGAGGAGAAGTAGGTGATGAAGAATGCCTAGAGTACATAGAGTTTCTACACAGTACTCATGGATTATTTCAATTTATGGAAGTATGACATCAAGGTTGATTGACATGAAATGAGCTGTTGCCTGACTCTAAAGCTGAATGGTCAGTGGAAGAAGAGAGAGGCCACTTCACATTCAGGTCTGATGGTTGCATGAGAACAGGAAACACAGGTTAGTTCTGACTCTATTCTAATAACAGTTGACCTTTATTATTGGAAACACGGTATATTTTTTGTCAAAATAAATTTATGATAATTATTAACAGCAAAATTAAACCAAACATTAAAAAGGACAGATATCCTAAGTAACAGATAGTCTAAGTTATATTATTTTTGTGTCAAAGGATTCACTTTGGCATGAAGGTGCTGATTTATGAAGAACTTTCAAGTGCTTTACATTTATTCTTAGGAATTTAATCAGATCATCAAAAGAAGCTGACTTTTCTCCTTTTTTAGTGGGAGAATAAAGCAAACTCTTGGGATTATGATGGTATCGGATCTCACAAAAACACATCTTGCTCTTAGATTTGAGCTTTCCAGCAAGGGCATTGAAATCTAATACACTGTAATCCATTATCTAAATCAGGTATTATGTCAACAGAAGTTCATTTGTTTCCCATAACATTAACACAGTTCAAAATTATCTCCATGTCCATCACTCTTTGTCAACAATAGCAAGTGGCCATTAAGTTCTCTAGCACTATCTAAGAATTAATTCATTAGAAGCAAAACCTAAGGAGAATTTAAGAAGCCTAATGTCCTTTCCAGACCCATAGTAAGTTTCTACTTCAACAGTGATGGGACAGAAGGCCTCTCTAGCTTCAGTTGTGAAAGGCATAGAGGAATGGGAGAGAAAGAAAAAAGAACAAGAATAGCAGTCTGTGGACCCTAATGACCCAATGACCTGTTCATACCTCTATTACAACAGTTATCACATTCCTGAAATTATTCATCTACATGTACAACTCCTTCCATGCAGAGCAAGGCCCTGGATGGCAGGCATTATGTTTGATTGCTCTCTGTACTGTCTAGAGTAGCTGCATCATAAATAAAAGCCCCACACATGCCCAATTCCATTAGTAGCTTTTAGTCTCCTTCCAAAAGTTGTGCATACAAAGAATTAAGCAGATGGGTTTCAGTTTTGCTTTTTATATGCCCTCTGGTTCATCATCTTTTTGTGAAAGTGCGGATGAGCATCAAAGTGGTCAAAGGAGGAAGCAGGAGCAGTAGGCAGAGGAAGCACCCCCAAAGATCTGGGGTGTGGAAGTATATCTGAAAGCCCTTACTAACATGTCCTTATCCTAAACCCCAGACTACAGAAAGAATAAGTCAAGGGAGATATCAGTAGAAAACAGAATGGGAAGAGATATGCACCCAGCAACTACTATCATATGTAGCATTTGCAATCGTGATTCCACTTAATCCTTGTAACACCTCATGGGACCAAAAATTATCTCCATTTCATAGATGAAGAAAATGAAAGATTAAATAATTCATCTAAGGGAACACAAATACTACATGATGAAGCCAGGATTCAAACCTTAGTCTGCCTGTCTGAAAAGCCTTCTCTTTCCATTAATCCAGGGTGCCATTCTGACAGATATTGACTAACAGTTCATTGAACGTGTGGATACTGCCTCCATAAGCAGTGGCTATGTCTTCAGTAGGCTGTATCACTTGAGCACCAGCAGCCAGAAGCCTCAAAGGTTAGAAGGGGAAGAGCTGGTGTGAACTGCACATGCAATCACTAGAACCCAAAGGATTAACTTGCTCTTTGTAAGGTTAAGCTGCTGTGTTTTCAGTGATTCAGCACCCAATAAGTGAGCTATAGTCAATTTTATGCAATGCACAAGATTCCTATTAATAGTTTCCATTCCAATAAAATGTACTAGATGCTTTACTAGGTCTTTTATAATTAGTATCTGTTTACTTGCAAGTCAGTTGTCAAAAAAATCTTACAGGCTGGGCACAGTGGGTCACATCTGTAATCCCAACACTTTGGGAGGCCAAGGCAGGGGCAGATCATCTGAGGCCGGGAGTTTGAGAGAAGCCTGGCCAACATGGTGAAACCCCGACTCTACTAAAAATACAAAAGTTACCGGAGCCGAGCCTAGTGGTGGGTGTCTGTAATCCCAGCTACTCGGGAGGCTTAGGCAGGAGAATCTCTTGAACTCAGCAGGCGGAGTTGTAGTGAGCCAAGATCATGCACACTACACTCCAGCCTGGGTGACAGAGCAAAACTCCATCTCAAAAAAAAAAAAAAACTTACAAAAGATTTTATTTCTACCTTTTTATTTGATACAAGGCTTTGGCTCTGTTTGAGATGTCAAGTGGGACTACACAAAAGCCTGCATTTTCTTCTTACACAGACCATTCTCTCTCAATATTTGGCAACAGAAGATGTCCTCAGAGGATTTTCATCTAAGAACCAGAGGCCTGCCTACTCCTGGCTTATTTCAAGTGAAGAACACAAATCCTAAACACAGCCTAACAGAGGAAATGGGATCAATGGAAATTCAAAGGTGACTTCTGAAAGGCCTGCCTAAAGCTTGTTCTCATATGACACCTTGTCCTACAAGAAGCCTCTCTTAACCACCTCATTAAAGGACATCAACTCTTTTAAAAATTGTTTAGCTTTACCCCTCAGTAGACTATATAACCCCAGAGGGCATAATTGGGGCCAGTGAGAAATAGCTAAGAAGCTGATTTTGATTCAACATAAGACCAAACTTTCAAACAATTACTGTCAAATGAGGAAGTAGTTGAATTGGGAGAGATTCAATATTAAAGTCTATTAACTCCTAAGGTCAAAGTTATTATTTGATGACATTAAAATTAATCAGTGACCTTGCAGAGCCTAAGGGAATGGGACATGAGAGAGTTAAGTTTTGGTGAGATCTTCTAGCCTGGAGGGCTGTGGCCTTGTAGTTCTCTTTGTGCAAAGTCCTGTAGAGTCTGGGATGGTCCTGGGTGCCTGAAAAAAGGCTTGTAGAGGGCCAGACCCAAATGTTCATCAAATTGAACCACTTATGAGAGAAAGTACCATGTGTTAGAGGTCAGGAAAGAATGAGTTACCACAAGCTCACTCTTGATTCTCTAAATCAAAAAGTAAAAGACAAGCCCATCCCACCAACCAACATCCTTTCCCCAAATCAAACAGATCTCCAATGGTGGAATCACAGATTATAAATTACTATTGCCAGAGCTCATGGAGACCCAAAAGCAACAGCTTCTCAAACAAAGACAAGGAGGAGTTCAGGAATGGGCAGGCAGCACAGTGAAAGAATGGAGCATGCTTGGCCTAGGATGAATCTCCTGGCCACGGGCCTCCCATCACCGGCCTGCATGCTGTGTCCCATCTGAAAGTGGCAGGCCCACCAACACAGAGATAATGACCGCCTGCTCCTTAATTTTGCTGAGAGTCAGTCCTACTTAGCTGCCTGTAAATGTGCATATGAATCTGATCATATTCACCTCCCTTGACTACATCTCTCATGCTCTGCTGATATTCATGTAGGAAATTGTGTGACAGTTTCATAGAAGGGGCTCAATGTCTAAATGGCAAGTCTACATTCCCTGTCACTTGGTCTTTCTGCCTCCTTTTTAACATGACACCATGGCATTCATTCTGTACAACCTTCAAAAGTACTTTAGAAAAGGCACAAGCTTTGGGATCTGACAGACCTGAGTCTGAAATCTGTTTCTGTCACTCCCAATTATGCAATCACGGGTGTACCAAACCTTTTAAACTCTCTGAAACACAATCTATCTCAATTTGTTCATCTGTAAAATGGGAATCATTATAACTCCCTGGAAAGTTTGAGAACTGGGATCAATGAGGATTCGAGGGGGAGGGTTAAACAAGATCCCAGGAAATGTTCAATAAATGTTTGTTCTCTGCCTCTTTCCCCTTTCTCTGCCTCCTTAGACTACACCATGACCTTTAAGAGGCCATATCTATCCAACAGGGTGTGACACTTTAAAAATAGAATACATTTTCAATGATGGCTATGTGATGTATATAAAATAAAGTACCTCCTGCCAAGTAAATAAATAGAGGAGAGCATGTACTCATTACTGTTCTAATTTAATCTATTTGAGTGCCTGGAGGTCTTTGCGAGGTAAATATTATTTTCACTCCGACCTTGGGTGCAGCGTTCCCATTGAATTTATCTCAGTTCATCCTTTTATGTCATGCTGAAGCCTTCCTAATAGACTGAAAGCACTTTGGTAAAAACAGAAATTAGCAGGATCTAAATAACCAGTAAATACGTGGTTACTTGGATGATTAGAGAATGGGATGTTCTGGGTAACTTGCTGTTCAGCCTAATAAAGACTTAGCATGTATGCCTAAATTACCTATTTTCAAAGAATAAAACCCATCAAAACACACAACCAGTTCTGAACATGAGATATTTAGTGATGCTACTCAGAGGCTGGCAGGGACATGGGACTCACCAGAAGGATTGTCAATAACTTTCACACAAGAGAATGAGCAGGACAGTGCTCTCACATGCTCGGAACATTTTTTGAAAGCAGCTTTGACTTTGATCTGTTTACTTGTTTCTAGTTTCTTCTTTACCAAGATTTATAGAAAAAAAATTGTTCTAAGTTCTCATCCATAAAATTTTTCAAAAAAGTATTTACATATCCTGCTCAATTTGGACAATTCAGTAGAAAATGAGAACTGCTCATATTCAATGGGTCATTGATGAGTCAGTCTGTACTGACTCAACCCTTCTAGCCTTCTGCCCCTACATGGGTAGACCCAGATATTCAGGAACTCTATGCTGTTTTGATATCCAGACACAGTTTATTTTCATAAGAAAGAATTTTTTTCTTTTAAAGCAAATGTGAATTCATTGTAAAACATTTAGGAAATACAGCCAAAAGGGGAAAAAAAGAACAGTATCTGTAATTTACCATTTTGGGATGACTACCGTTAATATTTTTGAGAGTCTTCTTTCTAGACATAAATAAAGATACACTTTTCATAAGTGGGTTCATAATATATAAACTGCAATGTTATCTACCTTCTTACCTTTTCAACAAACTGTTATGATCATCTTTTCATGTTAATATTCTCCCTCAGTGCACATTTTAATGATTACAAAGGATTTCATGTATCATAAATTAGTGTATTCTGAAATAAAGCAATATTCTTCTTTAAAAAGAAAAAAGAATAGTTTATAGCTAAATCTTTGCTTACATCCATTTAGTTCCACTAGATTAATTCTTGGGAGTGGATTTGAAGAACCAAGGTCATTTTTTAAAATTAATTAATTTATTTATTTTTATTATTATACTTTAAGTTTTAGGGTACATGTGCACATTGTGCAGGTTAGTTACATATGTATACATGTGCCATGCTGGTGTGCTGCACCCACTAACTCGTCATCTAGCATTAGGTATATCTCCCAATGCTATCCCTCCCCACTCCCCCCACCCCACCACAGTCCCCAGAGTGTGATATTCCCCTTCCTGTGTCCATGTGATCTCATTGTTCAATTCCCACCTGAGTGAGAATATGCGGTGTTTGGTTTTTTGTTCTTGCGATAGTTTACTGAGAATGATGATTTCCAATTTCATCCATGTCCCTACAAAGGACATGAACTCATCATTTTTTATGGCTGCATAGTATTCCATGGTGTATATGTGCCACATTTTCTTAATCCAGTCTATCATTGTTGGACATTTGGGTTGGTTCCAAGTCTTTGCTATTGTGAATAATGCCGCAATAAACATACGTGTGCATGTGTCTTTATAGCAGCATGATTTATAGTCCTTTGGGTATATACCCAGTAATGGGATGGCTGGGTCAAATGGTATTTCTAGTTCTAGATCCCTGAGGAATCTCCACACTGACTTCCACAATGGTTGAACTAGTTTACAGTCCCACCAACAGTGTAAAAGTGTTCCTATTTCTCCACATCCTCTCCAGCACCTGTTGTTTCCTGACTTTTTAATGATCGCCATTCTAACTGGTGTGAGATGGTATCTCATTGTGGTTTTGATTTGCATTTCTCTGATGGCCAGTGATGGTGAGCATTTTTTCATGTGTTTTTTGGCTGCATAAATGTCTTCTTTTGAGAAGTGTCTGTTCATGTCCTTCGCCCACTTTTTGATGGCATTGTTTGTTCTTTTCTTGTAAATTTGTTTGAGTTCATTGTAGATTCTGGATATTAGCCCTTTGTCAGATGAGTAGATTGCAAAAATTTTCTCCCACTTTGTAGGTTGCCTGTTCACTCTGATGGTAGTTTCTTTTGCTGTGCAGAAGCTCTTTAGTTAATTAGATCCCATTTGTCAATTTTGTCTTTTGTTGCCATCGCTTTTGGTGTTTTAGACATGAAGTCCTTGCCCATGCCTATGTCCTGAATGGTAATGCCTAGGTTTTCTTCTAGGGTTTTTATGGTTTTAGGTCTAACATGTAAGTCTTTAATCCATCTTGAATTAATTTTTTTATAAGGTGTAAGGAAGGGATCCAGTTTCAGCTTTCTACATATGGCTAGCCAGTTTTCCCAGCACCATTTATTAAATAGGGAATCCTTTCCCCATTGCTTGTTTTTCTCAGGTTTGTCAAAGATCAGATAGTTGTAGATATGCAGCATTATTTCTGAGGGCTCTGTTCTGTTCCATTGATCTATATCTCTGTTTTGGTACCAGTACCATGCTGTTTTGGTTACTGTAGCCTTGTAGTATAGTTTGAAGTCAGGTAGCGTGATGCCTCCAGCTTTGTTCTTTTGGCTTAGGATTGACTTGGCAATGTGGGCTCTTTTTTGGTTCCATATGAACTTTAAAGTAGTTTTTTCCAATTCTGTGAAGAAAGTCATTGGTAGCTTGATGGGGATGGCATTGAATCTGTAAATTACCTTTGGCAGTATGGCCATTTTCATGATATTGATTCTTCCTACCCATGAGCATGGAATGTTCTTCCATTTGTTTGTATCTTCTTTTATTTCATTGAGCAGTGGTTTGTAGTTCTCCTTGAAGAGGTCCCTCACATCCCTTGTAAGTTGGATTCCCAGGTATTTTATTCCCCTTGGAGCAATTGTGAATGGGAGTTCACTCATGATTTGGCTCTCTGTTTGTCTGTTGTTGGTGTATAGGAATGCTTGTGATTTTTGCACATTGATTTTGTATCCTGAGACTTTGCTGAAGTTGCTTATCAGCTTAAGGAGATTTGGGGCTGAGACAGTGGGGTTTTCTAGATATACAATCATGTCATCTGCAAACAGGGACAATGTGACTTCCTCTTTTCCTAATTGAATGCCCTTTATTTCCTTCTCCTGCCTGATTGCCCTGGCCAGAACTTCCAACACTATGTTGAATAGGAGTGGTGAGAGAGGGCATCCCTGTATTGTGCCAGTTTTCAAAGGGAATGCTTCCAGTTTTTGCCCATTCAGTATGATATTGGCTGTGGGTTTGTCATAGATAGCTCTTATTATTTTGAAATATGTCCCATCAATACCTAATTTATTGAGAGTTTTTAGCATGAAGTGTTGTTGAATTTTGTCAAACGCCTTTTCTGCATCTATTGAGATAATCATGTGGTTTTTGTCTTTGGCTCTGTTTATATGCTGGATTACATTTAATGATTTGCGTATATTGAACCAGCCTTGCATCCCAGGGATGAAGCCCACTTGATCATGGTGGATAAGCTTTTTGATGTGCTGCTGGATTCGGTTTGCCAGTATTTTATTGAGGATTTTTGCATCAATGTTCATCAAGGATATTGGTCTAAAATTCTCTTTTTTGTTTGTGTCTCTGCCTGGCTTTGGTATCAGGATGATGCTGACCTCATAAAATGAGTTAGGGAGGATTCCCTCTTTTTCTATTGATTGGAATAGTTTCAGAAGGAATGGTACCAGTTCCTCCTTGTACCTCTGGTAGAATTCGGCTGTGAATCCATCTGGTCCTGGACTCTTTTTGGTTGGTAAGCTATTGATTATTGCCACAATTTCAGATCCTGTTATTGGTCTATTCAGAGATTCAACTTCTTCCTGGTTTAGTCTTGGGAGAGTGTATGTGTCAAGGAATTTATCCATTTCTTCTAGATTTTCCAGTTTATTTGCATAGAGGTGTTTGTAGTATTCTCTGATGGTAGTTTGTATTTCTGTGGGATCGGTGGTGATATCCCCTTTATCATTTTTTATTGCGTCTATTTGATTCTTCTCTCTTTTTTTCTTTATTAGTCTTCTAGTGGTCTATCAATTTTGTTGATCCTTTCAAAAAACCAGCTCCTGGATTCATTAATTTTTTGAAGGGTTTTTTGTGTCTCTATTTCCTTCAGTTCTGCTCTGATTTTAGTTATTTCTTGCCTTCTGCTAGCTTTTGAATGTGTTTGCTCTTGCTTTTCTAGTTCTTTTAATTGTGATGTTAGGGTGTCAATTTTGGATCTTTCCTGCTTTCTCTTGTGGGCATTTAGTGCTATAAATTTCCCTCTACACACTGCTTTGAATGCGTCCCAGAGATTCTGGTATGTTGTGTCTTTGTCCTCACTGGTTTCAAAGAACATCTTTATTTCTGCCTTCATTTTGTTATGTACCCAGTAGTCATTCAGGAGCAGGTTGTTCAGTTTCCATGTAGTTGAGCGGTTTTGAGTGAGATTCTTAATCCTGAGTTCTAGTTTGATTGCACTATGGTCTGAGAGATAATTTGTTATAATTTCTGTTCTTTTACATTTGCCAAGGTCATTTTTTTAAAAAAATTATACATTGTCAAACTTCTCCAAAGATTTAAACCAAAGTATACACTCCACTGGCAGTTTACTGCTGTTTATGTGTCTGTTCCCAAGAAGACTGTGAAAGTCTTGATGTCAGGGTGTGTCGTATTCATCTTCATAGCCAACATTTTTTATGTTTTTGCACATTAAGTCACCGAAATATTTGTCAAATGAATGAATAATTTGATGACTCTTCCATTGTTTGAATGAATGTGTAATACAGGCAAGTTTGTAGAACGTTCCTAGGGCTCAGTTTTCTCTTTGGCAAAATGAGAATTTTGTGTTATATGCTTCCTACCATTCTATGATTTCACATCTGTTGTGTGAAATGCAATGACCAAGATACTCCGGGGAGATTACCCATATATACAATATATAATCATAGTGATGGGACATGAACACATATATCACATGTAAGCTAATTATAATTGAATAGAAGTATACATAGATGTGCTGAATACTCAAGCAGAATAAGGCTAGATGATATAATGGGAGATTATTATTATTATTATTATTATTTTGAGACGGAGTCTCGCTCTGTCTCCCAGGCTGGAGTGCAGTGCTGCAATCTCGGCTCACTGCAAACTCTGCCTCTATAATGGGAGATTATTGAAAGATGATACTCAGCTAATCAGACATCTCTTGCTTTCTATCTTTAAAAAAGTCCCTTTCTCACTCAGGAGTTTGTGTTTTATTGGTATCTAGAAAACAGGAGCCATAATTATCTTGAAACTCAGTGTCCTTCAGTTATTCCACCCACGGCAAAGCTTATCACACTAGGCTTTAGGAACATTTCAATCGTTTTTAAATTGCCTAGGATAGAATTGTATTTGTTGATTTTTATGTTCCTTGACTTCCTGGCACATTAGTGGGGAATGGGTGTAGACTGCCCTAGACTATCCATGCAACTACTATGCTTACCTCTATAGCACTTCTTTTCCAGGCCATCCCTGGTTAAGTATGTACAATCAAAGGCTTAGCTGATAGTCACAGAATCATTTGGTTCCCCTAATCACTCAGTTTATTACTTTATTAATTCATGGTTATTTATTGAGAATTTGTAACATTCTAAGCTAGTGGGCGGGGGGGAGGATGCAATTTGGTGTATACAACAATGGCAGATATAAACATGATCCACTGGACACACAAAGGAAAAACTCACCGATCTCCAGAAGCCAGGGGAAGTTCTCACAGAAAATGACTCTTGAAAATGATTCTTGAGATGGTACTTGAAGGAGGAGCTCAAGCTTGCTAGGTAGATGGGATTATGTGGGAAAGTGTGGGAAAAAATGGGATTCAAGTAGAGATATAGCACAGAAAAGGGCAACAGAATTGTGGGTTCATCACTGGTGAGTAGGTTTCCTATCAGTCTCCCACAGTTCTCCTCACACAGACCATCTAGTGAAGAAGCAGAGTTCCTGAGTCCGTCTCCATTCTTTGCCATAGCTCCAGA
Organism: Homo sapiens; assembly: GCF_000001405.40. Classification (NCBI taxonomy): domain Eukaryota; kingdom Metazoa; phylum Chordata; class Mammalia; order Primates; family Hominidae; genus Homo; species Homo sapiens. The sequence continues at coordinate 109,400,428 of NC_000011.10, read as the reverse complement.
AAAGTTCTTGCTGCTCTCCAGTGATAGCTGGCTTTGTGACCACTGCTTCATCCTGAGTGCGTCCACTTGGCCACTCTGCATAGACCCTAGCTGATCCAGCTTTTATGGCATTATGGGTCATGTAGTCTCCAACCTACACACACCTCATTTTTTTTGGTTTAAGAACTCCCTGTTCCTGGGACAAGAGGCCAGGGCACTTTTGGAGCAATGTCAGTCACTGTTACCTTCAAAGAATTTCCTTCAAGCTCTGAAACCAGATTTCTAGATGAGACACACATTTTCCCCACTTGTCTTATCAGATGACATGTCCAGAAGCCAATCTTGCTTAAACCAGTAAACTTACCTCCATCCACATCCATCCTGAAATCTCTTTAGCTGTCCCAAAAGAAGAAACATACTTTCTTCTGCCCAAAACTCTTCTCTTCACCTATGTCCTAAGCAAGTGCTTCCCAAATCTAAGAAACATAAAACTCATTTGAAAACCCTGTTAAAAATATGGATTTCCAACGCCCATATAGCTGAATCTGAATTATCTGAATTCTCAAGGGTACGAGTCAGGAATCTATAGTTTCACAAGCTCTTGAGATCTTTTTCTTGGTGGTAAAATATTTCATGCAAGAAAAGGGGGATGGGAGATATGTATTGAGTGTATACCCTAGGTGATCTCATAAAACTAAGCAATCTCTAATCTGTAGAACAGCATTTAGGACCCATTGTTCTGGATCTCCATAGCTTCCTGCATCTCCAAGAAACAGTCACTGTTAGTTCAGGGGCCTCAACTTCATCTTCTCTGCAGATTCCCTCCTCTCCATCTAGCAATGGGTTCAAGAATCTCACATAAAAGTATCCCCTCTAGACTCTTCTTGCTATCCCTACCTCTTTAATTTCTTTTACAGCTAACTTTCTTATGCTAGCCATGAAAGGAAATAGCTTCATTCCACATTCCCTAATCAACCATTTTGATTTCCATACCAACAACTTCATGGAAATTATTACGATTGTTATTTTGAGACGGAGTCTCGCTCTGTCGCCCCGGCTGGAGTACAGTGGCGCGATCTCGGCTCACTGCAAGCTCTGCCTCCCGGATTCACACCATCCTCCTGCCTCAGCCTCCGGAGTAGCTGGGACTAAGGTGCCCGCCACCATGCCCGGCTAATTGTTTTTTCGTATTTTTAGTGGAGACGGAGTTTCACTGTGTTAGCCAGGATGGTCTTGATCTCCTGACCTCATGATCCGCCCGCCTCGGCCTCCCAAAGTGCTGGGATTACAGGCGTGAGGAAATTATTTTTTTTAAAGTTCATTCATAAGAGCTGGTGATTTCTATTTCTTTAATCTGATGCATAGAATTGAGTTTTTCATCCTCTACAGTCATGGCAAACTTTCATTGACATTCTATGAAAATATTCTTTAAAATATTTTTTGTTGCATGCTTTCTTTGTGCTCTTCCTAATTCTACTCTTCTTATCTGCCTAAGGTACCCACCTAAAAACCCAGCTTCGGTGTGATATTTTTATATACATATATGTTATCAAATGCAAGTACATAGCAAAATACATAGCATTGTTCATATGTATAGTTTACATAAATGTTACTATGATGTAAAAAATAATTTTCTTTGTTTCAGGTGTTTTTAACATACATCTATATTGTTATATATAAATGTTTTATTTCCCTAGACTTCTTAATAGTATTCTATTCTGTACACATACCACAAATTTACTTATCCATACATGAATGATGGACATTTTGATTACCTTTATTTGCCAAGATACCCCTGTGATATACACCTATCTATATATATATACACACACACATCTATATGTACACATCTATATATACATATATAATATATACATAGATGTATATATAGATGTGTATATAAAGATTGTGTGTATATATGTGTATATGTATGTGTGTGTGTATATATATATATTTATATATAAATTGTGCTTCCTATGAGCAAATTTATTTCAAAGATTCTCAACCTTTGCTATATATTAGAATCACCTGGAAAGTTCTTTGTTTTTAAATACTGATGCTTGGAAACCTCACCCATCACCCTCCCCATCTCAAACCCAACTCAGTTGTTCTGGGGTGGGAATTGTACATCAGTATTTTTATTAAGGTCCCAGCTGATTCTAACGTATACATGGCAGTGAGAATTATTCTAGGGCATTGCTCTTCAAAGTATTGCTCACCAACCAGCAGTACAGACATCACCTGGAATTTGTTAGAAATGCAGAATCTCAGGCCACACGACAGACCTACTCAATTGAGATCTGCATTTTAAGAGAATCCTCAAGTGATTCACATGTGTACTAAACTTTGAGAAGCACTGGTCCAGTTTGTACTCTCAGGAATGAAAATACTGCTTTCTAAGGTATACATATATTTGATTACACTAACTACCACCTGATTGCTCAACAAAATGACTGTCCTGATTTATCCTTCCACCAGTACAAGCAGATAATTGTTAGCCCATATACTTAAAAGCATATTCAATTTTAATAGTTGATCCACTGTCGAGTTCTCTGTTGTTTTTATTTTTTAAATAGATTTATTGTGGCATAATTCATATACAAAAATTGTACATATTTAATGTATACAATTTGATAGTTTGGACACATGCATACACCCATGAAACCATCACCATAATCAAGGTAATAAACATATCCATCACTTCCAAAAGATTCCTTGTACCCTTTCATCTTTTATTGGTTGGTTGTTTTATTTTGTGTTGTGCGTGTCTAAGAGCACTTAACATGAGATCTATCCTCGGAAATCTTTTAAGTGCACACTATTGTTAACTATAATTACAATGCTTAACAGCAGATCTCTTGAACGTATTCATTTTGCATAGCTGAACTTTATATCCACTGAACAACTCCCCCATTTCCCTTCCACTGGCCCATGGCAACCACTATTCTAGTCTCTGCTTCTATGAATTTGACTATTTTAGATACTTCTTACAAGTGGAAACATGCAATATTTGTTCTTCTATGACTGGCTTATTTCACTAAGTAGAATATTTTCCAGGTTCATTCATGTTGTCACATATAACAGGATTTTCTTCTTTTTTAACGGCTGAATAATATCTACTGTATGTACATACCACACTTTATTCATCCATCAATGGACATTTAGGTTGCTTATATATCTTGACTATTGTGAATCATGCTTCAATGAACATGAGAGTATAGATATGTTTTTCACATCCTGTTTTCAATTTTTTGGATATTTACTCAGAAGTGGGATTGCTCGATCCTATGATAGTTCTGTTTTTAATTTTTTGATGAAACTCCACAGTTTTTCAAAGTGACTCTACCATTTTACGTTTCCTCCAACAGTGTACAAGAGATCCAATTTATCCACACATTTGCCAACACTTGTTATATTTTGTATTTTTGATAGCTGCCATCCCAACAGGTGTGAGATTATATCTCATTATGGTTTTGATTTGCCTTTTCCTTATGATTAGTTATGTTCAGCACTTTTTCATACCTGTTGGCCATTTCTATGTCTTCTTTGGAGAAATGTCTACTTAGTTTATTTACCCATTTTGAATCAGGTTATTTGTTTTTAATTTATTTGTTGTTACTGAGTAAAAGGAGTTCTTTATATATTTTGGATATTATATATATGGTTTGTAAACATTTTCTCCCATATGCCGATTTTCTTTTTATTCTGTTGATTTTTTTTTTCTGTGCAGAAGCTTTTTAATTTGATGTATTCCCATTTCTCTATTTTGCTTTTGTTGCTTGTGCTTTTGGGGTCATATCCAAGAAATTATTGCTAAAACCAGTTTCAAGAAATTTTTTCCCTGCGTTTTCTGCTGGGAGTTTTATACCTTTTGGTCTTATGTCTAAGTTTTTAGTCAGTTTTGAGTTGGTTTTGGTGTATAGTATGAGTCCAATTTTACTCTTTTGCATGTGGATTTCCAGTTTTCCCAGCATCATTTGTTGAAGAGACTTTTCTTTCCCCCATTGTGTATTCTTGGCAAACTTTTTGAAGATCAGTTGAGCATGGGTTTATTTCTGGACTCTCTATCATGTTCAGTTGGTCTGTGTGTCTGTTTTTACACTGGTACCATCCTATTTTAATTACTATAGGTTTTAAATATATCGTGAGATTGGGAAGTGTGATGCCTTCAGCTTTCCTTTTCTTGAGATTATTTTGGCTATTTGAGATCCTGGTGGTACTACACGAATTTTACGATAGTTTTTTCTATTTTTATTTTTAAAATGTATTTGGGATTCTATGGGGATAGCAGTGAATCAGTAAATCATTTTGGGTAGTGTGGACATTTTAATAATATTAAGTATTCTAATCCATGAACACATGACATGTCTTTTTATTTATTTAGGACTTTTTTTCAGCAATGTTTGTAGTTTTCAGTGTACAAGTCTTTCAACTCCTGGTTTAAGTTCATTCCTAAGTGTTTCATTCTCTTTGATGCTATTGTAAATGTCTTTAATTTACTTTTTATATAGTTTGTTCTTAGTGTATAAATACATAACTGATTTTTGTATGTTCATTTTCTGTCTTGCAGCTTTACTGAATTTGTTTATTTATTCTAACAAGTTTTTTAGTTGAGCTTCAAGGGTTTTCTACATATAAGATTATGTCATCTGCAAATAGAGATAGTTTTACTTCTCCTTTTCAGTTTGTGTGCCCTTTATTTCTTTTTCTTGCCTAATTCTTCTGGCCAGAACTTCCAAAACCATGTCGAATAGAATATTAGCAGTGGGCTTGCTATATGCACTTATTATGCTGAGGTAAATGCTTCTACATCTAGCTTGAGACTTTTTATCATGAAAGGATGTTAAATTTTGTCAAATTCTTATGCCTTTATTGAGATGATCATGTGAGTTTTATACCTTATTCTCTTAATGTAGTATATCATATTAATTGATTTGCATATGTTAAGCTATCTTTGCTTCCCAGGGATAAATCTCACTTGATCATCGTGCATGATCTTTTTAATGTGCTGTTGAATTCAGTTTGCTAGTATCTTGTTGAGTATTTTTGCATCTACAGACATAGAGGTATTGGCCTATAATTTTCTTATAGTGTCTGTCTGTGGCTTTGGTATCCGGGTAATGCTGGCCTCATAAAATAAGTTTGGAAGTGTTCTCTCCTCTTCAGTTTTTTGGAAGATCTTGAGAGGGATTGGTGTTACTTCTTTAAACGCTTGGTAGAATTCTGCAATGAAGCCATCTGGTTCTGAGCTTTTCTTTTATGAGAGATTTTTATTATTACTGCTTCAATCCCCTTATTTGTTAATGGTGTGCAGATTTTCTATTTCGTCATGATTCAGTCTTAGTAAGTTGTATGTGTCTAGAAATATATCTATTTTTTCTAGGCTACACAGCTTGTTGGCGTATAATTGCTCATAGTAGTCTCTTATGATCCTGTGTATTTCTGTGGTATCTATTGTCATGTCTTCTCTTTAATTTCTGATTTTATTTATTAGAGTCTTCTCCACTTTTTTCTTAGTCTAGCTAAAAGTTTCTTGAATATTTTTATCTTTTCTAAAATCAACTCTATTTTATTGATCTTTTCTATTGTTTTCTTGTCTCTATTTATTTCTGTTCTGATCTTTGTTATATCTTCCCTTCTGCTAACTCTGGCTTAGTTTGTTCTTTTTCTAGTTTCACGAGGTGTAACATTAGGCTGTTTATCTAGAACCTAATTTTTTTTTTAATGTAGGCATTTATCATTATAAACGTACCTCTTAGAACTGCTTTTGCTGCATCCTGTAAGTTCTGTGGTGTTGTGTTTCCATTTTCGTTTATCTCATGTATTAGTCCATTTTCACACTGCTGATAAAGACATACCCGAGACTGGGAAGAAAAAGAGGTTTAATTGGACTTACAGTTCTACGTGACTGGGGAGGCCTCAGAATCATGGGGAGAGGTAATAGACACTTCCTACATGGCAGTGGCAAGAGAAAATGAGGAAGATGCAAAAGCAGAAACCCTTGATAAAACCATCAGATCTCCTGAGACTTATTCATTAGCACAAGAACAGTATGGGGGAAACTGCCCCTATGATTCAAATTATCTCCCACTGGGTCCCTCCCACAACATGTGGGAATTATGGGAGTACAATTCAAGATGATATTTGGGTGGGGACACAGAGCCAAACCATATAATCTCAGATACTTTTAAATTTCCCTTTCCATTTCTTCTTTGACCCATTGGTTTTTCAGAAACATGTTTAATTTCCACATATCTGTGAATTTTTCAGCTTTCCTCCTGTTACAGGGTGAGCATCCCAAATTCAAAAATCTGAAATCCAAAATGCTTCAAAATTCAATAAACATTTTCTTTGTGCATCAGGTTGATGCTCAAAATGTTTCTGTTTTGGAGAATTTTGGATTTCAGATTTTTGGATTTGGGATGATCAACCAGTAAGTATATAATGCCAATATTCCAAAACCCCAAAAAAATCCAAAATCCGAAACACTTCTAGTCCTAAGCAGTTCAGATAAGGGATACTCAACTTCTATTGATTTCAAGTTTCATACCATTGTGGTCAGAAAAGATACCTGGTATTATTTCAATCTTTTAAGTTTGTTAAAATTTATTTTGTGACCTAACATATAATCTATCCTGGAAATTGTTCTGTGTGCACTTGAGAATAATGTGTTCAGCTGCTGTCAGATGGAATGTTCTGTATATGATTGTTACAGCCATTTGGTCTACAGTATAGCACAAGTCCAATGTTTCCTTATTGGTTTTCTGTCTGGATAATGTATTCATTGTTGAAAGGAATGCTGAAGTCTCCTACCATTATTGTATTGCTTTCCATTTCTTTTCTTTTTTTTTTTTTTTAAGACAGGGTCTCACTCTTTCACCCAGGCTGGAGTGCAGTGGCATGACCTCAGCTCACTGCAACCTCTGCCACCCAGGTTCAAGTGATTCTCCTGCCTCAGCCTCCTGAGTAGCTGGGATTACAGGCATGTGCCAGCACACCCAACTAGTTTTTGTATTTTTAGTAGAGATGGAGTTTCAACATGTTGGCCAGGCTAGTCTCAAACTCGTTGACCTCAGGTGATCCACCCGCCTAGGCCTTCCAAAGTGCTGAGATTACAAGTGTGAGCCACCTCGCCCAGCCACTTTCCATTTCTCCCTCTCAGTGTTTGATGTTTGTCAGTGTATCTTTAGGTGCTCTGATGTTAGATAGATAGATAGATAGATAGATAGATAGATAGATAGATAGATAGATAGATATACACCTATTTATAACTACATTACTTTCTGATGAATTTATCCTTTCATTATTATATATCTTCACCTCTTGTAACAGTTTTTGATTTAAAAATGTCATTGGGATTTTTATGGGGGTAGCACTGAATCTATAAATCACTTAAATTTTTCCTGCTGTAAGTATAGCTACCCCTGTTCTCTTTTGGTTATCATTTGCACAGAATATCTTTTTTCATCCTTTCACTTTCAGACTGTCCTTAAATTTAAAGTGAATTTCTTACAGACAGCAAGGAGTTGGGTCTCATTTTTGTTTTTGTACTATGCTCTGTCTTTGGATTAGGGAGTTTAATCCCTCTATGTTTAAAGTAATTATTGACAGGGAAGGACTTACTGTAGCTATTTTGTTCATTGTTTTCTCTCTGTTTTGTAGTTCTTTGGTTCCTCTCTTCATTTCCTGCTGTATTCCTTTGAGTTTCATTGATTTTTTTTTTGTAGTGATATGCTTTCTCTTTAGTTCACTGTTGCTTTAATTTACATTTCTCTGATTACCAGGTATATTTATTTTTATTTGTAGAGACGGGGGTCTCCCTATGCTGCCTAGGCTGGTCTCAAACTCCTGGGCTCAAGCAATTGTCACACCTCAGATTCTCAAAAGTGTTGGGATTACAGGCCTGAGCCACTACACCCAGTTTCAGTTTCTGATTACCAGTTAGATGGAGCACCTCTTCATACACTTAGGAGTCATTTTAATTTCCCCTTCTGTAATTGCCTTTTTCCACTGATTTGTAACATCACCTCTACCTTATAGAAAATTCTTCTACAAATTGTACCTGTTTCTGGCCTCTACTATGTTCTATTGGTCTATGTATTTGCAGCTTCACCAGTAACTTGCTGGTTTAGTTATTATGATTTTGTAATATTTCTTAGTATTTGGTAGGCCAAGTCTACCCTTCTTGATCTTCTTGCTTTATCAAAACATTTCTTTAGTATACAGGGACTTTATTTCTCCATATAAACTTTAGAATAAGTTTATCATACTCCCTCAAAAAAGGCTTCTTCATTTTCACCATAATATTTTTTAAATTCCCATGAGTTTTGTGGATAATTTATTACTAGGTATTTTTATAGATTTTCCTCAATTTTAATTGGTATCTATTTTATATTACATTTTTAGTTGGTTATTGTTAATTGGTATAGAAAATGCTACTGTTAATCTTGCCAGGAACTTTGCTAAAATCTTTTATTAGTCTAATATTTTGCTGATTTCCTAGGTTTCTATTGAAATCATCTACAAATAATGTAATGTTTTCTCTGCCTTTCCAGTGTTTATGCTTCTGATTTCTTATCTTATTGCATTGGTCAGAATCTCCAGGATTTTATAGAACTAAAAATGCACCTAAGGTTTTCCATAATATAAAATGTAGATTGTTAATAGTCCTCTGATAGGTGAATGTAATACACACATTTCAGTCCAGTTGAACAATATGTTCATCTTATTTGGTCTCTCTTCAGTTTTTAATGCTATTTACAATCATCCTTCTTTTTTTTTTTTTTTTTTTTTGAGACGGAGTCTCGCTGTCACCCAGGCTGGAGTGCAGTGGCGCGATCTGGGCTCACTGCAAGTTCCGCCTCCCAGGTTCACGCCATTCTCCTGCCTCAGCCTCCCCAGTAGCTGGGACTACAGGCGCCCGCCACCACGCCCAGCTAATTTTTTGTATTTTTAGTAGAGGTGGGGTTTCACCGTGTTAGCCAGGATGGTCTCGATCTCCTGACCTCGTGATCCACCCGCCTCGGCCTCCCAAAGTGCTGGGATTACAGGCGTGACCACTGCTCCCGGCCACAATCATCCTTCTTGAAATCTGTCTTTATTTTATTCTCTGCTGCTTTTCTGGCTATCTTTGGGTTACTCCTTTTCAACACACTTCCCAGGTTTGTTCATTCATTCATTCACTTATGCAACAAATGTTTACTGGGGACATCCTATATGCCAGATTTCTCCCACCATTCATCTGCCTCATTCTTTAGCTTTGTGTATACTCCTCCTGGAAAAACTTACTTCCATGGCCCTAACTACTATATATCATAGGTGCTCAAATCTATTTCTATATAGTCTATTATAGATCCTGAACACAAGGCCTGTACAGCCTACAACCAATTTAAACTCATCATGCCCCCGCCAAATAGCTTCTTTTGCATTCTCCCCCACTGGGTTAACTGCACTATTTGTTATGTAAAAATCAAGTGAAAGAAGTGCTTCCTCTTCTAAAAAGCCTTCTTCAGTTTTTCCATGGGTTACAACACTTTCCTTTTTGGTTCCTTGGTGTCTTGCTCACCTTCCTAGATGAAGTATAAAGGTATTTATACTTGCTATAATAATGTATTAATATGCCCATTCCTACTATTGGACTAGGAGCTCTCAGAGAAGCAGGAACTCTTCCATCGCTGAGTCACAGAGACTGGCAGTGTTGATGCTTGCTGAGTAAAGACTGGTTGTTGTCCACTGTGTGAAGTAGCCCTCATTTTCTCTTCTCTCTGAGGCTCGCAATTCTTATTCAACACTATTAAATAAAAAGACTCATTTTACCAAAAGTAATATGAGAAAGAGAAGGTGTTTCATTACGTTAAACCACAGTTTCAAAAGGAGAGCAAGGTGAAGAAAGAGGAAGGGTATTTAACCCAGTGCTGGTTAACTCCTGAGGTAAAATGGGCAGATTCAGTTCCCATGCCCTTTTCTCACATATGTCTCCTTCCATTTACCTTCATCTGCACTGTTCCTTCATGCTTAGGCCACAAAGGTGAGTTACGTTGTGCTTTTATGTGGTTTATTTAGAATATATTTAAAATGTATTACCATTATTTGCTTATCAACCAACTGGAGAAAATGAGTATGGAATAAAATTCAGGTAAAGAGCTGAAGATGGGGGAAAGAACTAAGAATTGTGCTCTTGAAACATTTTGAGAAAACTGAGTTCTGTCTATACCCTTGGGCATCTCAACAGGTCTGGAATACAGGGTCAAGGTGAAAGCTGTCTTGCCAAATTTGCAGGAATCTGGAAGAGATATAAAGACGTGTAAAACCCTAATTATCAGCATTAAAAGGAAGCTTACTTGTCATACATTACAACATTCCTTATTGAAACAGAAACTACCCTGCCTGGAGTCCTTCTCACAATCCTAGAAAAAAAAAAAAGAGGAATAAAATCAAGCAGAAGATTTTGTTCTTCCATGCAGATATGTTGAGGGTGTCCTACATGGAAGGAAAGAGAACCGGGGTAGAAACTTAAGATAAAAATTAATGCTTTGAATCAGTGACATTTAGCAAAGTGATTAGGCAGTGACATTAAACAAGTTCCAAGGCCATTTCCAAGTGATTTCTGTGGCCACCTGTGCTGCTCAGGAAAACCATGTTTGAGGTGGGAAAAAAAGACTCGATCTTAATTAAAACCTAAGGGTGCTTGTAATGGAAAGTTCAGGATACAGTTGTTTGTTTTTGCTATCAGTATACATTTGTTTAAAAAAAAGAAAAAAAAGACTTTCTTTTTACCCTAGGGAGCATAATGAAGGAAAAATAATTGGCCAGAATGTATGGAGAGAAAAAAGACATTAATGGTGTTCTAGAGTGAAATTGTCCACCTCTGACAACTGACTCTCCAGGCAGATCTGTCAGAGTGAGGGCTGTGCTTTTCATCACAGTGACTTATGCATAATTACTCTCTAATCCCATGGGTTTAATCAAATGTCTCTTTGGCTGTCCAAAATCATTGTCCAGAAACTGGATAGCACCTGCGAGATGCAGCCAGGGTGAGAGCTTCCCTGCAAGTAATGCCTGGTTAGTAAAAGTCAGATAAACCCCCCTTTTCATAGTCATCACTGCCACTTTGCACATGCTTCTCCCCTGCTGCCTGTTAGCTGACTTCTCTCGTCCCCAACCTTCTTCTATTCAGGTCTCTGGATATGGTCTTGCTTCTCATACCATGGCTATCATATTACTTAAGGGAGGAGGGAGATCTGCTGTCCTCAACATATTCAAGATTGCCCTAAGCCTCCACATCCATTTGGCAGATGTGTGGGAAGTTTTTATGGGTCCAGGCTGAAGTGGCAAATATCATTTACTTACACGTTCCACTGGCCTTCCATGTGGTCACACCTCACTGCAAGGAGACTAGGAAATGTAGTCGAGAGAAAAAGGAAACAGATTTTGTGAACAGCCAGTCAGATACTGCAACATTACTCCCTCTAGTTTCCACTTTAGCTTCCCCCTTGGTGTTGACTTTCTGACTACCCACTTGGTGTAATTCAGCAAAGTGCTGTTATTGGAAACAACCTCCAACAGAGTAAGCCTAAATCTGCATGATCAACTTGAATTCAGGAATTCATTTTTGTCAGCTGCCACCTGCAACACAAGAGGTGGACTTCTCAGACTACCCGGCAAGAGGTAAAAGGAGAGGAGGAATTAAGGTGGGTGGTGGAGAGATAAGGCCTGCTGTCCTTACAATCTGCTAGGAGAATTTTGCAAATAACCTCAACCCCTCAGTGCCAGAATAATGTATGGGCCTTTCCCCAAATAGCAGCCAAGGACTCAAACATATAGGGAAAGCTTGAGTGAGGAGTATAATGTAGGACAGCTCAGGGCCTCTGTTTTGGTTGTCAACCCATGTTTCTGTGCTTTGAAATTCTAGGTTATGCAGCAGCTTGAGAACAAGATTGTTGTCAGTAATTTCTGCCAATGAATTCTGAGTCACTTACCTTGATTTACGAGGAATGAGAAGAGAGAAACTCTTCTCCTTGCATTTATTTAATCAGTTGAAACCATGTGGATTTTTAGAGACAGTCTTAATGTAAATTACCCAAATGGTTCAGCACCACTAGATACGAAGTCCAGATTCAGCATGATTCTTAAGGTAAGAGTGAGATTTTTGACAAAATCCACTCTTCACTTAGAGAATCCCCTTCTCCCCTTTTCCCTAGTTGGACTGTAGGATTTCTCAATAGTGGCACTCTTGACATTCTGGGCCATATAATGCTTTACTGTGGGACAGGGAGCAGTCCTGAGCAATGTAAGATGTGCAGCAGCATCCCAGACTCTTCCCGCTAGAAGTAGCACCCCGTAAGGTGCCAATAGCGTTCACTTCAACAAGTGGTAACAATAAAAAAAATGTCTCTAGATATTGTCAAATGTCTGCTGCAGAAAGCAAAATTGTCCCTAGCTGAAAATGGCTTAATTGGAGAGAGGTTTGGCTTGCTCTTCTCTAAAATAAAAAATTCCAAAAATGTGCACTTTCTTAGCCTATTGCACAAAGAAATAGTGATTTATAGTATTACTTTTTAGTATGTACTTTATAGTATATACTGCCTCGGGGCAGTACATACACACCACATAAATACCTATGAACTGATTTTAACTAGTTAAGTAGCCATTTTCATTTAATGTTCAATGAAATTAAGGATCATAATGTATGGAGAAACTGGTCAGAGAAGAACAGCAGGATAGTGAAGAAAACACAAGCTCATGGGAACTACTAAAGGAGGGAAGGAGGGAGGGGGCCTAGTGTTGAAAAACTATCGAGTACTATGCTCACTACCTGGGTGATAAGATCAGTTATACCCCAAACCTCAGCATCATGCAATATATCACGTAACAAACCTGCACATGTACTCCCTGAATCTAAAAGTTGAAAGTATTTAAAAATAAAGAAACAAAAATTCAGATTACACAGAAAAATGAAAAATAGAAGTCAGGAATAAGAGAAATGATGTGCAATATAAGCACCTCATATCAATGAAGCATATTTTACATAAAAATATGCACTGTTTCACTTGTACTTGCAGCTACCCTTCCAAGTATTGTAAACAATCAATAAATATTTATTGATTTTTGAATTAATTACTGAAGATAACATCCCAAGTTCTCAGATAAGGGAGTTGAATTTCTGAGTGGTTAAGTAATTTTTCCAATGTTACAGGGACAGAAAGTCAGAAAGTGGCAGAGTTATGATTCAAACTCAGATCTGTCTTACTTTCAAGCTCATGTTTTTTGTTTGTTTTGTTTTTATTTATTTATTTTTTTTGAGACAGAGTCTTGCTCTGTTGCCCAGGCTGGAGTGTAGTGGCACCATCTCAGCTCACTGCAACCTCTGCCTCCTGGGCTCAAGCAATTCTCATGCCTCAGCCTCCAAAGTAGCTGGGATTACAGGTTTGCACCACCATGCCTGGCTAATTTTTATATTTTTAGTAGAGATTTTACTGCATTGGCCAGGCTGGTCTCAAACTCCTGACCTCAAATGATCTGCCCACCTCAGCCTCCCAAAGTGCTGGGATTACAGCATGAGCCACCAGGCCCGGCTCATGCTCTTTTATAATACTTCTCAGCTGCGAATTCCCCTGCAGCCCTGCTTTATTCTCATTGTGAAAAAAAAAGTCCTGGGAAGGATTTTTTTCACATGTTGAGTAGCAATCCAGCTGCAAAAGGAAGCCCTGCATGTGCCAGAGCCCATCAAAGGCACTGCAAGTTTGCATTAAGCCACTCGAGAATTCTCTCAAAGAGATACTTGGAATCTATGTCACAGAGTAGGCAGAGTGAAAAAGAAAAAGAGAGCTGTTGTTGCCAAAAGTAGATGGAGCCTATTATCAAATATGCTGTCATTACTTCTACAAAAATAAAAATGGACAACCGATGTTTTGCCCCTGAGTAGACTAGAATGGCTCCTAGAGATACTTCTGAGCAGGGTCCCATCTTTCAGTGTTTCTGTTTTCCAAACTGACCCAGTAGTGTACAATTTAAATAAAGATACCTTTACCTGTCCATCTTCATTAACCACAGCTACCTAGTGGTGCCACTACATAGGCCTTAAAATGGCTGGGAATGTGGAAATAGTCATTGTTTACTCCAAACTGATGGCATCCCTTGGAACTACTCTCATCCAGACCATCCTTGGAACCTAATGCTGGGTTATCTGTTGGTATATAGTAAGGGTGAAAATAATACGCCGCAAGTGACAAACGTGAAAAGATGCTCCACATCATGTTATCAAGGAAATGCAAATCAAAACAACAGTGAAATATTACCTTACACTTATTAGAATGGCCAAAATCCAGAATACTGAAAACACTAAATGCTGGTGAGAATGTGGAGCAATGAAATCTCATTCATTGCCGTCAGGGATGCAAAATGGTACAGCCACTTTGGAGGGCAGTTTGGCAGTTTCTTATAAAAGTAAACATACTCTTACCATACAATCCAGAAATTGTGCTCCTTGGTATTTACCCAAAAGAAGTGAAGGCTTATGTCTATGCAAAAGCCTGCACACAAATGTTTATAGCAGCTTTATTTATAATTGCTAAAACTTGGAAGAAACTGAGATGTCCTTCAGCAGGTGAATGGATAAACTGTGGTACATCCAGACAATGGAATATTATTCAGTGCTATAAAGGAGTGAGCTATCAAGCCATGAAAAGACATGAAGGGAATCTTAAATGCATATTACGAAGTGAAAGAAGCCGATCTGAAAAGGTTATATACTGTATAGTTCCAACTATATGACATTCCAGAAAAGACAAAACTACAGAGCAATGAAAAGATCAGTGGTTGCCAGTGGCTAATGGATAAAGAAGGATGAACAGGCAGAGCACAGGGAATTTAGGGTGGTGAAAATACTCTGATACTACAACGGTGGATACATGTCATTAAACATTTGTCAAAAAACCCATAGAATGTACGACACTAAGTGTGAATCCTAATGTAAACTATGTGTTTGGATTATAATGATGTGTCAATGTAGGTCCAGCAGTTATAAGAAACGTACCACTGTGGTGGGGGATGTTGATAATGGGAGGAGCTACAAATGTGGGGGCACAGACTATGGGGAATCTCGGTACTTTCCTCGCAATTTTGCTGTGAACTTAAAACTGCTCCAAAATATGCTGTGAAAATAACAGATAAACCAATATTAATTTGGGTCCAGCTATCTGTCTGTCATTGGCATAAGTGCTAGGGGTGGAGAGCACAATGATAAAGTATAGTTCTACTTTTCAAGCAGAAGCTTATCCATTCAGGTGGATGCAGCATATCTACATGGGAATGGGATATTGCAATACATGAAGAATTCCATGAGAGTTTGCATTCTTGGTCAGCAAATATTCTTCTCCTCCCACTGTGGGAAGAGTAGACTTCTATGCCCAGCTGATCTCGGGCTTGGCCACATAACTTGCTCTGGTCTTAAAGTGAATGTGATTTGAGCAGAAGCCTTAAGAGTATTTGTGTGTTTGGCTTGGTTTTTTTCACACTCAGTGGTCTGCCAAGAGAAGATACCCCAGGTAATCACTGCCCCTTTAACCTGGGCCCCCAAATAAACATGCATGGGGCAGATTTGAGCCCAACTTCTCATCTGGAGCCAATCTCAGTTAACTCTTAGCATGCAGCAGAGCTGCCCAGATGAGCCCATCCTAAATCAGTTGAATCAATCACTATTGAACTGTGGACGCTTAAGCTTAAGAATGCTTGTTTAAGCCACTGATCTTTCAGCAGTTTCTCATACAGCAATTACACGCCAATACCAACACCAAAACAAGGAGCATGTAATAATAAGTGTGTGTGTTTATGATCAAAATTGGCTTTAAAAAGAGATAGAAATTGAAGTAGAGAGTGGGAAAGAAAATTTTTAATTGCTTAAAAGAAGACAGATGTTATCCCAGGTAAAAGGAATGGCATGAGCAAAGCTAGGTAGGTAGCTGGAAATGGCAAGGTGCCTTGGGGGCCCAGTGAACAGACCATTTTGACAGAAGCCAAAGATTTTTACATCTTTTTTGTTTTGGTATAAACTGCAAAGGTAAGTTGGGATAAACCTCTAGAAGACTTTGAATATAAATCTAAGGAAATCTGACATGTAACCTCAGAGAAATGGTTAAGAAAGTCTGCAACTGCTTTTGTGATTTGGGGATAAACAAGCAACTTCAAGCAAACCTCTTTACACATGTATTAGAAACAGAAAACAGAGGGAATTCTTAGGGAAAGAGATTTCAAAAATGAGAAGAAATAAATTGTTTTAGACATAATGAAATGAATTTTGGGTGAGACATCCTGTTCTGTTGTGTTATGTGTTTATTTTAAAAAGGAAGCTCAGTATAATTCTAATGAAGATATTTTTCAAGGTTCAGAAGATGGACATTTGAATCAAGATAGAGATCAATAAAGGAGGCTGAATTAAACATCAGTCTGTAAATTGCCAAAACATAGACTGTTCTGAATCATCTACTTGTTAGTGATAAGAAGGGTGGCAGGAAGTAGTGGAATGAGACTTCAAGGCTCGATTTTTGAGGTTTTCAGAGCTACAGGAGCTGCTATGTGCCAAATGATGTGTTCCCTTACAGAAAGAAATCACCAAAACAGGTCCCAGAGCAAAAATCTTAATCCCTTTTGCAATGAACTCCCTAATCCTATAGCAAATGTAACCAGTGAAGTTCAAGCAAGAAGGACAGGGACAGTTTGAGTCAGGATTTCATTAGAGACACAAAAGGCTCCAGTTCACAATTGCAAATGACAATCTCATTCTGTCAGTCAGAGGTAGGTAAGAAAGGGCATTTTAAACACAGTTCTTTCCTGGGGAAAACTGCTAAGAAAAAAAGAACATACCCAGATGGCCAGCGCCTAAGGGAATATGAGATGGGACAAAAGGAAGTCAGGCAAGAAAAGATAAAATAAATTCCACATGCACTGCTTCTTATTGCCATTTCTTCTTTGTATAGTTGCTATGGGAACTGTGTTTTGGAAGCTCTCTAAACCTGTCTACTCAGTGCAAAGTGATCAAGCATTTGGGCTGAAATGACCAGTCAATCTAAGCCAACTGGTTTGATTTATTTCCAACTCATGCTCCCCCTCAACTCTAGCCAAATTGAGGAGCTGCCTAGCTGAATTCAGTGTCATCTTGCAGAAATAAAGCTGGTTTACCTGTTGTATATATTTGCATTCTTGCCTAATAATAATAAGATGATGATGCCCTTGGGATATGTCTTCCCCTACTAGGACCCCATTCGTTCTGGGATTACTAGCAGCTCTAGAAGGGGATAAAGTGGGTGGGAAGGCAGGAAAAGACTAGTTGAATAATTCATACACTTTTATCAGGGATATAGGCATACAAGCAAACTGAGGAGCAGGGAAAAGTACTGCATTAGAGACCCAGTAGCCAGGCAGAAAAGAACCAGGACGGAATAGTTGCCCAAGGCAAGGCAGAGCTGAGAGACAGATGGAGGCACCAAGAGGAGACCTGGGCAGTGAGGCCATCTTACCCAGGACAGAGGCTGCACATCAAGCTGCTGCCTAGGCTGTTACCAAACTGAGGGCTTACTCTAGCATCCCCCACTGCTGCCATTCCATGGGAATCCAGTCGCTCTTCTCTAAGTCCAGCTGCAGATCACTGGCCCGCATCCTCCACCTGGCCCTGGCTTGACATTAGGCCATGCTTCCAGATGGTTGATCGAAACACAGTTGTTCATTTCTGTCAGATTCTCCCAAGCTCATGCCCTGGGCACCTTTGCTGATTGCACTGAAGAACTATTCCCTCCCATCCCAAACCCCATCTGTCAACCCAACATGCAACATGAGGCTTCTAAGTTCTCTTCTCTTAGTGTATTATCTGTTGTCTGCCTAAGATGTCACCTTGGCTTCTCCAAGATCAGAACCCCTGGTAAACCAAGAATCAGAATGCTGCCTGCAGCCTAGTCAGTGTCAGTGTTTTACAGTCTCTCCCTCTTTGGCCAAAGAAGAAAAGAACAAAAAGGAATGACCTTTTATTAATGGAAAGCTGCAGAAATTATAAAACCAATATTCATCTACAAATTTCTGGGTAGGAAATACTGGAGATGTATGAGTCTTTCACAAACAGAACTGGCCTTTGATGTCATGAAGTGGGTTTGAAACTCTTTTCTTTTTATATATGTTGTCTTACACCCTAGTTGCCAGGTGCCCAAGACCATGGAAGCCCACCCCTTGCATCATCGTGCCCTGGATGTAAGTCATGGAGTCAAAGGAGATCATTTCAGAGCTTTAATATTTAACGACTGCCCCACTGGGTTTTGGACTTGCATGGGGTCTGTGGCCCCTTTGTTTTGGCCTGTTTCTCCCATTTGGAATGGGAACATTTACCCAATGCCTGTACCCCCATTGTATCTTGGAAGTAACTAACTTGTTTTTGATTTTACAGACTCATAGGCAGAAGGAACTTGCCTTGTCTGAAATGAGACTTTGGACTTGGACTTTTGTGTTAATGCTGGAATGAGTCGAGACTTTGGGGAGCTGTTGGGAAGGCATGATTGCATTTTGAAATGTGAGAAGGACATGAGATTTGGGAGGGGCCAGGATGGAACAATATGGTTTGGCTCTGTGGTCCCCACCCAAATCTCATCTCGAATTGTAATCCCCACATGTGGAGGGAGGGATCTGGTGGGAGGTGATTGGATCACAGGGGCGGTTTCCTCCATGATGTTCTGGAGTGAGTTCTCACAAGAGCTGGCTGTTTGATAGGGGTCTGCTGCTTCCCCTCTCTCTCTCTCTCCTGCCACTATGTAAGATGTGCCTTGCTGCGCCTTTGCCTTCCACCATGATTGTAAGTTTCCTGAGGCCTCTCCACCCATGTGGAACTGTGAATCAATTAAACCTCTTTTGTTCATAAATTACCCAGTCTCAGGTAGTATCTTTATAGCAGTGTGAGAAGGGACTAATACAGCAGGACCCTTTCTTGCTCCCCAACACCACAGATCCTCCAATCACATGACCTATGATGAAGCAACTTTATGCTGCCACTACCTCATTTTCTTTATCAAATTAGGCTGCCCCTGTGCCCCCATTTTCTCAGAGACAGGGCTCTTCTTCAGAGAAATGGGTGATAATTGAAAAATTAGATAAAATGTCTTTCCCCAGACAAATTATTTCATGACAATCCCTCTTATTACAATTGTGGAAAATACTTCAGAAAAGAAATTCACAAATTCCTAATGATGAATCAGATAAATTGAAGAATTTGTTCCATCTTTCAAAAAATACAATTGCTATTTTCTAGAGGCTAAAACTTGGCATCCTGCTCTAATAAAAATCAGATTAATTAAAAGTATTAAAAAAGTGTAATGATGCTGATGATAAATAATAATTGATATGCCTCTAGAGTTTATAAATGCTTTCACATTATCTCCTTGACTTCCATTTTAACCCATAAGATATGTATGATTTTACACCTACTTTATATTACAGCTGAGACCCAAAAATTAAATACCTAACTTGGGTTTTTCTGACTCCAAACTATACTTTTTTGCTATAATTTCATAAAATCCTTGATTCTCTAAATCTATATTTTCCCGTTGTTCCAGTTGGTGATTTTGTAGGAATCATTTTTCTCCTTTCATTTTCTGCATAACTGCCTGATAAACTATGTACTCAG
This sequence comes from Homo sapiens, assembly GCF_000001405.40. Classification (NCBI taxonomy): domain Eukaryota; kingdom Metazoa; phylum Chordata; class Mammalia; order Primates; family Hominidae; genus Homo; species Homo sapiens. The sequence continues at coordinate 109,380,792 of NC_000011.10, read as the reverse complement.
AGTTAGATTTTGCCTCTAAATAATGAATTGCACTTATGTCTGTCTTCTGAAGGTTCTCCTTAATAAAACATTTTTCACCTCCAACTTGCCTAGAAAAATTACTTTAAAATTTTGTGTATCACTCCAAGTATAAGACAAAAGCTCAGATTTGAGATCAGACATCCAAAGCCATTGTGAACCAGTTGGAATCACTGATACTGATAATGAGATTATCAAGTCTTTATTCCAAATGTGACTAGTTTGACTTAGTTGCTAGGTTGTCTTTAGGGTTGTGTGTGTGTGCATTGCAGACACTGGAGCACCAGTTGGGCAGGATGGTAAAGGAGTGGGTGTTTGGGAGGGATAATGCACTTGGGAAGACATCAGCCTCTCTCTACTTGTTAGATATGTAAGAATATTCTAATTTTTTATAGATTTTCTTGCTTCTCTTTCGCATTAGCATAACCCAGTAATGATGGTGATTTTAAGAATTTAATTTGGCAGGTAACTGATTCATAACTTAGACCAATCACTTATGGTATTTTCACACAAAAATAATAACAGTTGGAGATGTTCCCATTTAAAAACAAATGTATGCCCAAGGAGAATGCATTTCTCCCATGGGTTATTATAATGATTTTATTATGTCTAAAGAAGGACATATCCTAAATACCTAACTGAATGATAGATTACAACAGTGTCAATAGGGCTGAATGTGTTATGTAAATGACATACCCTTTCATAGGACAGGGGGAGTGCTTTATTGGTATGGGCAAAACATCACCTGTGATGTCTCCTTCAGGGCTCAATGCCAAAAAAAACAGGTTTTCAGGTACTAGAGAGGAAGGAACTTTACAATCCTACTTATAATAGATTCCTATGAGACAAGAGCCAGTATATTCTAGATTCTATTGCTCCACCACTAGCAAGAAATACTACAGGTATTTTTTCACAAGAAATACTGCAGGTATATACTATACCTATAGAAAAATAAATTGCTCTATGAACAGCAATATATACTCTACACTGAAGTAATTTTGTTCCTGGGAACTTTTAATACACTGAGCTGATTGTACTTGGTGGTCTAACAAACTTGCAGATTAAAATGACAAACTGTTCACTATTGAGTCTGTGAACACAGGGTTATTTTCAGGGGGGACAGGGATTCAGACTCAGTCTAAGGCAACCTTTGAAAATTGCTTAGTAATTCTGCCTTCTCCTCCCAGGCAAAGAAAAGTAAAGGAAAGAAGAAGAGGCTGTTATATTTCTTCTTTCCCAGCAGAAGACTACAGCCCTGAATATGGTCCCTTCTATAAGCTTATAGGCTGCCTCAACTCCTAGAGACCAAGGAATAAGGAACAGAACTATCCAGCCCCTGGTCTGGGTAGGGGAAAATAGGGAAGATGAATGGGCTCAGATCATTGGGGTAATTAAAGGAAGAAGACATAAATACAAGACAACCCTCTCTTGTTTGGGTGTCTCTTCCTGACCTCAGCTTCAGAGGCCCTCTTAGCTAGTCTCTACCTTGGAGACCCTGAAAAAGAACAACCTCACATCATCTTTAGGCCTTTCTTCCCCTGTATTCTGAATGACCCTATCATATAAATGGAACCAAGGCCCATGATTAGCCATAGTCTGCAGTGCACACTGTAAATACTCCACCATCCTCTGTCCAGCTTACCTGACACACAAGACCCAAACTCTTAACACCTCTAACAAGCATTTGATACTTTGTGAAGAACACCAGTTTGATCTGGTAGAAGGATATCAGCTTCTGTACCAATGCTGTCCATTGTATTTTACTGCAGTACAACTCAACTAGATATATGGAGTGTGTGTGTGTGTGCATGCACGCACATATATACCTACCACGTGCTAAGTTTTAATGAGGGATACCGAATATGTAAGAACTATTCCAGCCTTGCAGGCACTCATAGTCTATTAAGGAAATAAGACAAGTATTCAACAACGTTTGAATCAAGATGGAAGTTAGGCCCAAAAAGAGAGATAGCTGCACAGCACAATACATGTAGTAGGGGCCAGGGGAGGAACATAACAAGGGAAGGAAGAGAGAGTGCATCCAGCACCCGCATTTTCACTCCATGGGCCAAGACAGGGTTTCTCAAGCTCAGCATTTCTGACATTTTGGCTGAATAATTCCTTGTTATGGGGGCTGTACTGTGTATTGCAGGGTGTCTAACAGCGTCCGTGGCCTCTACCCACTACATGCCAGTAGCACTGCCCCCTGCTCCCAATCATGATAACCAAATATGTCTTCAGACATTGCTAAATGTCCTTTAGAGAGCAAAATCACCCCTAGTTGAGAACCACTTGACCGAAACTATTCCTTTGTAAGAATATAATTGAATCTATGTACCCAGATATATTTCCACTTATTTGAACACCATCCAGGCAGTAGTTTTTCATAAATCTTCTCCACCCACCCTTTCCTGCCTAGGTTAAGTGCAGAGTGATGTTGCAAGATTAACTGAGATAGGGGTTGGGGTGAGGGGGTGTTTTTTCATTTTGTAAGAAACCAGTTTAACATCTGGTCAAAACATGCAAGTTAGCACTGACTCTATGTATTATACCACATATTGTGTCAGATTTTATGGATTTATTTCTCCAGCTGTTGGGAGTGCTCCTGAAAGACAGCTCTCAGCTGTTTCTCTCTTTGGGGACTGCCTTGGCCAGAGATATCTGCCTTACCCAAGGTTGTGCCTCTTTACAGGACCATCCTGAACCCAATCATAGTGGGGATATAAAAGGTGCAGGGGCTGCCTGAATAAGAGGCTGATGTGGTGGTCACTGGAGCCTTGGGACCCGTGCAAGAAAAGAGTCACTAGAAGGAAGCACGGTGCCAGGAATTACACTGATTTGTTTTATAATTCTGCATAGGACTGGGCCTGCTGCTGCTGGAAATGGAAATTTCACAAACATTGAACTAATCTCCTTTCCTAACCATATCTTGAAAGGAGTCTTCTATTTGGGCTAAGAGGTGAAAATAAGGAGGACAAAAGGTCAAAGAAGGGCCAGCTATTTAGGGTAGTCAGAGAGAGAACACATGAAACATTTCAGCTAAAATTGGACAGAAAGAAGCAGCAGTTAAAAGTCACTCTGTAGGAAATTAGACCAGAAGGTGGACTTAAAAGCCCCAGCTTTTCCTCTGTGGAGTGTCACCTTTCTGATCCTTTCTGAACAAAAAGGAGAACAGTGAGTTTTCTCTCAGAGATGGCCAGGAACCAGGAGTGGGTGTTGTGGTGTGCGATGTTGCTTCGTGCTCAGGATAAAGGCCTGTGCCCTTGGCCAAGACAAGTGATGGGTCAGGGTGGGAAAGAACTGCTCCACATCCATAGATTTGTATCTCTAATTATTTTTACACTCACTGGGATTTAAACCTTTGCTTGGAAGGATTATTGTGTACCTTATTTTGTTTAGAGTACCTATCTGCTGAGCCAACATTTTGGAACATCAGGTTGAGGGTGTTGACATGAGACAGGGCTGAGAGTGAACACAGAGCCCCAGAAATACAGCCCCTGGAAATAAAATATCACCATGCCCTGTGAGTATCAGTGCCCGGCACAGGAACTGTGCCTTATAAATTGTTGCAGGTCGGGTTCCTGGGGAAGCAGACTCTGAGACAGAGATTAGCATGCAGGATGTTCCTTACAGAGTGCTTTTAACATCAACAGCTGTAAAAGAGAAAGGATGGAAGCTGGCTTGGGCAGATGGGGAAGTTAAGAGAGTTCCCATGTGGAGCTCTGGAGCTGGCATGGTCCTGCAGTTGACATGAGTTGGAAGGATGGGTCCACCTTCTGGTCTAATTTCCTACAGAATGAGTTAACTGCTGCTTCATTCTGGCCAATTTTTAGCTGAAGTGTTTCATATGTTCTCTCTCTGACTACCTTAAATAACTGGCCCTTCTTTGCCCCTTTGTCCTCCTTATTTTCACCTCTTAGCCCAAATAGAAGGCTTCTTTCAGGATCTGGTTAGGAAAGGAGGTCAGTGCAATATATGTGAAACTTATATTTCTAGCAGAAGAAGGTTCAGTCCTATGCAGAATTATAAAATAAATCAGCGTAATCTCTGGCCCTAAGCTCCCTTCTAGTGACTCTTCTCTTGCCCAGGTCCCAAGGCTCTGGTGACCACCACATCAGCACCTTATTCAGGTAGACTCTCACACCCTCTGCACTTTCCTGCCTCTCTTTTGCCCATTAAAATCTTCCTCCTTTTGCCCCATTTACTTGGCCCCTGGTAGGCTCCTGGAGGGCTATTTACAGATGCACTTGACTGGGGTGTGACTAGGTCACATTGTTTTCATATCTTATTCCTCCCTCAGGGCATTTGTGTTTTCATGTCAATTTCCAAGAATGGAGGAACAAGTAGTGTTAGGGTCTCATGAAATCTCATGAAACAAGAAAGGGCCATTTGTGAGCAAGGTAAACTTTTTCCATTCTGTAAATCATGTTGATAGGACCATTTCCCTCACTCATGACTCTGACCCACCTACTCCAACCAACCTGAGCAAGGAGAGAAGGACCTCTTCCCTCCCATCACTGCATGGCAGTGCAAACGGGCTAACCAATGCTTCCATTCCCATGCATGGGACAAAGTTACTGAACAGCCAACTCAACCAAGCTAACAAAGTGATGAATTCATTTCATGGAAATAAAATCTGACTGATTTGACTAAGCTGACAGGTTTGTTTTTGTACTATTGGAAAATTAACTTACCTTTTTTCTTTTCCCTTTTGTTTTCTATATTTACTTCTAAAAGACCTACTCAGCATACACTATGAGGCTTAATTAAAATAAGCTCATAACAAATCAGTTGTAGACAATACAAAAGCCTGAAGTTCCAAGTCTTTGCTATTGTGAATAGTGCCACAATAAACATACGTGTGCATGTGTCTTTATAGCAGCATGATTTATAATCCTTTGGGTATATACCCAGTAATGGGATGGCTGGGTCAAATGGTATTGCAGCACACCAACATGGCACATGTATACATATGTAACAAACCTGCATGTTGTGCACATGTACCCTAAAACTTAAAGTATAATAATAATAAAAAAATAAAAATAAAAGCCCGAAGTTTCCCCAGGGTGATAGAGGATTTGGCCTCCCCTGCCACCCCTGCCATTTACACCCTCAAATCTTCCTAAAGCTGTGCTCAGCAAGGGCTCTGGGACATACAAAATCAAAAGAACAATTGAGGAGATGCAGGACTGGGAAAGAGAGAGACAGACATCTTTATCAGTCTCACAGAGAAATGTACTCAGTGAACCAAAATGAACCTGACAGAAATCAAAGGAAGAAGAGTCTGCAGCCAGGATTGTGAAGACCCAACATTGGGGTCCCAGGCAGAATCCACACCCACGCAGTCCCCATGAAAATAGGCTTTGGAAGGATCTTCCCAGGATTGCAGGTCACATGCTAGCTCCCATCCACCCTCAGTCATCTCTAAAAGGACAAACACAAGTTTCCACAAGTCTAATTAATGTGATGTGGCAGCTTTGCCTGCAAAATAAACACCAATCCCTAGAATATCAGTTAGTGAAAGACGCTGGTCACCTTGCTTGGTAATGTTCAAGTTTGTTTTCCACATTAAATCTTTTGGCTTTTCTCAAACAATAATTATAACAAACACACATATAGCTGATCTAATTGGAGCCAGAAGGAAGCAATCAACGTGCTTAATATACTTTCCACCTCTTCATTCCAAAATTGCTTTTTCTCTTTCCCTTTTTTTTTTTTCATTTAGTTCTAATGGTGTATCTATCCAGTGCTCACCATAAGTCTTTTGCCAAAATTTTTCTGGCCATCTCTTGGTTGTTTGTAGTACGTTTCTTAAGAAGGATTCATGAAGCAATTACTGCCTAAATTCTTTCAAAACTATTTCCCTATAATCTGTACATTTGAATCCTAATCACTCCTCTGTGATCCTTTCTGCACTTTTGCTCTTCACCTGCCCCGGTGCAGGTGACTACTATCTGGCCCTAGCCCTGTTGGAGATAAATTCTTTTCACAGCAGCATCAGCTTAAATTTTAACATCTGTACTTTTAGGTTTGGTTTCTTTGGGGAAGCATTGTACAAGTTCTTCCTGAAGTCTGTTGCCATTTGGTGCCCTGAGTACCTTGGCAGTTCTTGCCCAACTCCCCACCACACCCGACACAGCTTCCCTCACAGCTCTGCCTCGTAGATGCTTTTGGCTGCCATTATGCAATATTTGGAGCTTCCAGACTTACGTGTCTCCTGGTTTCACTGAAAATAAAGTTTGTGTATATTACATATTAAATATTTTATTTAATTCTCTTTGGTTTTATTCCCTGAAGAAGAAAGGAATGGAATCTGAGCTAACCTACCATGTTTGTACTGGAAGTCCTGCCAACAGCATTTAAGGAGGCCTGGTAAGAGACCTTTACCCACAAGAGCACTCTGCATTGTATTACAATTACCCAAATCAATAAACTCTTCTCTTGGAAGGTATGAATGTTAGCTGCACAGAGAAAGACAGTCAGTCATTCAGTGGAGCAAAAAGTCAAAGCAAGGGAAAGAGACTTGGAGAGAGAAGTGCTGACTCAAGAGAAAATGAGCTGCCAGAGGCACATTCTATCTCAAAAACCTACTCTAATTCTTTGTAGGGTCTTACCTACTGCAATAAATTCTTCAGCTATCTTGCCTTCTAGAATTATTTCATAAAAACACATCACTGTGGCTCAGAACCTGAATGAGTATATCAAACTCAGCATCCACAGCCCTAATAGTAACTGGATTTTCTTCCTACTTCTCTAAGTAGTTTGTGCTTGCTTCCTTGGTTTCCTCCTCCCGTTTTCTTTAATAGAAGGCAATGGATATTCTATCCTCAGCCCTTGGTAGCCTCTTCAGTTTGCATGTGCTTCAACTTAGGCAAATGACTCAATGCTTGACCCCAGCTCCTGCTTCTCTTCCATCATTTATTTGCAATCCCCACTGCCTACTGCAACTCACCAGTAAGGTCTTCCCAGCAAACCCGACTATCCCCAAAGTTAAATCCATTATTTCCTTACTCAATATCCCAGCCTGACTTTGGTGTCTATTCTGATTATTTTATTTCCCCTAACTCTCAAACCCCACCACAGGCAGGTTATTACTGATAATGACTCTTTGGGGAAGAGATTTATAATATTTACCAATATCTGCACTCCCTCCTCCCTCCTGTGCACATACCTGGATTTTATTTTCCAGCCTCTCCTGCAGTCAGGTGTGACCAAAGGAGTATGAGTGAAAGTAATGTGTGCCTCTACAAAACCTGACGCATATGAAGAAACAAACCATCCATCCACACCTGATCCTTGTCTTCTCCATCTGCCAGCTGAATGGAGAGAAACAAAGAACTCCTGCTGACCCACACTGGACTATGACATGAGCAAGAAGCACACTTTTATTATGTTAAGCCACTAATATTTTGGGATTATTTGTTAGAGCAATGGAATCTATCATGATGAATACATTTTTTAACATTCTCATATCTTTTCTTTTTTTTTGGCTAAAATTGATCCATATTCTGCGTACTTGCTTTTGTCACTGAACATCATGTAAATTTTTCCAAATCTATTAGTATAGAGGCTACTCATTCTTTTTAATAGGGGTGTAATAATCCTATATGTATTGCAGTATATATTTAATATGTTATTATATTCAATAATTATGACAGATGAGTATTTCTTTGTTTTTAGATTCTTACTTCTATAAATGATGCTGCAATAAATATTCTTATACATCCCCATGTGTGTTATTAACACAACTATTCTCTTGATAACTTTCAAAATTATAAAATTTGCCAAAGATCTCTTTGGCTTCTCTTGACTTCTCCAAGTTAGTACCACTCCCAGTCTAATTTGAAGGCAGTCTTCATCAATTCAATGTCCCATTGTCATCTCCACCTATCACATCAACGCTGTGGTCACGGTCCTAGTTCAGACACCTACTACCTCTCACCTGCTTGATGGCAGGAGACTGACTCTTCCTTTAAAATGTATTATTTTGAAATGCTGGCTTAAGCAGAATTAATTTTTTTCCAAATGTCATCAACTCTTTAGACATGGTGAGTTTCCTATAAGAGGATACATTATGCAGCATTCCCCAAATTTATTTTACTATAGTTTTTTTTTCCATGGGACATCTTAAAAGATTAGTGTATAAAACACAATTTGGGAAGTGCTGTTCTATATGACTCACCAAAACCAGTTTGTTTGTTCTAACTTTTTAACAAGAAAAATTTATGTCACATAGACAGTCATAGATCTCCACTTTGCCCTTAAGGATCATAATTCCACATATCAACTGAAAACTATTATTCCTGGGCGTTCACAGGAGAACACAGTGAGTAATCCTGAAATAAAATGCAGTTGTTCCTTGGTATCCATGGGGGACTGGTTCCAGGGCCCTCACAGCTATCAAAATTTCAGGATGCTGAAGTCCCTTACATAAAATGGCATAGTATTTACATGTAAACTACACACATCCTCCCATACACTCTAAATCATCTCTAGAGTATGTACTAGTAAATTTTTATTTTACTATGGCTGTGTCTACATTATATCAAATAATTCACTTTAAAAGTGAAAAATGTATTCAAGCTGATTGTATCACATAACATAGATTTAAGAGAGAAATGAATTTTTAATGATACCGACTGAGCTATATACAATTTATCACTTTGTTTCAGAGAGAATTACAGAGTTGTTTGGTGTGTCAGTCAATTAGTCAATTGCCTATTTGTTATCAAATCCTTTATCTGACTTTCCCCTTGTTTCCTCTGTATCACATGGAACTACACTTCTTAGGCTTTCTTTTCAACTGGCATCTGGAAATACTTAGCCAATGTGGGGGGGTGGGGGGGATCTGGTAGAATGCCAGAGAGCAGATAGAGAGAAGCCAGGGCATTTTTCATCTCTTTTAATACCTTGGGTAGAAACTTTAGCAGATTTTTTTTTTTGCCATGGTTCAAGCTACCACTAGACAGCCCCTCCTGTGATCCCAGGTATGCTAGGCAGCCCTGTCTTGGTCTGACTTTTATTAAATAGTCCTGTCTCTGGATTTTGGAAACAAATTTCCTCCCATTGTCTTCCTAGCCCTGGAGACAGTGGTAGCCTTCTGCTGTTTATAAACACTAGGTTACCTCACTACTTCCTGTTTGACTCTTCCCCTCCCAGACCTTGCCAATTCCTTTTACTAAATGCCTCTTTTGAAATGCCTAAAGTGGTCCTTCCTTATGACTGGATCATGACTGATAAGGAAAATGGAGCAGATAACCTACTTTAGGATGTTAGTAGTGAGTCAGTGGCATGGCCCATGACATTTTATCAATGGCATTGGTTCAACGTGGCTAAGATTATCAAATGCTTCAAAAATACCTAAAAACAGACTAAAAGATCTTATATTAGTGAGGAAGGAGGGAAAAATCAGTAAAGTTTGTCTCTGATGCAGGGAAGCTATTGTTTGCATATTGGTTTATACTAAGGGTACCAGTCTAGATGAAGGAAGATATCACAAAATCAAGATAAAATAAATAATATGAGCACATCAAGTAGCCTAGTGAAGAAAGTGAAAGACAGAAAGCTAATCTACTGATATGGTCTGGCTCTGCACCGCCACCCTAATATCATCTTGAATTGTAATCCGAATTTTAATCCCCACGTGTTGGGATAATCCCCACCTCGTGGGACGTGATTAGATCATGGGGGCAGTCTTCCCATGCTTTTCACATGATAGTGAGTGAGTTCTCACGGGATCTGATGGTTTTATAAGGGGCTTTTTCCACTTTTACTTGGCACGTCTCTCTCCTGCTGCCATGTGAAGAAGGACGTGTTTGCTTCCTTTTCTGCCATGATTGTACGTTTCCTGAGGCATCCCCAGCCATGCAGAACTTTGAGTCAATTAAACCTCTTCTCTTTATAAATTACCCAGTCTTAAGGAGTTCTCTATAGCAGTGTGAGAATGAACTAATACATCTACCATGGTAACTGAGTCAGAATGCTCAAAATAAAAGCCCAACTCCTTGGCTTGCTAGCTGCAGGACTTTGGGCAAGTTTTCTCACAGTCTTGTGTTCTATAATGGTTTCCTCATCTATAAAAGGGGAATACTGTTATTATCTACTACAGAGGGTTGTGAGAATTACATGAATTAATACATATAAATGTCTTAGATTATGTTTGGGACATAGTAATCACCAAATTATTGTCAGGTTTCATTATTATTATTCTATTGATTATTATTATTAATCCTAGGTTTACAGATAGAGTTAAGAATATACTCCAAATGCATAAAGGGAACTATTCCTGTGTGAATCAGAGGTCCCTGAAATAGGTATCTCTCATTCTAATATTCTTAAAAGTGAAAACTGTCTTTGTCTTCATAAAACATGAATATGTGTATAATTTTATCCAGATATTCTTAGCAACTTTACTTCATATTGTGAGGAGGAGGAGGTTGCAATGCTTTTCCCCTAAATTTGGAGAAAGGCTAGAGTTGGGAGACCTTCTCTAGAAATATAAAGATAATTTTGTTCACTGTGATAGGAATTAACATTTTGTTCCCCCATATATTTGCAAATTTTTCATTATGTCCTGACTGCCTTGTTATCAAGGGGGGGTCACATGACTAGGTTTGCTCAATGAGTTTTGAGAGAAAAATCTGTGTCACTTGAAGACCAGAGTGAAACTCCTCACCTGCCCTAAAGTCTTTTTGTTCTCCAGTGCCACAGCCAGCAGTATTGGAATTGGTTGCTCTTTCATTAGTGTGGGTCCCTGAGTGACCATGTTGGATGGAAATGTAGCATGAGAAAGACAAACTTTTCTGTGATTAGCCACTGATATTTGGGGGTTATTTATTACCACACTACCACCTTGCCTATCTTATTTTGTAAATTTAAAAACTCAAAAAAGGAGAAACATAGGCAAAAATTATTATTCTAAGAACCAAAAAAGATCAATTCCACCTTTAATTATATTACATTTTGTTAACCATTTTTGTTGCACCTTTAATTATCTTTTTCCACAATGATAAGCAATAAAGACTGTTGCACTAAAAATGACCTATGGCCATGTCTTCAAAAGAGAAGAAAAGGAGGGAGTTGAGGAGTCTGCCTCACATAGCAGGCATACTTCCAAAAAGAGAGACCTCAAGAGGCAAAGTGAAAGGTGGTAGAAAGTGGATCATAGACCTGGTGTCCGGCACTTTAGAGAAAAAAATACATATATGGTAATTTTTTCCCAGAAAAAGAGAAAGAAGGGGTAAGTCACAGTTTTACGGATATAATAAATGAGGAAGAGCTTTCCAGGCAGAGAAAATAGACATGAAGTGGAGCAACAATATGGGTTCACTGGGAGACTCTACTAAACATTTAAGGCAGAGATTATACCAATTCTCTACAATCTGTTCTAAAACACAGATGCGCAGAGAATACTTCCTAGCTCATTCTGTGAAGCCAGCATTATCCTAATACTAAAACCACAAAAATATTACAAGAAAACTACATACCAATATCTCTCAACAGGGATGTAAAAATCCTTAACAAAATATTAGCAAATCAAATCCAACAATGTATAAAGAGAATTACATACCACTGGCAGCTGGGATTTATCTCAGATATGCAAGGCTGGTTCATCATTCAAAAATCAATGAATGTGATCCATCATATCAACAGGCTATAAGAAGAAAAATCATGTGATCATACCAAGAGATACAGAAAAAAGCATCTGACAAAATCTAAGACTCACTCATGATTAAAAAAATATTCTCAGCAAACTGGAAATAAAAGGGAACTTTCTCAACTTAATAAAGAACATCTTCAAAACCTACATTTAACATCATACTTAATGGTGAGAAATTAGAAATTTTCCTGCTAAGGCCAGGAACAGTAAAGGATACTCCCTCCACCAATCCTTTTCAATATCATACTATAATATAAGTCCTAGGTAATGCAATAAGATAAGAAAAACAAATAAAACATATACAGATTTGGAAGAAGGAAACAAAACTCTCTTTGTTTACAGATGGCATGATTATCTACATGGAAAATCCACAAGAAACAACAAGTAGATTTAAAAGCTATATTTAAAAAATAAAATATGAAGTTTTTTAGAACATACAGAAAAAAATGCTCATGACCTGTAGCTTATGGAAGGACTTATTAAGTAAGATAGTAAAAGGACAAAATAGAAAGTGATAAATCTGCTTGTGTTACAGTTAAAACTTTTGAATGGCATGTCATAAAGTGTAAAGATAAGACATAGCTTCTAATAATATATTTGTAATACATAAAACTTACAAAAGATTAGTACACAGAACATACAAAATATGCGTGCGTATACACCACTATAAATCAGTATTTAAAAGGCAAATAGATTCATAGTAATAAGGCAAAAGATGTAAGAAATAAGGCAGAGAGAAACACAATTGCAGAAAATTCTTAACCAATATGTATTTGAAAAGATGTTCAATTAGTCTGGACTTCGGAAAATCTAAGTTTTGTTAAATGGGCATCAAGTAGGGCAAGGATGTAAGGAAATGTTACTTTTTGTGCATTGTTAGTAACCACGTAATTTATTAAAGTCATTTTGAAGACCAATCTTACAATATCAAATAAAATTTGGCTACTATATATATACCCCAGAGATATTCACATATACACAAATATAAATGTAAAAGGAATATTTACCATTCATAAAAATGAAAAAGTTGAGGAATGGACAAACAAACTGATTTATTTATATAATAGATTATATAGAAGTTACAATAAAATATATTCTCAGTAAGTTTCAAAATATAACAGTATTTTTAAAAATAAGCACACAAACAATACATTATAATTTATCATTATATTCAAAGGTAGTAAAAGTATACAAACTTCCATGGGGGAATAACACATATCATTTTGGGGTAGTGGTTCTCTCTAGTACAGAAATAAGAAGAAAAGAATAGGTTAAAAATCTTTGGTGGTATCTGTTACATATTATTTTTTAAAGGTTATAAAGAAAAATCTCACCTGAAACAAAGCAAAATGCTAACATAATTTAATCTTGTGTTGTGGGGGAGTTACAATTTCCAGTCCTTTTCTATATGTTTGAAATAGGTCTCAACAGTAAAATATTATGTTATATAAACATACTGATTGTTTATATTAAACATATAATAAATATCTATGAATGCACAATTCAAAATGGAAACTAGGAATATTACAATAATGTGCTTCTAACTGCTTGGTGCCTGGTCCATTCCTTATCTATTCTCATTCCCCCTTCAAAAGGTAACCATTATCCTGAATTCCTGGTTTATCAATCCTTCATATCCCTTATTTTAGAGGTTTATTATAGCTCTATGTATTCATGAAACATATACCCTAAATGATTTCTATCTTTTGAGATGTGTTGAGTCTTTCTTAATAGCAAAAGATGACTCTTTGTATACAATTAAAACACCTAAATTTAAAATGTATATTTCCTGGCTACATGAAATTAAACTATATTCAATAACAAAAAGATAACCAGAAAAAATCCAATTGCATAGAATTAAATACAATTGCATGGAAATTAAACAATATACTTAGATATAAATTATGATTCAAGGAAAAAATCAAAAAAGAAAATTGAAAACATTTTGAACTGAATCATGATGATGAAGATATGACAAAATATAAATAGTTATGGAACACGGTTAAAGCAAGGCTTTGAGGGAAATTACTAGCTTTATAAGTTAATATTATAAAATAAAGGTAGAAAATCATTATTTAAGCTATCACCTCAGTTACCTGAAAAAGCCCCAGAAAACCAAATCTATGAAAAGTAGAAAAAATAAAACAACAAAATAAGTGAAATTAATGAATGAAAACACAATACAAGAGAAAACAAGACCCAAATGTTTCCCCATAAAATAAATAAAATTGATCAACTCCTATCAACTCTGATCAAAAGAAAAAGAAAGAAAAGCACAAATTACTAGTAACAATGAAAACAGGACATAACTTCAGATCTTTCAGACATAAAAAAAAACTTTACACTAAAAAATTGACAACATTTATGCATAATCTTCAAGAGAATAGAAAAATGACAATAAAAATTTTAGGAAATATACAGGTAAACGTTTTCACAATCTTGAAGTAGTCAGAGATTTAGTAAGATCCAAAAAAGTGTTAATTATAAAATAAAATTTTGTTATATCAGATTCCATTAGAATTAAGATTTCCCATTTATTGCAAGATACCATTAAGAGAATAAAAAGGCAATTCACAGATGGGAGATGGTATCTGCAATATATATATATCTGAAAAATGGCATAAATCCAGATTATATAAATAACTTTTATAAATTAAAAAAGAAAACAAAAAATATCAAAACCTCAGTAGAAAAAATGGAAAAAAATGCTAAACATATACTTCACAAATGAGGATATTCAAAAGGTCTATTAGCAAAAGATATAAGTGGACACCTAACCAGAGAGAATATACAGATGGCAAATAAGTACATGAAAAGATGTCCAACACCATTAACCATCAGAGAAATGCAAATTAAAACTACAGTGTGATTTCACTGCACACCTACAAATGGCTAAAGTAAAAAAAAATAGTAACAAAACTAAATGCTGGCAAGGATGTGGGAAACTCATGCATGGCTGATGGGACTGTAAAATAGGACAACTACTCTGGAAAACAGTTTGGCAATCTGTTATAGCACTAAATATGCAAGTACCATCGACCCAGCAATTGCTCTCTTAGACACTTATCCAAAAAGTGGAAATGTATGTTCACCCAAAACCTTGTACAAAATGTTCAGAACAGTTTTATTTATAATAGCCTCAAATTGAAAACAACTATAATGGCCGGGTGCAGTGGATTATAGGAGTGATCCTATAATCCCAGCACTTTGGGAAGCTGAGGCAGGTGGATCACCTGAGATCAGCAGTTCGATACCAGCCTGACCAACATGGAGAACCCCTGTCTCTACTAAAAATACAAAATCAGCCAAGTGTGGTGGCAGGCATCTGTAATCCTAGCTACTCGGGAGGCTGAGGCAGGAGAATTGCTTCAACCCGGGAGGTGGAGGTTGCGGTGAGCTGAGATGGCGCCATTGCACTCCAGCCTGGGCAACAAGATCGAAACTCCATCTCAAAAAACAAAGAAAAAGAAAAGAAAAAAGAAAACAACACCAATGTCCATAAATTGACAAATGCTTAACAAAACTGTAATGCATACATACAACTTAATACTACTGAGTCGTGGTATTCTAAAATGAATGAATTTCCAGAAAGCAAACTAAGAAATTTCCCCAAAAGGCCCTCAGTTTCCACAAAAATTCTTTTTTTTATTTTTGTTGTTTTTTGTTTTTGAGATAGAGTCTTGCTCTGTCACCCAGGCTGGAGTGCAGTGGCACAATCTTGGCTCACTGCAACCTCCACCTCATTTTGTGTTTTTGGTAGAGATGGTGTTTCACCATGTTGGCCAGGCTGGTCTTGAACTCCTGAGCTTAAGTGATCCACCCGCCTCAGCCTCTCAAAGTGCTGGGATTATAGGCGTAAGCCACTGCGCCCCACCTCCACAAAAATTCTTAATGTAGAAGATCATCATGAGACAAAATACGCTTTCATTAGATGGATCAAGATAGGTATGAGGAAAGATGTCTAGAAATGACAGATACAAAAGAATGTAATATGTTGAACATGAAGTTTGAATAATCAATGCATCTCCTTTATTACACTTTTGGCAGGAGTGGTGACAGTTTGAGACAAGGACAAGAGCACCAGACTTCAGAACTTGACATCCACAAAATGTAAATAAGATGAAAGTTCAGCTCTGTCATTTGACATATGAGTTCCGCCCTCTGCCCCTACTCCTAGCAACTCTCTGAGCCTCAGCTCTGCCTTCAGTAAGTCGTTCCTTTCCATAATAGGACAGTGGGAAGATTTTTTGCTCATAAAGAACATGACTATAGCTATTGATTTCTGGGAAATGTTAAAACAACAAGGTTTTCAATTCCTTTGTTGACAAGTGAAAATATTTTCTTTGTTAACTAATGTTTCAGAACTGGGCTTTCTATATTGAAGAAAAATTAATGAAGAAAAATAAATCAATTTTACAAAATGTCCCTGAAAAATTCTACCCCAAACTGTCCTGAGATTTGCTAGTCAGCAAGCTTAACATACAATTTGAAAAAGAAATATGAGGTTGAATCCCCAAGACAGTAAAAGAGTAGACATCACGGGAGGACATTATTCTAAGTCACATACCTCAGAAACAGAAAGCCAAAGACTGCATCTCCTCACTTACAGGTAGGAACTACACAGTAGATACACATGAACATACAAAGTAGAATAATAATAGACAATGGAGACTACAAAAGGTAGGATGGTGTAAGAGGGGCAAGGGATGAAAAAATTACATATTGGGTACAATGTTCACTGTTCAGGTGATGGGTACGCTAAAAGCCCAGACTTCTCATTATGCAATATATGCATGTAGGAAGTTTGCACTTGTACCCCCAAACCCATAAAAATTTTAAAACAACAATGATAATGAAGATCTTCAATAGAAAGCAGACATCAGGCTCTATTATTCATCCAGAATATTAATAACCAATGGGAGAGACTATATAAATAACATCAATGGTTCCCGGGTCAGAACACAGTTTCCAGCTTTCCCTACTCTCCACCCCCCAACCCTAGTGACCCTCTAAAAGTCTGAATATAAGCAAATGAATCCCAGAATGTTAGCACTGAAAGACCCTGTAAATCATTTGTTCTACAATGAATACAAAAGGTAATCAAGGTATAGTATTTACTATCCAGACACTTATAAAATTAAGAACAGAAGAAAGCACAGAGGTTTCTAATATCTTAATGCACACAAATTCAGGGTCTGTTTGAAAAACAGACTGACGTCACCAACTGCAATAGCTTCACAATACAGTTTTGAGAACACCATTAGCAAGGTTGCTGCTGAAATAAGCCAAGGCATAGCCATTCTCCAGCCATCTACAAGTAGCAAGGAAGTAGATTGAGCCACGTCTTATCTTTCGTCAGCTTCATGAACTTCCAGATTACCTTCCTTTTCACTCTGGAGACCTTTATAAATCATGTGATCAGCCCACCTTTTTGTTTAGTGGTTGGTAAGAAAAGCAAGCGCGTGCAGACAAGGAAGTTGTTAAATACAGAAGGTGAGAACAAGTACTGAATTTTGTAATACTGGATTTTGTGAAGCTGCACACTGTGGTCCTCAGAAGAGAAGGTCAACTGTAGCAGTCCTGAAGGCTTTATGGAGAAAGAACAGTAGGGGAGGGGGTTAAACCCTTAAGTTCCTATTAGGTGGAGGTTGATCTCACTTCTGGTCCAATAGTAAGGATGGGCTTTTAAAGTTCTTGATATCGACTAGGCCATTGTTTCTTAAATTACATCAAGAGACTTTAAAATGTGACAATGTTAGATCTGGAATAGAAATTGTCCTGCAGAAATTAGTGTTGGCTCCAAGAGCAGAGAATCACAGAGAAACCTACAAGCAAGTCCATGTCCCTCTGGGCAAGACCCTCCAGAAACAGGGGAGATTGGTGCAAAAGGTTTATCTGACTTTTCTGTTGTTGGATCTTAGGATTTACAAGTGAAAGAGATTTGTTATGGTTCATTTATTCATTCAGTGAATATTTACTGAGCATCTGCCATATGCCAGACAGATGCTGTGCTAGGTGCTGGTAATATGGCGATTCCAATGAAGCCCTTGTCCTTGTGGCAGTTAGAATCTGAGAGGGAGAGATGAACATTAAACTAATAATTATGCACTTACTTATTAACAGATGGGAAAGTCTAGCTGGGTCACTTGATGGTAAAAAAATAAAATAAAATAAAATGAAGCTGAGAGAGGAAGTGACTTTCCAAAGGTCAGTCAGGTAGGTAAATGAGTCAGTGAAGCATATGGTTAGAAGCCTATTCTAAGCTGTGACCCAAGTTCAAGTCTTGGCTCCACTTCCTAGTAGCTGTGGAGTATCAGACAAGGTATGTAACATTTCTCAGTGTCTCTGTATCAGAAAGATGGGGGCAATAGCCCTGTACATTTGAGGTTCTTAAATCATTAGTGAAGTAACATATATAGTGCACTTAGCACACAATAACTGTCAGTTGTCATCTTATTATTATTGACAGAGTTAGCTAGCACTGTTGTCCAGGTTTCTTAACAGCAAAGCCACTGCTTCTATCTCTGCACCCCACTGACTTGATACCATTTCATGTTTTCTTTCCTTTTCTATCTCACCAAAAAAGTTTCCTGGAAAGTAGGTCAGATTTTAGCTAACTCTCACTACGGCAGCTTTTATATGGAGGAGGGGGCACAGGAAGCTCTTTAGCAATTCTGAGTGCCCATCCAGGCTTCTAGAAGGATGACAAAATATTTCCCCGAGAGTTTATTTAATTTTGTCCCCAGGCTTGTTCACAATTCTGACCATCTGGTCCTGGAGGCTTCTCTATTTTTAATATTTCTACTTTGAGTGTTTTGTTTTTTTAACCTATTCTAGGATTAGTCACCCCCTTTCAACCACCCCCACTCTCTCTACCAACCCCTGATTTCCTTGAGCAGATTACTCAGTAGGACAAGTTTACCGTAGCCTATAACTTTGATAAACTCAGATCTAAAAATAGAGGCATCTCAGGTCATCTGAAAGGTCACAGCAAAACTGAATTTTGCACAATACTCATACGTGATATTGTTCCAACAAGATCACACCAAAGGTACATGTTACAAATATGAATAGCATTTCATAGAAGAAAGTTTTTCCCACCTGTATATAAAGCTACCTCTTCTGAAAAAAATGGACCTTGTCAATGTTGGTCAGGTCGCTCTAAAGCAAAAACCTAGCTTGAGCTGTCCATTCAGGGTTCTTCTAGTCCATCTGTTGCTGTAGTTAAATGACAAGATGTGATTGGGGTATGTATTAGAAGCTTTCCTGCACCAAAACAATCCCTCTGCCAGCCTGGCTGCCCGAGTTCCCCACCAGCAGTATCACTCCTTCAAACTGGAGCACTGTCCCTAGAAAACCTATTTCCTGAAGAATAGAAATTAACAGCCTTTATCAAACTAGGTCAGTTTTTTTTTTTTTTCTGATCTATTGACTCATCTAGCTAGGGGTAGGACTTTTTTAGACTAGTACACAGGACAGATATGATTTTATGGGAGAGAGGTGGAAAGAAGTTCCCTTCCCTTGGATCTCCCAGCCCTCTGTGTTCATCTCTGTCTAACCCTCATCTCACCGGACTGCCAGTGAGTCTACTCAGCCATTTCCTTCACAGTCTATGATCTCTCTGTAACCCCAGAAAGGGTTTTAATAAATGTTAGAATAATTGATGGACAGAACACAAATATTGGCAATATCAGATGGCACTGTAAAGACGAAAAAATGGAAAGGACCATATGGAAATCGGAAATCTTGATAACAAAGGATGACAAGGGAAATAAAGAGTGAGCTATGAACAAAATATCCAGGATCAACCTATCTGTAACATTACCCACACCTCCACAAAACACAATCCCCCAATCCCATCCCGTCCTAAGAAAACACATGGGGGGAGGGGGCGTTTGTTTTGTTTTTGTGTTATTTTTTCTTTCTAATCATCTTTTAAGAACTTTTAGTCTTTTGTTGATGGATGTCCTAATAGCAAGATTGGCAATAAGCAAACTTAAATGTTATTCTGATGTCACCAATAATGAAACTAAGGATCTGAGAATAAAATTTACTCAAGATCACACAGGTGACAAATTTATTGAAAAGACCTAGACCTTCGGCCTTCTGATATGCTCATTGCCTCTCTGCCTTACTCACTGTGCTCATTTTTGAAGAGGCCTGGGTCAGTGGACACAGGGAAAAAGATTTTAAGATTTGGAGTCAGAACACCTACACTCAAATCTTGCCTCTGCCAATTTATGACCTTGGGCAAATCATTTTTTGTTTCCCAAAATGTAACAGCTTATTGTTTTTCTCCATATTTATATAAGATTTGCATTTCTAAGACATAACTTGAAAATCTGTATTGCAAAACACATAGTAAAGCTTGATAAAATATGATATTATTTTAAATACATAGCTGAGCTCTTAGGAAAGTGAAGGAAATAATAAAAAGCCAAAAAACAAGGATAAAGCTAGAGAAAGCAGCCAGTTTGTGAGCCAGCATGGTCACAGTTAAAAGAAACACAATGGATCATGCAACAGTATGCCATCTCCAGGAACTAAGAAACCTGAGTTTTAATGTCCAGTTGTAGGAGGTGGGTGAATTCCTGGGCTCCAACCTGGGTAAGAGTTGAATTTAGACCCTCACATGGATGGAGAGAAGGATGAGGTGAGGAAGTTGGTAATGACAGGGAAATAAATAAATGGGAAAAATGAAAAGATCTGGGTGAAGATAAAAAAGACCAAAAGGAAAAATGAGAACCTAAAAGTAAGGGAAGAGAAGATGAAAGTGTGAACTGAGAAACAAAAGAAGAACTGACCACGAACTCAGGAAGACTGCAGGAAGCTTGTATGTTTCTACTTGTGCCCTAAGTGGGAAGTTCAAAATCGAGAATTTGCAACAAGAGCCTGCCCTCATATTGCTTTGGTAAGTGAATGTACACCACTTTCATGGTCAGGGAAGCCTCAAATTGAGAAATTAATATAAAAAGTGTCCCTACCTGGTAATACCATTGGGTTGGATGGAAAATTCCCTTAGGGAAACAATTTCTATGAAGCCACATAAAATTTCCATAGATAAGGCCCAGGTAAAATGAGCTCACAGAGTTATTAACAGACAAAAAAAAAAAATCTACTGTGAGTGAGCTGGCAAACTCAAGAGCCAACAAAAATAAAATTTCCCAAAACACCAGGTGCTCTCAGATAGTCCTGAAAAGAAAAATATTTTTAAACAATGAATAAATCAAAACCATAAGAGAAAAAAACAGGATGCAATATTTTTTCAAATGCCCACACACATAAAATATAGAAAAGAATAAAGAAGAAAATAAAATTAACCTAAATTCTTACCACCCAGAGGGCTGATATGTTAACATATAAGTTGGTGCATCCCTCCTTATACATGAACATATACACATGAGCATGTGATATCTACATAAGTCCACAGCAAACAAAAAGCAACCACATTATACAAAGTATTTCATAAACTGTTTTCTTGAGATAATGCCATGAAAGCTTTTTTATACCAATAAATATTATCAAATTAGTCTAATTAACTTATGAACACAAGATATACATATATTAATTTTCAATACATGGATATACCTACATTAACCAATTCACATGCAGATTAATCACTGTTTCATTGGTGGATATCTAGCTTACATCTATTTTTCTTTGGTATAAACAATGCTTTAATAAACATGCTTACAAATATCTTGTGTAATTATTTTCTCAAAATAAATGTCTTTAAGCAGAATTCCCTGAACAAATAGTTTGTAAATTCTCAAGGATGGTGGTACTTATTGACAAATTGACCTCTGAAATGGTTGTATTAATTTATACTCACACTAAAAGTATTCAAGAGCTTCTGTTTTTCCATGTTTCTATCAATATCCAGTATTTGTGGAAAAGATACCCTTTAAAATTGATGGTGCTGGGAAAACTGGACTGCCATATGCAGAAGAATGAAACTGGATCCCTATCTCTGACCATATACAAAAATCAGTGCAAGATATATTAATGACTTAAATATAAGACTTAAAACTATAAAAATACTAGAAGAAAACATAGGAAAAACTCTACTGGACATTGGTCTAGCAAAGAATTTATAACTAAGATCTCAAAAGCACAAGCAACAAAAACAAAAATAGACAGATGAGACTTAATCGAACTAAAAAGCTTCTACGCAGCAAAAGAAATAGTGAAGAAACAACCTGCAAAATGGGAGAAATATTTGAAAACTATGCGTATGACAGGGGACTAATGTCCTAAATTTACAAGGAACTCAAGCAACTCAACAACCACCACCACAAAGAACAAATAATTCCATTAAAAAGTGGGCAAAGGACATAGACATTTTTCAAAAGAAGACATAAAAATGGCCAAGAAGAGTTTGAAAAAAACTCAACATCACCAATCATCAGAGAAAGGCAAATTAAAATCACAATGAAATATATTATACCAATTAGAATGTCTACTATTAAAAAGTCAAAAAATAACAGATGTTGGCAAGAATGCCGAGAAGAATTAACACTTGTACACTGTTTACGGGAATGTAAATTAGTACAACCTCTATGGAAAACAGTGTGAAGATTTCTTAAAGAACTAAAAGTAGAGCTCCATTTGACCTAGCAATCTCACTACTAAGAATCTACCCAAAGGAAATTATTATATATTTAAAAAAACCTGTAGTTGTATGTTTATTGCAGAACTATTCACAATAACAAAGATATGGAATCCACCTAAACATACACACACACACACACACACACACACACACACACACACACAGGAATACTATTCAGATAAAAAAGTATAAAATTATGTCTTTTTCAGGAACATGGATGGAACTGGAGGTCATTATATTAACTAAAACAGCTCAGACACAGAAAGTGAAATACCACATGTTCTCACTTATTAAGTGGGAGCTAAATATTACATTGTGTACACATAGACATAAGAGTATGGAATAATAGACATTGGAGACTTGGAAGGGTGGGAGGGTGGGAAAGTGGAAGGAATGAGAAATTACTTAGTGGGTAGAAAGTACATTACTCAGGTGATGGTTACACTAAAAGCTCAGACTTCATGATGCAATATATTCATGTAACAAAACTGCACTTGTACCCCTTAAATTTATAATAAAAAGCCCAAATATTTGCTAATATGATGACTGAAAATGGTATATTCTATTTAGTTGCATTTGTATTATTAATGAAATTGCAAATATTTAATCATGCTTATTTTTATGCTTCTTTGTGAATTGCTTCTTCATGTCTTTTTTGGATAAGTCATGAAATCTCACTGAAGCTCAACTTCCACAGTTGTAAAATGACATCAATAGATCCCACATCTCAAGGCTGAAGTATAGATCAAGTAGATTAATGTCAATGAAAGCACTTTAAAGACAAGATCATATAGAGGACTTATTTGATAATCTAGCAATTATTTATTGAGCACCATCTATGTACTAAGCTGTGTGCTATGTTTAATGGAAGAATACAAAAGAAATATAGTTCATGGATTGTCACTCAGATATATTGGTGAATCTGAAATGACTTGGGGACCTACAATGTGTGCCTAAAAGTTGTCGAAGGATCAAGGAACATCTAAAGGAGGGCCATGCCATCTTGACAGCCTCCTTGTACTATTCTTTATCATGCTGAGCTTGTCAAGTACATACTGTCACACAGTGTCCAGTAGCCCTGAATTTGGGGGGAATAAAAAGCATCAGCAAAAATGTTGTATGTCTTCCCTTCCCTTCATTTCAATTATGGAAGACTCTCATAAACAATCATGTATTTTAGAATCATTTTTCTTGTTTCTGATCAGACAGTATGCATCAGACAGAATCCTTATCTCCTGGGGAATTATCTTGCTTAACAAAACAAACAAACAAAAACAAAAACACCCCGTAATCACTAGGTACTGCACTTGAAAACGCCAAAAGAGCACAGTGGTAGCTCAGTTCAATAATGGAAATTCTGAGCACATCAATCAGAGTGGGGGCAGGCTTAGTTGTTAGGTAATTTTCCTGCTAGAGTTTTCTAATCTTTAGCTTATTCTTGTCTGTGCTTGTGATTGGACAGACATGTTTCTTCTGTGGCTGTATTCTCTCATCAGAGTATTTTTAAAGTCCATTTGAAAGAAAGGCAAATAGCAACTATTTTAATATCCTAGTAAATGGATATTTCCTCCCTTAATAGGAACAAGACTGGCATTTTCACAGCTTCAGATTGGATTAAATTTTCTAAATAATGAATTCTTTTTCAGTCTCTTTTCTTTTGTGCTTTGGAGGATAAACTCGAAAGCTGAAGTAATGGATCAGAAGGAGCAGTAATTAGTATAAGTTAGACTCCATTTGATGGTATATTCCCTTTCCTGTAGAAATGGACACTCCTTTGTAACCTCAGAATAGTAATTCATGGCTATTCTTCTGCTAAATGGACTCTTAGAGGATGCACTCACCCCCAAAAGGGACCTAATCAGTTCTTCTGCATCACCATAGTCTACCTAGCACCATCCATCAGAATACGCCCAGCAGTAGACAGAGCGGCTGTAGTGATTATAGAAAGAGTTCAGCTTGGGACAAGGAGACTGGGTTCAAATCTCAGCTCTGCCACTTATAAGTTGTGTGACCTCAGGAAACCTAGTCAAGATCTTTGAGCCTTCAGTTGTCTTATGTATAAAAGAGAGAATTTGGGGGCCTAAAAGATTTCTAAATTTCCTTCAGTGTCTAAGAACTCTATATACTCGGCACTAACGGGCATATAAAAGTACTACAAGGCTCAGCCTTCTCTTTCACTGATGAAACATACAGGCATTCAAGACATATTTATAGAGCTCCTATGTGCCAGATATTGCCTTCTGTTCAGGAAAAACCAAGAGCAATAAAACAAAATTCTCTTTCTAGGTTGTGAATTTCTTGAGAACAGGAGAGACAGGTTGAGAAGAAATTCAACATAAAGCAATGACTGCTATGAGGAGACTCCTTTCATATAACAGAGATTGAGAGTGTTGTAGAACTTATAACACAAAAGGATGGGGCATTGGATTTTTGAAATTCAGAGAAAATGAGTAGAAGTTGAAATAAGTGGTCTTTATGTACATAAAATACTGCATTTGAGGTGATGAAGAATAAAATCTAACCCTCACTGGCCACCTGTACTAAGTCACATATGTGAAGTAATAGACATGGGGTTAGGTTGAAATGTTTAAAATAAAAGGAAGAAAGAAAGAAGGGAAGGAGGGAGGGTGGGAGGGAGGAAAAAAGCAAACCCTTTATATAGATGGGTGAGTATGGGAAAGCTGCTGTTTATCTCTTACAATTGATTAGACTGCCGTTTGTATTAAAAGGATTCTGGTGTAATTGGCTAATATAAGTCTTTAAAATATTTATTGAATATGAGCCAGATGCCCTGAGAAAGAAAAGGTGAGCCTGATACCTTCACTGGGGGCAGAGGAGAAAACCAGGGAACTGCTTAAGGTCTTCTGCCCCTAAACACTATGATACTTTCCAGAATGAGTTGCAATGATAAATTAATAAATAGCCCTCTCCTCAAAATTACCAAGTATAAAATAAAGGGAGTCACTCAAGCTGATCCTGGCACCAAGTGAAACATGGAAAACAATTACTGGAAAATGAAACTAGTCAATTCAACTTGCCAAAACATTACAGTGGATGAAACTCCACACAAGATCAGTTATGGTGTTTTATTCTACATTGCATTGCTTCTATTATATTTCTCAGGAAATTACCAGCTCATTTTTCTTAAGAAACTTTGCTTATTTTTTAAATGTACTATTAAGTTATTATTGACTATATCAACCTGTTGTGCTACCAAATAGTAGGTCTTATTCATTCTTTCTAACAATTTTTTTGCATTCATTAACCATTCCCTCCTTCTCCCCCACTCACCCTTCCCAGCCTCCGGTAACCATTCTCCTACTCTCTGAGTTCAACTGTTTTGATTTTTATTTTTGATTATATTTTGAGAGACTGATTTAAAGTGTTGGAGGAATACAAACTGAAGAACTGTAGAGAGGGTGGAGCAAAGCAGTGCATGCAACACATCTACTTCCTTCGAAAAGTTCTGAGCAACAAATAAGTGAGAACATGTGATGTTTGTCTTTCTGTGCTTAGCTTATTTCTCTTAACATAATGATCTCCAGTTCCATTCATGATGTCGTAAATGACAGAATCTCATGCTCTAAGAAGCTTCACTTTTATCCCATCTTGCATGTCTCTGTGATAACTAGGGAACACAAACATGTTATTACTGCATTCTGGCCGCACTGCTTCTATTTTTGGCTTCCTAATCAACTCAATTAAGAAATGTCCTTATACTGTTGGGTAAGTCTTTGGAAACTGGGTAACTCTTCAATCTTCTGTTGCTTAGAATTTTGGAAAGGAAATAGATACAGTGCATACACTACTTTGCTCCACTCTCTCCACAGTTCTTCAGTTTGTATTCTCCCAACACTTTCAATCAGTCGCTCAAAATATAATTATTGAGTACTCACTATGTGTGAGGCACTGTGCTGGGCTTTGCCTCCATAGAACTTCGCCCACAGAACCAAATAAGGAATGCATGCAGAAGCAGTGGTATACAGGTTAAAAGAACAACTACAACTTGAAATTTTATAGTGTTTGCCTATTTATGTGGTGTAAATACACACACAATGGCCAATTTCAAGCTACCAATATGAGGTAACTTAGAGTGGAGTTGAGAATAGATGTATACAATGGGCTCTTGTGAGCAAGCTCCAGAATGACACTCAACAGGCCAGTCAACAAACATTTACTTTATAGACTGATATGTGCCATAATCGATAAACAAAAGAAGTACAAGTACTAATATTTATTAAACATTTACTTTGTATACACGTGAGTGCATATGTATATGACCACTAATTGCCCTATGTGCATGATCTCATTTAGTCCTCATCACAACCCCTGGAGCACTACTCATACCCAAGTTTTACAAAAAAGGTAATTAGGCCCATAACATGATTAAGTAACTTGCTCAAATCCAATAACTAATCAATAACGGAGGTGGGATGCAAAGTCATATGAGTTCCAAAACCTGCATTTTTAGCTTCTACGCTCTATGCCTCTTAGAAAACATGCTAGTTTGAGAGTACCAAAAGGATTACCTAAACAGACTTGGGAGCAGAGAATCAAAGTCATACTCTGAAAGGCGGTCACAGCTAAGGCCTAAAAATGTATAAGTTCTGTGGTGGAGACTTCCATTTCTGTTTCCTATAGATACACTGATAGACTATATTTTCCAGTTTCACCTATAATGTTGAGTGACTATGTGGTGGAGGTGTGTGTGTGTGTGTGTGTGTAAGTGAAGCACACAACTTTCACACTTAGTCATGAGGTTCTTCATTTTCTCTCTTTCCCCATGATCCACTGAATGGAGGCATCTCCAAGGACTTACATGATGGTGAAGCCATGGAGATGGATAGAGTGTGAGCCCCTGAATGGCCACAAAAAGGCCTCCCAACTAGAAATACTATCACTGTACTCTGAAGCAAATGAGAAATACATTCTCACTGTGGTAAGTCTCTGAGATTTTTGGATTTGTCTTTTACAGCCGCTAGCAATATCTTGCCTATTACAAAGAGTGAGCCAGGCAAGGCTGAATGAGGAAAGGAAGAGTGTTCTAAGCAGGAGTAAGAGTGACCCAGAGGTTAGGACCATGTTCAAGGAACTGACAGAGAGTTCAGTATATTTGGAACATAAAGAAGGAACAGAGACATAAGATACGATCTTGGAAAGGTAGACAGAGCTATAACATTAAAGCCCTGAAGCTATGTTGGGGACTTTATATTTTATTCAAAAAGTATCAGACAACCTTTAAAGGGGTTCACTAAGTGCAATGCCACGATCAAACGCATGCTTTAGAAAGCTCACGTTCACTGCAGAATGGAGGATGGATTAGAGAGCTAAGACTGTATTCAGGGAGACAGATTTGGAGACTGTTACAGTACCCCTGGAAGAGAATGATGATAGTGTGGCCTCAGGTGATGGCAATGGAGATGGAGAAAAGTCAACAAATGTGAGAGTTCTTTAAAAGTTAGAGACTCCAGGACTTTGTGACACAGACACTAGCTACACTACAGAGACAAAAGCCATGGCAGGATTCCCTCTCTCGCCATCACATCTGCCATGACAATTACCAGAGACAGAATCAACAATATGAACTAGCCTTGGACATAATGTGGATTCTATATCCATGAAAATTATCTTAGTTGCAAATAACAGAAGCTAATTCTAGCTAGTTTAAACAGATAATTATTTATTAAAGGATATTAAGTCATTCATAAAATCTCCTAGCGCATCAGAGGAGCAGAAAAAAAAGGTTCTGCAATGAGAATTTATAGCAAATCATACCATAATGCTACTTCATTGGTAACTTCATTTCCCCCATTGCTGGTCTGAGGCCCCACAGCTGTACCTCCAACGTTGCTCAAATGTTCCTGCTTCAAAAATCAGATGCAACTGCCACCACCCTTGCCTTGGTAGTTTTTCCCAGTCTAACTTTTTCTTTGTGCACTAGTTTCCAGTTCAATATTTGGCCACAGTACTCTGCTTGCAAGCACCAAAGCTACATGCCTCTACCCTAGCCACAAGGGAAGTGAGGAAAACGAATATTTTTGTCTATATAGCAGCAAATTATTTCTGAATAAGATAGTAAATTCAATTCCTCAAACACAGAAGAATCTTTCTAGATGCTAGGTGACAAAAAGAATAACAAATATTCGGCCGGGCGTGGTGGCCCACGCCTGTAATCCCAGCACTTTGGGAGGGCGAGGCGGGCGGATCACGAGGTCAGGAGATCAAGACCATCCAGGCTAACACAGTGAAACCTCATCTCCACTAAAAATACAAAAAATTAGCTGGGTGTGGTGGCGGGCACCTGTAGACCCAGCTACTTGGGAGGCTGAGGCAGGAGAATGGCGTGAACCCGGGAGGCAGAGCTTGCAGTGAGCCGAGATCACACCACTGCACTCCAACCTGGGCAACAGAGTGAGACTACATCTCAAAAACAAACAAACAAACAAAAACAAATATTCACTGGGTGAGCTTCCAGGGATAATTAAGCCTGCAGTCTTAATTAGTCTGCATAAAAGTGAAGAATTGACAGGGGCAGAAACCCAGAGCGGTCAAAGTTAAGATGAACTTATTTCATAACACATCAAGAAACTGGGAAAGGATAACCAATATCAAAATACAAATCCATTCATGATCTTTGAAAGACAGGTTATACCTTTATTTAACAAATGGATTTCTCAATTATTTTTAAAACAAAATAATAAAAAACAGGAATTGACTATTAAAAACAATCCTACACAGAATCCTTTCATTAAGCAAACAATTATCCCTTAATGTGTTTCATCACCTCTGATTTATTTATATTAGGTTGCTCAAAGTAGGACACAGTATTCAATAAACAAAGTCAACAGAAAGGGATAGTGGTTATCAATGATGCAAGGAATATCAGGTGAAGGATAATGTATCTGTGGCTGAAACCTATGACCTGGTTATATAAAAACAGGTCATATGGGGCCCCTCTGGTAAAGCGCAAAGGTTTACGAGGGCCCTAGAAGATCTAATGGTTGAAAAAGGGAACAATCCTATCTAAACTGAGCAGTCATGAATTAACTTCCAATTTACTAAACTACTCAACATCACAGTCATGCCAACACTTCTGAGCACCTTCTAACATACAAAATACTGGGACAAAAAGCCACTACTGAGAAGACAATCAACCCATTCACTTCCCTTAAGGAACTCACATTCCAGTTAGAGAATCTGGTCTGTAGATAACGATTATTCATGACAGAAGGAACCAACCACTTCGATAAAGATCGAATAAATGTTCTGGATTCAGAAGGGGAAAGCAATTAATTCTGGAGCAAACAGAATTGGCTAGAAAGAGCAGGTGACATTTGAGCTAGGTTGAAAAGAGCAGAGTAGACAAAAAAAGCCACTGCGGTGCAAAAGTACAAAGTTGCGGAAATGCAGGGCTAGGGTGAGGATGGTTGAAACAGCTGTACCTGTAGCACTGGGTACCACGGCAGGGAGAGATTGGATTATGGTTCTGGAATGTAGGCTTGGACAAGATGGTTGAGGACCTAGGGTAGGGTAACATCCAAATCAGGACACATTTGAGAGTGGAAGGGAGAGCAATGATGCTAGGACCATAGGCTATAAAGCAGGACTGTCTTGTGCATACTAAGATGCATGGCCACCCTAGCCTTTGAGATCTTATCATGATTGTTTTTCTCTAAGTCAGCAGGAATCATCAAATATTTTTGAACCCAGAAGTAATAGCGGTCGTGGCTGTGGATTAGACTGGTCACTGTGCAGCAGTATAGGGCAGAGGCTAGAGAGAGGCTAGAAAAGAAGGCCATTGTCAT
This sequence comes from Homo sapiens, assembly GCF_000001405.40. Taxonomy (NCBI): domain Eukaryota; kingdom Metazoa; phylum Chordata; class Mammalia; order Primates; family Hominidae; genus Homo; species Homo sapiens. The sequence goes on along the minus strand of NC_000011.10, from coordinate 109,350,698 downwards.
AGTTTGGGCAAAAAATGAGACCTCATTGGTAGAGAAGCAACAGGTTTAGAGGAGGAAAGTTATAGGAGGTATTGCACAGGGGTGGATTTGTAATACAACAGCTGAGTTTACTCACATACATGATCAAGTACAGGTCAGGACCCAAGCAATTTCAGAGTAGGGGCTACAGAAGAATCCGCTTCCACAGTCTAAACCCTTTAATAATGGAGTTTTACTCTGCTCACTGGTGAATCTATCCTTACCCACTTGCATTTAAAACATAGGCCAAAGGGTCAGATTCAGTAACAGAAAACTCTCTACATTATACAAATTGGGAGTTAGCTGGCCAGATTTCCTGAGGAAAGTATCTTTCTCATCTTCCCATCACCACCACCTGAAATGCCTCCATTTATGATTCATTCCTTTGGATCGCAGAGACTGCTTTTGCCCTCATCAGTTCTCAACTACAATTCAAATGCCGGTAGAAGGTAAGATTCCTTAAATTCTTATCAATCGCCACTCAATTATTCCTTTCATAAGTACCTCTCTTATCATACTTAGTGTATTTCCTGCATTATCCATACAGAGGTAAGTCTTTGTTCATTTTTGCTCTCCTGTCCTGGTTCCTAATCTTCTCGAGGGCAGAGACAATGTCTTGTCTTTGGCATCTCAGCAAATAATCCTGTGCCTTGTATACTGAATAATAAATATTCAATGCCAGATTTTCCATTCAAGAACTGTGGGACCTTAAGCAGTTATTTAACCTCCTGAGTTTCCCTATCTCTAGCCTATCTATTAGATGAAAGCATTCAAATCTACTTCCCAAGTTGTTGAGAGGCTTGTATTGGAACATATCTTGCAAACTATAAATCACTGTACAAACATAGATCAATATTTGCAAGCAGCTAACACAATTCCTGGCAAGCAAGTGTGTTGATTGGATGAAGGAACAAGTGAATAGCTCTTTCATAAATGCCCCCCCCCCACCCCACAAAAGGGCCTGAGTTCAGCAGGGGGCCAGAGAGGGGTTGGAGCTGAGCTGAGGATAATGATATTGGCATCACAGAGTGGAAGATTTGTCTTCCTTTGATGTTGAGGCAAGGAGGAAACTTCCCCCTGCCCTGGCTCCAGAGCTTTTCTCAAGCAGGGACACGTGGAGTTTGGGGCTGTTAGATCCCAGCTTCTCAGATAATCTCAGAGTCCCTGGGCTGCCTCGTTTGCAAATTTTCTGTCAAGATTTACTATTCATGTGTCAGCTGCGTGGCCCAATTGCGATCTGTTATTTTCATTTGCTGGGTTTAGTTGTTTATCCAGGTTTCTTCATCTGCTTCTCTTTGAGTTTGTTATCTAAATATATATCTGCTGAGCCTGAATTATTTTTACTTCTTTTCCTTCTAGTTCCCCGGCCAATTTTGAAAGCTGCCTCTCTAAACAGTCAATTTATAAGTGGGTTATTTGGAACATCTTTAAGCAAATCTCAGTCTCATTATTTTTATAAACCCCCTCATTCTTTCCGCTCTCCTCCCCAAGAAACACCAACTCCATAAAAATCACGGACTGTGTAAGGGACGTGGAGACATAATGAAGCAAATCACGGAAAATGCGGTTGGTAGAATTATTTGTAGAAGCAGATGGTAGGTCTGAATAAAAGAAATGCTAGAACCAAGGATGTCTCCTGAGACAGGCAGTGCCCACTTCTAAAAAAGAAAAATTGCAATAACACAGGGACTTAAGAGCAGCATCCTTTGGAGGAACCTTTGAAATTTGGGGACCATGAGGTCATGGAAGGCAACATGTCAATAGTAGAGAAAACACTTTAATCATCACACCACTTATACTGGGGGTCCCTTGGGAGGACCAACAGCTCTATTTCTCAATGCCACCATCTTCTTTAAGAGGGTCTACAAATTCAGAGTGGGCTGCAAGGGCAGCCACATCCTACCTCAAGTTAGCTGGCAGCCCATTTGTTACCACTTTTCCGGATCAATTATAGTTAAGAATTTAATAAATTAGAAGGAAAATTGCCTACCTTGATTTGAGACATTTCCCCTCTTCCTATTAGTGAATCATCTGTAATGCGCCTACACTATGTGAGCCTAAATCCTGGAGAAGGGTCTCTGGTGATCTATCCAAGTTTGAGAACTAGCTTCCTTAGGTATATAATACAGTCTTTACGTCTGATTGTCCATAAATCCACCTCCATTGCTACAGCACTAGTGAAACCAGACCACAGTGAAATATAATATTTTCCAGAAGAAAACAAATTTGATCTAAAAATAGGGGATCAGGAAGAACAAATCAATGAGAGAAGGAAAATCTATTTCTGAAAAAGCCACCCATACAGTGAGTAGTTATTAAGCCATGAATGTAAGTTTTGGGCTGACAGCTAGTGGATTATACAGACGTGCATGAGAATACAGGCATCTCTCTGCAACAGTGAGGATAATCCAGCCTCTCAACTTCAGCTGGAGTTTGATGAGGGCTTAAGTGGGTGAAAACTATCCAAACCATGCACATGTATTTACCAACAAAAGAAATTTACTTCTAGAGTAAAAGAGCAGAATTTGAAATCGTGACTTTATTCAAGAAGAAAAAGAAGGCGGAGAAGGAGGATAAGAAGGAAATGAAAGAAAAACAAGAAAGAAAGAGAGGGAGGGAAGGAAGGAGAGGGAGACAGGAAGGAAGGAAGAAGGGAGGGAAGGGAAGGGAAGGGGAGGGAAGGGGAGGGAAGGGAGGGAAGGGGAGGGAAGGGAGGCAAGGGAAGGGGAGGGAAGGGAAGTAAGGGAAGGGAAGGGGAGGGAAGGGAAGTAAGGGAAGGGAAGGGGAGGGAAGGGAGGCAAGGGAAGGGAAGGGGAGGGGAGGGAAAAGTAAAGAAGGAGGGAAGGAAGGAGAAAGGCAAAGAAAGAGAGAGAAAGAGAGAAAAGAAAGAAAGAGAGAGAGAAAGAAAGAGAGAGAAAGAAAAGGAAGATAGGTAGGAAGGTAGGAAGGAAGGAAGGAAGGAAGGAAGGAAGGAAGGAAGGAAGGAAGAGGGAGATGCTCCAAGCATTAAATCCCAGCTCTCTGTGACATGGGCAAGCTCCTAAACTTTTCTCAACACCAGTTTTTTAATCTTTAGAAAAGGGAAAATAAGACCTTTCCTGAAAAACACTGTGAGGACTAAGAGTGAGATAGTGTTTGAAAAGCATCTGGCATGTAGAGCAAGGGCAATGGAGGGTAATAGTGACAATGATGACTGATGACAGCAGCGGCACTGACGCAAAGGAAAAGGAAAGAGAGAAGGTTGAGAAGGAAGGGGAAGAGAAATAAATCAACCAAGTCAAACTTCTTAGAAAGGAAGTTGCAATCTCTATAAAAGTAAGTCAAAGCCATCTAAAGAGGAAGAAAAAAAAAAAGCAAGAGAAGACAGAATTCAGTGTAAACAGAGAAGGGCTCCTTTTAAATTCTATTTACTTCTAGCTAACAGCAAAAGATTTTAAATGCACAAAACAGATGGATGAATGCTTTGCCCATTGACAGATGCAAGTCCTAGCTCTTGAGAATGCCCCCAGATGTAGAATTCCTTAAAAACAACAACAAAAACAACAACAAAAACAGGTTTGCTGCATTTTATTGATTGTCAAATGCCTTGGGCCCAATTCAATTCCAAAAACATTGAATAAGGACACACTAAGTGCCAGAAGTTAGATGCTAGGCATCCAAAAATAAATAAACAGAGAAAAATGAGTTTATGACTTGAAAGGGAAATAACAGATTAATATACCACTAAATATAATGCAAGTGGAGATGCCACAAAATCAATGTGAAATACAATGGAAGTATGAAATAATAATTTACTGCTTGGCGCATGAGGGACTCTTCACTGAAAAAGCAACATTTGCTTTGGCCTGGAGCACTGATTAGGGGTAGGCAAGGCAAAGGAGAGAGGGATATCCACACAGCAGAGGGAACAGAATGACAAGGCAAGTGTCTGTGTGTTGCCTTTTCGGGGGCTCAGAATCTCCATAACCACACAATCCAATGCTTTGGGCTTTCCTGCTCTCTAATGCTTGGCCAACAATTCTTGGAAAACTTAACCTTCTGTACACCCAAGGTCCTATGGTCTCACCCTTCTATAGAAATTAACTGGTTCAAATATTTCATACTGAAATGTCCATGGACATTCATGATATTTTAGCAGTTGTCTTCTGGAAAGATAATGCATTGGGCTGAAAGAGTGACTCCAATAGAGGAAATTTCCAGCATGTTAGTAACTTAAAGTCAGGGCAGGAGTGGAGGAGATGAACAATTCAGAGGAGAGAGCCACCCTCGCACCAAGCACCAAGCAGATAGATACACTTCCCATTACTTTCCTTATTCGCAGCTATGTGTAAGCAGTGGCTATACGAAAAAGAAAATTTATCACTGATTCTAGACACCCATAAAAGGGATATAAAGGGTAAAACCTTTTCTTGTTCTGTTTAAATGTATGTTCACAAGTTCCATATGGGGCTGGGAAGATTGGGTGTGTTTGATGTGTTGCATGAAGCTCAGCATTCAGATTTAAAAAATGTGTTTTACATTTTCCACTGCTGTGATGGCTAAGGTGTTACAAGCAGCATGCCTAATTTTGAGTGGGGATACTCGGTGAAACCATGGTTGTAAATGTAGTGTTCAGAAAAAGTCTGACACTTTTGTAAGTAAAGAGTCATTGTGAGGAAAAGGACAACGATGCAAAGTAGAATGGCAAAACCTAGAAGCACAGTTAGAGCTCATCTCTCCATTCAGAATTGAAAATGCACCAGGCGGAAACTAGGCTGAATGGCCACCTGCCCTTAGAAAAATCTCTTCTCATATTGATTGTGAAAACACAAAGGGATGGAGGAAATATTTTAAGTATAAAAGAAAAATAAGACTGTTCAAACCACTTCAAACTTATTATGACTGGCATGCCAATTACATTTACATAATCAGCAAATATGTACTGAATACCTATGATGTGCAAGACAAGAGGTGTCAAAAGTGCATCCTCCTTAGTTCGCTCCCTTAGAGAATTTCAAGCTAATTGAAGCACCCAGAAAATATAGGAATAGAAAAATTAACAAAGGTAGCCTTCTCAGTATAGCAGAAAGAATATTACAGTAGAAAATAAAAGAATCTGGACTCAAATTATGAGTTTGATACTTATTTGCTGTGTGACCTCTTGGACAATTCATTAAGCTCATTTACTCATCTATAAAATAAGAGGGTTCAAATATATTTAGCATGGAAAATAGATTTCAGGTTACGTGCTGCTGACTCTAACCAATCAGCGACTTCCAGGAACAATGTGCTGATATGGATTCTAAAACTACACCTGGGGAAAAAGTGCCCTTTTTGATTAGCAATGACTACCATGAGCTTAAAAAGGAAAAATATTAGAAGGTGTATTAGTTCATTCTCACATTGCTATGAAGAAATACCTGAGACTGGGTAATTTATAAAGAAAAGAGGTTTTATCGACTTACAGTTCCACATGGCTGGGGAGGCCTCAGGAAATTTACAATCATGGTGGAAGGCACCTCTTCACAAGGCAGCAGGAGAGAGAATGAGTGCCAGTGGGGGAAATGCCAGACGCTTATAAAACCATCAGATCACATAAGACTCACTTGTTATCAGGAGAACTGCATTGGAGGAAACTGCCTCCATGATTCAATTACCTCCCATGGGGTCCCTCCCACAACATGTGGGGATTATGAGGATTACAGTTCAAGATGAGATTTGGGTGGGGACATAGCCAAACCATAACAGAAGAAGAGAGTCATATATGTGTCATTTGCTCAATAATCATAAAGATACCTTCCAGCTTTAACTGGAAGGGGCTGGTTCATTTTAAATCTACTCACACATGTTTACTGAATGCCTTCTATATGGCTGACACTGTGTTCTGCATTGAGATGTCATGAAGCCAATGACACAGACCTTGCAATCAAAGAGCAGTTAGAACTACAGAACTATGTTCATCTAGAATGCAATGTGACTCAGCACTATTATATAGGTATATACAAAGAGCTATATGAACATAAAGGAAAAAGTAGTGCCACCCAGGGGAATGATATTCAGGACTGACCCTGAAGGATGACAAGGAGCTTCTAAGCAGAATGCGTAGAAAGTGCTTCTCATAATTAGGAAACAACAGGAACGGTAGTAGTAAGCAATAAAACAAGTAAGTTAAATTGGGCCAGTTTGGCATATGCTCTCTAGGCCAGAAGAAAACAAAATTAAACTTGTAATTTGTACTTATCTTGTAGGCAAGATGGATTAATCAAAGATTTTAAAAATAAGAGTTCAATACTTGGTCTTCAAATACAAGTGTTAAATGCCTCCAGTGCCAGAATCATAGCCAGACTGGAAGGGCAGTGGGGGCTGAAGTTCCACATTTGGGACAGGGGTCCCAGTTAGGAGAATTCTGTAAAACCCCACATGAGATACAGAGTCCAGGATTAAAGGCAGGGACATGACAAAGCTCTATGGAAAACATAAAGGCAAGATCAGTAACACAATGAATGCAAGAGAATTTCGTGACCACGGGAGGCCACAAAAACCTTCTCATAAAGAAGATGGGACTGACTTAAAGTGGGAAGGGACTCAATGAATGGTCCCCTCAAAGTCACACAGATGATGAGCAGTGAGATGGGGTCAGAATTCAAGCCACACGGCCTTTAATCCTACCTAATTTCTATTAAACCTCATGCTTCTCTGTATTATAATATCAAGTAGAGCAGTGTTTTCCAAAGCCTGGACTACAGAATATTAAATCTACCTGATATTACTAGGTTTAAAGGAATAAAAGTCTTCATAATCAAATAAGTTTAAGGACATTTAAAAAATCATTTCTGGAGGACCTTCTAGATCCTCTAATGCGTGAATGTGTGTGTGACTTTCTAAGAGGAGGATACGACATGGACTGTTTCCCAAATTCAATTAACTACAGGATGCTGTTTTCAGAGATCTTCTCATAGGGCAAATATCCCACAGAACTGAGTTTGGTAGCACAGAACCAATGATCTGAAAGCACTTGTAGAATTTATTTAGAGAACATCTTCAAATTTAAGTATACATTATATTTATATTCTTATCATCAGTTTCCTGCAAAGAAATCATTCCTTTTCAGAGTTTTAGAAGCCAAGAGATTGGATTTCCAAGGGTAATAAACCACGTGCAGAGAGAAAACTCAAGTAGAACAGCCCACAGAAATCAGTGAACAGAAGGAATGAGTTGCTAGGGAGGTGACTGAGACAAAGCACACAACCAGTGTGGTTGATAACACCTACAGAAGAGCTATTTCAAGAGAGAGATAGAGGCCGGAGGAAAGTGGTAAGAGGAACAGGAAGCCAAGTGTGGGATGAACCAAAAACAATAAGGAGGACTCTTCCTGTTCCTGAAAATTCCTATATAGGCGTTCAAAAATCAGATTTGCCTCTTTTTTTTTGTCATCAGTTATTTCTCAGTACTTAGACTCATTTTCATTAACAGTTTTCCAAATGCAAACATCTTTGGGCTGTCCATCCGAATGGCCAGTTTGGGAGAGGAGCTTGGAACAGTTATCTTCATATTCAACTTCTTAGCAGCACTTAGAGCTCTGTGCCCAAAGCCAGAGGCAGCCCACAGAAAGCTCTGAGAGGATTAGAAACAGGCATCCCCTCAGGCAGGCACATGGCTTGCTGAGGAACAGTGTCTTTGTAGAAATTAGCAAAAGGAAATTATCTCTCCAAGTGAATAAAACTCTATGTAAGAGCACATGGCTTGCAGGCAGAGCACAAATGTGTTTCAGTCACCACTCACCTTCGCAACCCGGTACTCCTGTGCAGGACACAGACTGACTAGTCATATAGAACAGCCCTGTCTGTTTCCACCCTCCCATTTGCTTTCCATGGAAAATCCTCTCAAAAGGGATAGTCTTTTTCTTCTAGTTGAAGAGTCCCTAATCAGAATATTATCTGGAGGCTGCAAAACTGTAATCAGCAAACTGTATTAAACTAATATACAGACCATTTCTCTCCCTCTCAGGTTTGCTACTGACTAAGTATATGGAATTTGGGCAAACTATTTCATCTCATAGGATTTTGCAGCTTGCAAAAATGGCCAGAACAAATGGCAGTGTCTCCCATTCAAGTTATCAAATCTCTCCTCGCTTCTTAAATATGGACTGGCCTTGTGACTTGTTTTGGCCAATAGAATGCTTTGCAAGCAATGTGATGCCAGACTCAAAAATCTTTGCACACTTCCACTCAATCTTTTGGAATCCTGCACAGCCACCATGTGAACAAGCCCAGGCTAGTCTGCTGGGGGATGAGAGAGCATATGGAGCAGAGGTGCACTATCTTAGTTGATGTCTTCCTAAACCAGCCAGTCCTCAGCTGACCATACACACACACACACACACACACACACACACGTGAACACAGCCCAGTCTAACAGAGCTAAAAAGCTAGAGTCAACCCAGGTTACCAACCAGCAGAATTTTGAGCTAAATAAATAAATGCTGTTATGCTACCAAGTTTGAGGTTTTGTTAAATAGCAATAGAAAATTGATACATGGCTAGCCAGTTTTCCCAGCACCATGTATCAATTTTCTATTGCTATTCAACCAAACCCCAAACTTGGATAAAGAAAATGTGGCACATATACACCATGGAATACTATGCAGCCATAAAAAGAATGAGTTCATGTCCTTTGCAGGAACATGGATGAAGCTGGAAGCCATCATTCTCTGCAAACTAACACAGGAACAGAAAACCAAACACCGCATGTTCTCACTGATAAGTGGGAGCTGAACAATGAGAACACATGGACACAGGGAGGGGAACATCACACATTGGGGCCTGTCGGGGGGTGGGGAGCAAGGAGAGGGAGAGCATTAGGACAAATACCTAATGCATGCAGGGCTTAAAACCTAGATAAAGGGTTGATAAGTGCAGCAAACCACCATGACACATGTATACCTATATAACAAACCTAAACGTTCTGCAGATGTATCCCATAGCCTAAAGTAAGAAAAAAAAAACTAAATTAAAAATTTACTTTAAGAAAAGGAAAATTGATACATGGAGTCATAGCTTTCTCATTTGCAAACTGATGGTTAATCCTTAAGATCCATTTTAGTTAGAAGATTCTATGGTAACAATAGATTTTCCAACCTAGTTACTACTGTGCTATCTTCTCCTTTTTCTGTTAAATTTCCAGGAAATGGGGGAACAAAGTTGGTAGTAGCACTCTTCTAGGTTCTCATTTCATTCTCAGCCAGGCACAGAGGCACATGCCTGTAATCTTAGCACTTTGGGAGGCCAAAGCAGGAAAATTGCTTGAGGCTAGGAGTTCGAGACCAGCCTGGGCAAAAAAGTGAGACCTGCCTCTACAAAAAATTTAAAAATTAGCCAGGCATGATGGTATGTGCCTGTAGTCCTAGCTCCTTGGGAGGCTGAGTTGAGAGGATCACCTGAGCCTAGGAGTTCAAGGCTGCACTGAGCTATGATTGCACAACTGCACAAAAACAAAAGAACTTCATTCTCTACACCATACTCAGAGAATAAAAAACAAATCTGAACTTAAGTAATGAGAGACATTGTTCAAAAGGATTATTGCAAGAAAGGGGAAATAGACTATTACAATAGGGAGACTATTGCTGGAGACTATTCCAATGTGGAGAATGCTCTGTCCATGAGACATGCAGACCTCTCAAGGGCCAGGCAGAAAAGGTATGTTCTTTTACAGGAAGGAGTGAATAGGGTAGAAGAAAAAAAAAAACAGACATGAGTAAGTGGGACACAAGGGTGGCTTTATGGGACAGTTGATCAGGTAATATTTTCCTGAGGTCAGTCAGCAATCAGGACATTAAAGACTGGGTGTATGCTAGAACAGGCTGAAGGTGGGTCAAAGCTCAAGGTCCTGGGGGAAGGAGAGAAACTAACTAAGGTTTAAGTGAGTGAAAGTAGCAGATATTTTGTCCATATTGGTCAGTAGGTACAAACAGCTCAGCTAATCATTTCTGAGGCAAAGAATGGGAATTTGGAAATTGTATGACAGACCTTACTATAGGCAAACAAGAGAGGCATCTGTGAGTCTTATCTAAGTCATCAGGAAAGAGAAATTCTCTGCAATAAACTATTTTCTGAGACACAAAAGTGTTGAGGGGGTGGGGTGGGATTTATTGGCTATCACTGATTTCCAGAAGCACAGGGCTTAGGTAAAAGTCAATATTGTCAATATTGTCATATTCTACTCACAAAGGCCTGTTTATTTAACCCATTATATATCTACAGATAATCTCACAAACTAAAGAAAATGAGAACTTCCCCCTCAAAGTTTGGAGACTCTCTTTATCACTTGTTCACATATTGTTAAGGGTTCATTCTCTGATGCCTCCCTCCTTGTGAATTCTCCCTTCTATAAATCTTTGATTATGTGATCTAACTTGGTGGGGTATAAGTAAATAGAGACAGAAAGAGGCATGCAAGATACATACCACATAAGCCTAATCACTGTTCACTATGATCCCTTTTCATGTTCTCTGGCTCACTAACAGTTTATTCTTAATTCATCAACTTTAGCTACCTGGTTTTCTGTGAATAAATGCAACAATGAACATAGTGTTTTGTTTAAGTTTGTAGGCTAGTAAATAATGTTTCTCAGTCCTGGAATAACAACAAAGACCCTTAGCTGGAAAGGCCTCCAACTGTATGATGTGGGTCATGTTTGCTCAGCTCAGCAATTCAGAAGTGTCCAAAGCAGTATGACCTAATTGCCTCTCACATCCACACTTAGTTCTTCTCCAGTATGGCCTGCTCTTGGATGCACGATTGATCTTCTCAATGCATGACTCTGGTTATGTTATTCCTTTCTTCAAAGATTTCAAACACTTTTCCTTTGCTTTCCAATGATGTTTAAACTTTTTAACTTCAGGATCAAGACTTCTCTAAACTGGTCCCAACCTATCTTTTCATTCTTATCTCTTAGTAACCTCTTATACCTACACCTTGTACTCCTAAGTCATCCTTCGTAATCTCCTTTGATTTTTTAACACGGTATTAGTCATCTCAGGCTGCTATAACAAAATACCATAAACTGGGTGGCTTATGCAACAGACATTTCTTTCTCACGGTTCTAGAGGATAGAAAGTCCAAGGTCAAGATGCTGGTAGATTCAGTGCATGGTGAGGGCCTACTTTTCGGCTGGCAGATGACTGCCTTCGCACTGTGTCCTCACATAATGAAGAAAGATGGAGCTTGCTCTCTCTTCCTCTTCTAATAAGAAAATGAATCTCATCATGGAGCCCTGTCCTCATGGCCTCATCTAAGCCATATTACCTTTCAAAAGCCTCACCTCCAGATACTATCATAATGGGAGTTAGGGCTTCAACATATAAATTTTGGGAGACACATTCAGCCCATAACATAGAGTATTAAGAAAATGAAATAAAACCATATTAATATGTATAGGATATGATGATTTGTTTTAAAAATTAGTTATCAATTGATTTCAATTGCATTGAATTGAAATTAATTACCAAAAAATCAATTACCTTATTTGTGAATCCATGTCCAAGGTGTAAAATTTAGAATAGCTCCTCTTTCAATAAGGTTGTACAGGTAAAAGACATATTCTATGGTAAAGCACAAACATTATCTATCCTCAAAAATTATTCAAGCTACAATATAAAATACCAAACCAAATTAAAACAACACAAACAGTGAGCCAGATCAACACCTGTTTAAAGAGATGATGCATTTTCTGAGTTGCATGGTAGAAATGTTTCTGTTAAGGGCATTTTAGGGAAGAGTTACAGAAGGGAAGGTGATAGAGTTTCATAATAATTGTTTAACAAATGCACTTGGAAGTCCCTAACTATAAGTAGAGCCAGCAGCCTCCAAAGGAGCTTAACACAATCTCTGTAAAGGCTGATCTTACTCAGACTGACACATGGGAAAAGAGTATTTGAGTACTAAGCCTTCAATTCCTCCTAGACGCAAGGCAAATGCTCTAAAACAACTGCTGAACCTAAATCCATTGATAAATGTGCGTAAGACATACGGGAAATATGTCTAAATACATGGTTTGAATTAATTCTAAACCCTGGGAAAGTCCAATGGTGGGGATGAGAATGTGGAACTGGAGAAGAATATGCCTTTATTTGATTACTGACTGTAAACCTTCCTTCAAGCTGCTAATAAGACCTGTACTCTAGAGTGGATGCTTATAGTGGTCAAACAGTATTGTAGGGAAGAAGACTGCACTACAGAACCCCAAATATGTATGCGTAACTGCAGCTGGATTGACATGTCTGGAAGATAGAGTTGATCTTGCCTTCTAGAGCACAAAAACTATTACTTAACAGGAATGTTTATTTTGGCATTCTTTATCACCAGTGAAGTGTGGTAAACTCAGCCCAGCAACTTCAGAAGATTTAGTCTATCTGTCCATGCCTCAGATTTCTACTAGACCAAGGTGGCTTAAATAAAAGGAACATGGAACATTGGCAACTGTACTACATACTTGGTCAAAATAGAGACTGGTGAATTCAGGCCTGGCAGTAGCTTGTATTATTTTAAACTTGAATTAATCTGACTTTATTCTCTACATTAATCAAGCTAACCAATTCTCCAGGTTTATTGTAGGGATATATATATACACACACACACATATACAGTATGTTTATATAATGATATATATAATGTTTTATATATATATGGTTTATAGTGTAATCAATGTATAAAATTTCTTATGCCCAAGTAGGTCTAAATCGAAAGCATTTTAATTTGTAAATTAAACAAGATTTTGTAGAACTTTACTGTTGACACATTATAAAGTTATAATTTTACCTAGAAGCGCTAGCATAGACTACTCAACCTTTCAAGATTGATATTATAGTAGGTAATCACGTGCAAGGTAGATAACCCATTGAAAGGGCCCCATCCAGAAGTAATCTCATCTTTCTACCATTCCTATGGTACTTTAAGCAAACTTAATTACACACACACACACACACACACACACTATCACTAAGATTCTGCATTAAGAAATAAAAAACTAACTCTTAAACGGTTTAAGCAGAATAACTATTTAAGAAGAATTAAGTAGAGATAATAGAATTTCCAGGAAGGCTGAAGAATCACGCCTGGGGATAAGCAACCAAAAATAATGCCAAGACTCAGGCTACAGAACTGCTCTGGGGAGTATATCCATCACTGCTGCTGCCGCAAACATCCAGGGATTGTGCCTTGACCCACAGACACTGCTGACACATGTCACAGATGCTAACTTGCTAGTTGCACTGTTTCCTGAATAATTCAACCTTATGAGAACAATCGCCAGAGCAAATTCATCAACCCTGAATCTTTCTGTCCAGAGTGGTTGCACCTGATTAGCAGGGACCAGAGAACATGGTCATGCCCTCAGTGCAAGGTTGGCTAGGTAAGTATCTGGAATATTCATATCCTAGATAGAGATAGAGAGAGAGAGAGAGAGAGAGGAGAGAGGCCGTATCTCCCACAAAGACTCATGAGGTAAAAAATTCCCTGAGCAAAGGAAGAGTGTTTGGATTATAGAAAGTCAAAAATAATGACAACTATTCATTACATTTGCACTGGTTTTATCATCCCTACTAGATTTATTATAAGACCCATGGAAGGAGGTCTCAAATCATATTTCTTTGTATCATCAAAATTAGCTATTATAGTGTTTAAACTTCTAAGGTACTCAATAACAATTAGTTTCATGAACAGAACCATGGTATAAACCATTTTCTAGAAAAAAGAACTTAGAATATGGTTAGCCTAATATAATATCCATTTCATTGTGTACTTCTATAATACACAATAACATTAGCTATGACTTAAAAATTTCTGTCATAACTACGAAATTTCAAGCACATAAATATATTGGGTGTCTGAAACTACTAATTCTTAATTTGGTAATATTTGTTCTGACTACCTTCTCTTATTACCTAGAAACAGTTCATAGCCAAAATGTGCACTAAAAAATCAAGAAATCAATAATTTGCCTGTACTTATTCCACACTGTTGTAAGACTGAAATCATATTATGTTCACTAAAATTTGAACATAATTTCTCAGAAATCAAGCATTTCAACTAGGAAGTCTTTGCCTTAATGTTTACACTTCAGTCAGGAATTTTCTCCAGGAAAATAAGACATGCTCAGAGAAATTTACAAATTTTGTGAAAGCTTAATAAAAGAAACTCAATTTCTTCAACTCTAGTATCTGACCAACAAATAAGAAGATCTTGTATAAATGAGGGGTATCAGTTAGAGCCACTCAGTTACGGGTGCCTTTTTTTTTCCAAATGAGGCACTGTGCTGGTTTTCAACATTCTAGCATATGCACATGGGCATTCGATTTAAGCAAAGTGTATCTCTGGAAATCATCACCAGAACCCAAGTCCTCCCCTTGAGGATAGCTTGCACCAATATTGACATTAGGGGAATCTCAGAGATTCCTGAGTCCAATATGGGTATCCTCCAGTAACTGCAGTCTACTCAGTGGAAAAACAACTGTCATAATCTGGATCCTTTCAATAAAATTGTCTGAAATTCCTTAGTGGCCTAAGATATGAATTGACTTACATCCTCATAAATTCTGAACATCATTAACACCTAACCAGGGCTTTTCAAAGAGCCCTCTGACTAACACATGTTGATCTACTCCTCAACACTTTGCTAGAAAAAATAAGAAAAAGCAAATGAAAAAGGATAAGAAAAAGCAAATGAGTTACCCAGTTAGTATTAAATGCTACCCTTATGCCCACATTTGTGCTAACCATTCTGAGGGAAAAGAAAAAAGAAAAAAAAGTTAGAAAACAATATTCCCCACCTTCAATGTTCATGTATTTTCTTCAGAAAGACAAAAGTAACCCAGAGGATACAGGTCAAACTCAATTAAAACTAAGTGGATGACACTAGTCAAAAGAACACATACAACGCATCCATTCCTGAAGGACTAGAAGCGTAGGTCATGTGTTTTCTTCCTGTTGAAGGTCACATTTCAGGTCGGGGAAAAAAGATATGGAAAATGTTGTTGCTGATTAAATAGATGGTATCAAAGAACACGTTTTCAGACTGTGATTTATAATTCCAAAATCGAAGGATGCTGGCAAGCAAGGGGACACATCCTATGAAAAATGAGAAGAAGCAAATTACACCATGATCCTGAAGACTTAAAACAAATGGCCAAGAGTGATGAAGATAAATGGTTAGATTATATTGTAGACAGAAACAATGAAACTACAGGAAGAAAGATAGTGGATAAGAGACCTCCCAACCCTTCCAAAAAGTCAAGAGACATTAGCAAGAAAAGAGCTTAGAAAGAAGACCGCATGAGCATTAGTTTCCAAGACTGCCATAACAAATTAACACAAACTGGATGGCTTTGAAGCAAGAGAATATATTCTCTCACCGTTCTGGAGGCTGAAAGTCTGAAATCAAAGTGAAAGCAGGGTTGGTTTCTACTGAAAATTCTGAGGGAGGGTCTGTTCTACGCCTTCCTCCCAGCTTCTGGTGGCTGACCCCAGTCCTTGACATCCCTTGGTTTGTAGATGTGTCCCTCCTGTCTCTGCCCGTCTGTTCACATGGCCTCCTCCTCTGCCCATCCTTACATGGAGTTATGCTGTGTATGTGTGTGAGAACATTTCTTTTTTTTTTTTTTTTTTTTTTTTTTTTTTTTTTTTTTTTTTTTGAGACGGAGTCTCGCTCTGTCGCCCAGGCTGGAGGCTGGAGATTGCCCAGGCGCGATCTCGGCTCACGTCATGCTCCACCTCCCGGGTTCACGCTATTCTCCTGCCTCAGCCTCCCGAGTAGCTGTGACTACAGGCGCCTGCCACCATGCCTGGCTAATTTTTTTTTTTTTTGTAGTTTTAGTGGAGACGGGGTTTCACCATGTTAGCCACGATGGTCTCGACCTCCTGACCTCGTGATCCGCCCGCCTCAGCCTCCCAAAGTGCTGGGATTACAGGCATGAGCCACCGTGCCTGACCAATTCCCTCTTTTTATAAGGGCACTAGTCATATAAGATTTAGAGTACACCTTGATCCAGTATGACTTTATCTTAACTTCATTACATGTACAAAGACCCTATTTCCACATAAGGCTACACTCACAGGTTCCAGATGGATATGAATATTAGGGGAACACTATTCAACCTAATGCAGTGGGCTGTGTGAGGATGGGGAGACTAGAGTATATTATTCACTACTGTGACCCTAGCACCTAGCCAACAGTAAGAGATTAGATAGATAGCTACGTTTATGTATATGTATATACTTACGTGTATATATGTATGTATTAAACAAGTGAATTGTCCTAATATCACAGCATAAACTACATGTATTAAATTTCGTATTTTAATATAATACTAAAAATATTATAGGCTAGTGCAGTGGCTCAAGCCTGTAATCCCAGCACTTTGGGAGGCCGAGGCGGGCAGATCAAGAGGTCAGGAGATCAAGACCATCCTGGCTAACACGGTGAAACCCTGTCTCTACTAAAAAAATACAAAAAAATTAGCCGGGCATGGTGGCAGGCGCCTGTAATCCCAGCTACTCGGAAGGCTGTGCAGGCAGGAGAATAGCGTGAACCCGGGAGGCGGAGCTTGCAGTGAGCCGAGATTGCGCCACTGCACTCCAGCCCGGGCGAGAGAGAGAGACTCCGTCTAAAAACAAAACAAAACAAAACAAAACAAAAACGGTGTGGGGGGGGGGTGGGAAAGACAAGAATATTATAAGTATTCTCAAGATTTGATTGGATGAAACTCGTGACAGAAATTCAGCCGTGGCAGGTGTACATTACCAACAAACCCCAGATTTTAAAGATGAGTTTAAAAACAAGTTTCTAAGTCAAGATGGCAAATTCTTTAAAGTGCATCAAGGATCTGGTGGAGAGAGAACTTTGAGGACAAGATAAATAATAGAAAGACAGAAATGCTGTGTTTGTGGCAACGTCTCACAAACTACTTGGACAGAGGAAAGGCGTGTTGATTTTCCTCCAAAGGCCACATCCTGTCTACTCCACTGTTCTCTGGATTTAACGTCACAAGAAAATGGAATATTGTGTTGATCAGCAGAAATGTAAAGTGTCTTAGAAGAGTAGAACCAAATCTTCTTAAGGTCAGTAGGTACAAAGTTGTAGTTAAATAAGAGAAGTTAGTTCTGATGTTCGACTTAATAATAAGATATTGTATATTTTAAAATAGCTAAAAGAGAGAATTTAAATGTTCTCTATATGAAGAAATAATAAATATTTGAAGTGATGATTATGCTAATTACCTTGATTTGATCATTCTAAAATGTATACATTTGTGGAAACATTACGTGGTATCACATGATTATACACAATTATTACTTGTCAACTAAAAATAGAATAATCATTGAGTGGTGTTAAGAGTAGAAAAAATAAGAATAGAGTAAAACTTAAAAAAAAGCAAAAAAAATAAATACTATTTTTTTAAAAAAGAGTCATAATAAGTGAGAAATGAAACAAGTATAGTCAGTCTTGTATCCACCACACAAGTTATTAAAAGTGCAGAGAAAACATGGCACATCCTTTTGGCCATATACAAGAAAAAGAGAATTCAAGAAAGAATTATGATGATTCCCTTTAATTTCATGCCCACATTGTGTCTGGCTCTTTATATGTAATTTCATATAATGCCTATTATACTCCTTTAGGTTAGAAAAGAGAATAGTCAGAAACGCACATCAGTTGCTCACTCTCCAAACAATTAATTAAATCCTTCTAAGCAAAAAGAGTAAAGTTTCCCTGCAATGGCAAGAAGACAGAAAAACAGAGAAAAAGATCAAGACTGAGGAAGACAACACAGAGAACAGACAGACAGATAGAGGCAGGCAGAGAGACAGAGGGACAGAGAGGCAGATACAGAGTAAGACAGAAAAAGAGGGCAAATAGAAAGAAGTGACAGAGAGACCCAAAGATGGATAGTGGGGAGATGTACAGAGCAGTAAAGACAGAGAAAGAAAGAGACACAGAGGGATAAATTCCTACAAAGGCAGAGGGAACAGGTCTCTGCTTACTGTGTTTTGGGAAGGCCGATGCAGGGATTTTTTTCTTTTCCCTGGAACTTGGGACTTCATGAAGCGATACTGCTAATAAGAGTTCTAAAAAAGAGACTTAAATAGATCAGGACAGTCTGACTAAAATTAAGTGGTTATTTGATGAGGATAATTATACGTATTCTACATAAGTTCCCAAATTGGCTTGTATACAGATACAGGACTTAAAAACATCATATGAAGAAGATCTAATGATTTTGATGACAAGTCACTATGAGTGTATCAATTAAGGTGACTTGTCTGTAATAGAATCCTAAACTTTAAAAGCTTTAAGAAATACGCAGTTCCATTTGTTAATATAACCAGAAGTCCAGGGAGAGTGCTTTGGATGTTAGGAGTAAGATTTAAGCTTTGTTTCCTATAATTCTCTCAGGAATGCCCTCTGCCATGGATCATCTGCATTCTTAGGCTGGGCTTCTCATGATCATAAGAAGGGGGTTGCCAAAAAAAGTTTCGCATTCATTTTTGAATCAAAATGGCAAGGAATTTAGAATTGCCATAAATAAGTTCAACAAATCAGAATTCAACCCTGGAACTAGAACATACCTCTAAAGCCATACTATTGCTTCATGACAGGGAATGCGTGGATTGAAAGCTGTACTGTCAATCCCAATGCTCACTACAACAAAACAATATGACAAGACAGTAAAAAGGGGTGTAGTGACAAAGGAACCATTATTATTGAATACCTACAATATGCAGACACTTCATGTACCTTGCTTTATTTATTTTTTACAATAACACCATGAGATGGGGCTTGTTAACATTTTAGCAATAAGGATACAAATATCCAGAGGTTAAGTAACTTATTCATAGAAAGAGAGAAGTAGAATCAGTCCACTTTACACTAATGTATGACCTGAGATGTTGATATCTTGCTGTAATTTAATAATGTGGCATGACCTTGATGTGACTTTGGAAAATAAAGATTTTGCCTTGATAGCACCATCACCATCATCATCAAATATTCTCAACTGTTCTTCTCCACCAGTATTAACCGCATTATGGAAATTCTACCCGTGCCCCCTTAGTCCTCATGATTTCTCTGGTTCACTCTTGCTGTGGTGAAGAAGGGAAATTTCTCACAATAACTCTAGTACTAGAACTTTACTTGAGGTTCTTTATTTTTCAGGTTTCACAGCCAACTATTTTTGCCTTTTTAATTGTGAAATATAACACACATACATCAAACTGCAGAAAACATAAATGTACACCTCACTGAATTACCTCACACAACATTATCAACACCTCAAATCCCTCTGGTGCCTCCTCTCCATCACTGTCCCTGAAAGGCAGCCATTAACTTGACTGCTAAACACGTGCACACGTGTTTCCTCTGAATGCACATCTAAGAGCATAATTGCTGGGTCATGTGTGTACACATAAGCCTTAGCAGATAATCCCAAGCTGTTGCTTCAGTTTCCAAAGAGGTTATAACAATTTATGCCTCCAGTAGCAGTATGTAAGAGTTTCTATTGCTCTACGTCCCCACCAATACTTCATATTGACAGTCTTTTAATTATTATTATACTTTAAGTTTTGGGATACATGTACAGAACATGCAGGTTTGTTACGTAGGTATGGACTTGCCATGGTGGTTTGCTGCACCCATCAACCCATCATCTACATTAGGTGTTTTTCCTAATGCTATCCCTCCTCTATCCCCAAACCCCCAAACAGGCCCCAGTGTGTGATGTTCCTCTCCCTGTGTCCATGTGTTCTCATTGTTCAACTCCCACTGATGAGTGAGAACATGCGGTGTTTGGTTTTCTGTTCCTGTGTTAGTTTACTGAGAATGATGGTTTCCAGCTTCATTCGTGTCCCTGCAAAGGACATAAACTCATCCCTTTTTTATGCCTTCATAGTATTCCATGGTGCATATGTGCCACATTTTCTTTATCCAGTCTATCATTTATGGCCATTTGGGTTGGTTCCAAGTCTTTGCTATTGTGAACAGTGCTGCAATAAACATACGTGTGCATGTGTCTTTGTAGTACAATGATTTATAATCCTTTGGGTATATACCCAGTAATAGGATTGCTGGGTCAAATGGGATTTCTCATTCTATATCCTTGGGAATCGCCACACTGTCTTCCACAGTCTTTTTAATGTTAACCATTCTGGTGAGTGTGTAGTAGTATCTCTTTGGTTGTGTAAATTTATGTTTATTTGATTGCTAGCAAGGTTACACACCTTTTCTTCTGTTTATTAATCATTTTCAATACTCTCTTTTGTAAACAGACAGTATCTGTTTTGAATCTCCTGCCCACTTACATATTGGGTTCTTAACTTTTAGATGTTGTTTATGTACTGCTGCTTATGATTCCATTGTCAGTTATATGAGCTAAAAATATTTTCTCTGGCTCCACAGCTTTTCCTTTTATTCTCTGTCACAATTTGGATTCCCCAGAAGATATGCACAGATAAAGTTTAGCACGCAGAATATTTATTAAAGAATCCCCTATGGCTCAAATCAAAGGGAGAAGCCATAAACAGGATTGAGCAGAGAGAGGAGTCAATCTGTGATGCAGGAGCAACAATGGTTTCAGCTGAGCCCACAGAGAGTTTTGGAGTGAGACTGAGCCTGCAGAGTTGTGACAGATTGGGTGGAGATTGCCAGATTTTTGCACCTCTGCATCAATCACTCATTGACTATGTGCCACTATGGGGAAAGCGTGATCTTGGGGAGGGCAGCTCTCTGTAGCTGAGACAACTCCTGAAGAAACTGAAAGTTGCTGGGTGGCTGCCAACAGCACTCCCAGCAGGTGAGGCAACAAGTTCTTCATTGAAGAAGAATTTGAGTGACACATTGGAGTGTCCACCATACTTTATTTTATTTTACTTTTTAAATAATTTCAATTTTTATTTTAGATGCAGGAGGTACATGTGCAGGTTCGTTACATGGGTATGCATAATGCTGAGGTTTGAGGTATAAACAACCCCATCACCTGACTAGTGAGCATAATTTTTCAACCCTTCTTTTTCTCTCTCCCTCCCCGCCCTAGTAGTTCCTAGTGTCTCTTGCTGCCAGCTTTATGGCCATGAGCACCCAATGTTTAGCTCCCTCTTGTAAGTGAGAACATGTGGTATTTGGTTTCTGTTCCTGTGTTAAAAACACACATGAATGTGTATGTTCATCATAGCATTATTCACAATAACAAAGACATGGAATCAACCTAAGTGCCCCCATCAACCATGGACTGGATAAAGAAAATGTGGTATGCATACACCATGGAATACTATGCAACCATAAAAAAGAATGAAATCATGTATCTTGCAGCAACATGGATGGAGCTGGAGGCCATTAAGCAAATTAAACCACACTCTCTTAATGGTGTTTTTTTTTTTTGAGGAGCAGAAACTCTTAATTTTGGTGTAGTCCACTAAAATTAAGTGGACTTAAAATTAAGTGGTCACTTCCTTTATCTCCAGTGCATTTTGTTTCCTATTTTAAAATCTCCCCTTACTCAAATTTATGAAAATATTCTCCCATGGTTTTTTTCACATCCAGATATACAATGTATTTAAAAATAAACCTTTTGTGCATAGTATGAGTTGGGGTTCATTTTGTCCACAGTGATTTCTAACTCTTCTCAGCATTGATACATCAGATAAGTAGAATAGAATTGGTATCATAGTCAACCAGAAGGAAGCCAGGTGACTCTTATAAATGCCTAAGGCACTATAAGAGTTTGAGAGAATTGTGGGGAAAAATATTAATTAGAGCAGATTCTACTTGAGACTCATTCTCTTGTTTAATCAGGAATCTCAACAGTCTCTTGTAAATCAATTGAAGACCCTTACTTGTAGGGACTAAACTGAAAGAGATAAACATAAAGTGATAACACATTCTGGGAGCTCAATAAATGGTAGCTATTCATATTATTCTGGGGCTAGGATCAGCCCCAACACATAGTTGGTTCAGAATATTGTATATTATCACATTCTCATTTCACTAGAACATATTTCACTTCTTCCTTTTTCTACAAAAAAAATAAAACTCATCATTTCTGTTGTCTAGCTTACATTAACCAATTAACCATGCCCTATAGAATCAGATGAGACTTGACCAGTAACCAGAACAACATTCTCTACAGGATGTTACAACACCTGTAGAGGATGTTTAAAAGCAGATGAACTGTGTGCTCCCATTCCAGGAACAGACAAATGGCAATTCACTGAGTCCAGCCTGGGGTGCAGCCAGTATAGTCTCTACCATCATATTTTCCAGCCTTCAAACCTTTTGCAAAATAAATTCTAAGCAGCTCAGTAATGCAAATTATTTATGAAGGATCCATGCTCCAAAAACACATATGCACATGAGGAAAGAGCAGTCTCAGCTCAATTGCATTTTCCTTCACTCAAGTAACATTTAATCAAGATACAATAGCTGAAGGTCACAAATCATGGATGATGACACCTTCGTGGTCCTGAAGATTTCTAATTGTTCCCTTAATTCCAATAACAAGAGTTTCTCCCTCAGTCTCACAGCTGACGTCTTGTTCAGCAGTTTAAAAAACAAAAACAAAAACAAACCTGTGTATCAGTGAGTACGTGTTCAGCATTAAGTAACAACAACAACAAATCACTACCCCTGTTGGCACCATTCTCATATTTGTTATTTATCAACAAGGAGTTGGGTTGGCTAGCAAGCTCTATAGCATCATCAAAGACCCATGCTCCTTTCAATCTCCCACTCCATCATCCTCGGGGTACTGATTTGCATCCCAAGGCATTGCAGGTTCATGGTTACAAGTGGCTGCTAATCTTCCAGACAGAGTATCTTTAAACGTCAGCATTCAAAACTATTTTTATTTGATTCAATTTTTTAATCAGAGATTTAAAAAATTTTCCCCAGCTCCCCATATCCCACCCCCTCTCCAACCTAGTAGACTTTCCATGCCTCTCACTGTCCGGAGATACATGGTCGCCCTTAGTTCAATCACTGGTGATGTGGAAATAATTATCATGATTTGCTTAGATCTATTATGATTTATGATTCACCAACTAAATCAGGCACCTTGTCTCTCAAACACTGTCAGGGTTCTGACTTCAAGAAAGGAAGGCTAAAAGCTATTGAGTAGGCAACCAACTGCATCCACCATAAACACCTGGTTAAAGTGGGGCAAGAAAAAAGCCTAGAAGGAAAACTCCAAATTCAAATCATGATTGTCTTTGGATGACAGGATGTTTTGTGTGTGTTAAGGGGAGAGAAGGGTAATTTTTCTTTTTCTTGTGTTATATATTTATAAATTTTCTACAACAACCATGTATTGCTTTTATAATTAAGGAAAACACTTTCTTTAAATGGAACAAACCTCTGTAATTTCTATAATCTACCAGAGAAACTGAAGGACAGATATCTCAATCTCCAGCCCTGAACACACATGGGAGGTAGAGTTGAGGTGCTTCTATAAACCCTTCCCCACCCAGGAACTTTGGAGTCTGTGGATAACCTATGTTTAGGTTGTGGCCACATGCTCAGTAGCAATATCTTTAGAGAATAATTCTACTGTAATTTTTAGTAAAAACAATCAATTACCATCTGTCTGCACAGGAGAGACCCAGATGGGTTTATTATTGGAATGGCAATCTACTTGGATGGACAGTGCCAACTATTCAGAACTGTGTTCCAGCAGTTCCACCCCTGAAATCCTAAATTTAGCCTTAGGATGAGCTTGTGCTGTGTCAGTATAACCTGTGTTGTGGGGTGGAGACAGTAGAAAAAAGAGGAAGAAAGAATGACAACAGACTTCTGCTGTCACTGTCACTCTCACTATGGGTTTCTTTTTTCCGTGCCAAATGGTGACATGGGGTCTTCTGAATAGAAAATAGCTGGAAATTTGTTGCCTTAAAAAAGTAACTCTGAAGCTAAATATATATCATGGGCTTTAAGGTGAAGGACAGAACAAAAATAAACCAAAAACTATGACTAAAATATGTGATGTACTGTTATTTGGAAGTTAGCAATACATCTTCACAACTAATAGTAATTTCAGTTTATTTCATTTGTAATAAAATTCCAAACATTGTGCTAAGAGCTTTACATAAATTATCCCATTTAATCCTCATAGCAGCTCTACAAAGAAGGAATTATTACCCTCATTTTACCAATGAAGAAACAGTCCCAGAAAGGATTTATAAATTTTTCAAGGTCACAGAATTAAAACGTGATTGAACCAAGTTTTGAAATCTTCTCTAATGGTATCCAAATTTCATGCCCTTAACCACAAGTGTTTTCTGCACCCATCATCTCCAAAAAGGTAAACACACCCAATCAAGGAGGCAGAGGGATCCTCAGGTGCTGAGGCCAAAGCTAATACTAAAAATGTGAAAAGGTCTTTCTGAGTATATTAGTAGCAGAAAAGAAAAGAGACTTACAGGAATTCAACACCAGGGCTCTCCTATATAAACAACTTTTTCTCCATGTAAATGATTTAAAAATAAAACAACCATATTTCTCAAAAGACCAATGTTTGTATCATCTCAGGGCTTTGTAATATCCACAGTAGTGATTAAAATGCTGACACATACATCCTAAGACTCTAATGACATTATATTACTTGAAGATATGGCAATGGCAAACCCCAGATGCACTCCAGTCTTTCTTAAAATTTTATACTTACAGTCTAGCTTCTGCAGGAAGTAATTATATCCCCTTTTCTGACATATTAACTACAGCAGTAGTAGCCGTAATTTTCCTAGACTACCCCAAGGAAACTTGGGAGCAAAGGCCTTAAAGGAAGGCCAAGTAGAGAACAAATCACAATCCAGGAGCTGCTATGATGGAATTAGAAACAAAAGCAAACTGACTACCATGCTGAGGTGACTCAAGATTTGGATTTGGACTTAAATTCTACTTTCCCTAAAACTATGTTCTGCATAAATGTATTTCCTGATTGCTTAGAGGATTTTTCAACAAACACATATTAAACACTTAGTCTACATGAGTCTCAGTTTTGGGCACTGTAGATAGGGAAGACTGTCAAACTGGACTCTGCTTCTACCCCATACATAAACATTCTTATTTCAGAAGTATTAAAATGTAAAAAAAAAAAAAAAGTACATTGTAATTTTCATTAATTGTGAGTGAGGGTGAGCATAGGTTCAAAAGATTAAAAAGTCTTTTTCCACCTCTAGTCATAACCAATTAAATGGTACTGAAATTGCCTTTCTATTGTGTTTAACCAGCAAACAGGACAATATATATGAAGTGGCTGTTTTTGGACAATAGGCAATCAGTTCAGGAATGCAAGCAATGAAAGAAGGAGCAGAAATCAAGGTGAGCCCTGAATTTTTATTTGGAGGTATTACCTGAACCATGGTACAAGAAAGAGCCCATAATACTATCACTGAGTTGAGGAGACAAAGATCAGAGTTTAGGGAGATAGCTGGAATTTGCAGGGTAGAGTATTGGCAAAGACAGAGGTATGCAGAGAAAAATTTCCAGAAACCTGTATAGGATTCCCCTTGAATCTACTGCTGAAAGCTAGGGTGAAAATCTGTACAGTAAAACTCAAAAGATTGGGCAAAGATCTACCAGGGAATCATAAGCTGAACAATTTCTACAGCTCACATTAGGATAAGAAACACTATAGTTTTATCCAGTTTGAGGGGATAAAGTTTTGGTTTTTGTTGCTGTTGTTTTTTGTTGTTGTTGCTGTTGTTCATTTAATCACACAGGGATTCAAAAAAGATCCCCACAAGAATGACAACTAGAAAGTAGGGGCCAAACAACCTATCAAAATGAAGCTTTAACACGATTGTCAAAAATCTGCAAGTTACACAGACAAAATGGTGAACTAGGAAACCCCAAGCCCTCATTTGCCCGTGGAAACATTAAAAAACAACTAAAAACTGAATTAAAAACCTTATAGGAGCCCTGAAAGACAGTCAAAGTTCTGCAAGAACTAAGTGAACACCCAATCAAGAAAGAACCACTTTCAAACCAGGAGGAAATTTTATCACATGTTTACTTGCCCATGTCCCATCCACTTTCTGGTACAGTGTGGTCTCAGTCTAGAGGGTGGTAATCCAGTTCCCAATTCCCTCTCTCAAACCAAAGGGAGTGGAGTAGACCGTACCTGCAATATTTTAACTAACCTACCTTAGGGATGCCTGAAGGACTTGTCTCTATCTCACCTAAATCAGATCTCAGACAGAAGTGGCAGGCACTTTTATTGACAATGGCAGAGAGACTAGAGAGTGAAGATAACTGAGCCAAGAAACTATGGGTGACACTTACAACAGACCATCAAAGACAAAAAACAATGGAAACTATTACGTCAGGGATCCAAAACTCTTAATAAGCCTCTGGAAGAATAAATATCAAAAACCCACATCGAAACACATCATAATCAAATTATCGAAAACCAAAGATTAGTAGATAATTTTAAAAGTAATTAAAGCAAAAAAGAAGAAAAAAGACAGAAGACAATGGAACAATATCTATAACACTCTAAAAGAAGAGGAAAACACCTGTCAGCCTAACATTTTACATTATATGAAAAATATACTTCAAAAATGAAGGGAGGCACCAAGATCTTGTTTTCCAAATCCTCTTTCCTAATCAAAAGAAGTCCCTAGAGATGTGGTTTGTTCCACCCATGTAGCAGGGAAAATACATGATTATCCTCCTGTGTCCTGTGGTGCCAGAGAAGTAAGGAAGAGGGAGGGAGAAAGAAAATAAGGCAAGAACGAGGAAGAAAGGAAGGGAAGGGAGAAGGGAAGGGAGAAGTGTAGGGACGGAAGAAGTGTTGGGAAGGGAGAAGTGTAGGGATGGGATGGGACAGGACAGGGGAGGGAAGGAAGGAAGGAAGGAAGGAAGGAAGGAAGGAAGGGGGAGGGGGTGGGGGAGGTGGGAGGGAGGGAGGGAGGTGTTGTGTTCTGTAAAAGCACAAAAATCAACCTAAAAGAGCTCTCAGTGTCCAAAGCTGGAACTAAATCATTACATTATTGTATTTATAACCCAAAGAATAAAATATCCATGAGTTAACACTAATATAAATAAATTACTGAATAAATAAGGGAAACTCCTTCTTATAGAAGAATTCAAATTAGTTAGTGTAGAAGGAGTAAAGATATCACCATTAGAAAACTACAGCAATAATTGCCGCAAGCAAGACTCACAGATGAATGCTAAACTAGTGGAAAAAAACTGAAAGAGAAACAAGATACTTGCATAGAGTCAAGATATTGCCTCTAAAATATTTATTAGTTCAAAAGGGGAAAATAGTAACTTTACACTGGAGAAACCTGGCAGGTGTCATCCTAACTGAGTAATAAAGATTAACCTCACCAGCAATAAGACATATTGACATCACATACTCCAGATGTGAGTACAGTAAAACTGTATATATTCATTTATGTTTTTGCCAAAAGGGCATAACCACAATCTAATCATCAGAAAATATCAGATAAATACTAATTGGGGAAAATTTTACAAAATACCTGGCCAGTAATGTTCGAAAGTGTCAAGGTCATGAAAGACAAGAAAAGACAGAGAAAATGTTGCAACTTGCAGGAGACAATGAAGACATCACAGCTCAATGCAATGTCAGATTTGGGATTAAATCTTGGAACAGAAAATGGATGTTATGAAAAACTAAGGAAATCTGAGTAAAGTTCGTAGCTCAGTCAATAGTATTATACCAATACTAGCTTCTTAGTTTTAACAATAGTACTATGGTTATGTAAAATGTCAACATTAGAAGAAGCTGAGTGAAGGATATATAGTTCACTGTACAATTTTCTTAATTTTCTGTACATCTAAAACTTTTCAAAATAACTTAAAAGTACAGCAGGCTCTGGAAGCATATCACGTGAGTGGAATTCTGAATCTATCACTTATAATTTTGTACGGTTATGAAATTTAGCTAATCTTTCTGGACCTCTGTTGCCTTAAAATAGAATGAAGATAGCAAGAATATTAACCTCAAACATTTGTGCAGCGGAATAAATAATAATTGAAAAACACAGACTATACAGTATTCAAACCTTAGCTAATATTAAATATTGTTATTTTTGTCCTACGGAAAATTTTGTTTTAATGTGCTGTTTTCATCTACAGTTTCTGAGTTTGCTTTACTTAGATAGACATTCCCCACTCTAAAGCTATAAAAAGTTTGTCTATTTTTTTCCCCTGAGACTTTTATAGTTCATTTTTCCTGTTTAAATCTTTGGTCCATGTGGAATTCATTTAAATGTAAGAAGTGAGCTTAAAGCTCACTTTTTCTTTTTCTTGCTTTTTCTTCTTCTTTTTAAAGATGGCCAGACATTTTTGCAACATCACTTATTAAATAATCCATCTTGTTTTCATGGACCAATTTTCATGGGCAGCAGACACTAGAAATCTTTCACCTTCTTCTGCTTGACCCCTACACCTACAACCTGAGTTTAGGGAAAACTCCGCATATTAAACAGAGTTGAGAATCAGGTGAAGCACAGCATAGAACCCCATGAAGGGTGTCATAAATATCAACTGATCCATAAAGACATAGAGTTTCTTGAGTAAATATAAACTATTCCCTCAGAGAATACCAGTGAATTTCCAATTATCACATCTGACAGTTCTCACCCCTCACAAAGATGCTTGTCAATCTTTTTGTAAAAACTCTCCCCTTTGGCTTCTGCATCTGAAACAGGAGTTGGGCTGGGTGCAGTGGCTCATGTCTGTAACCACAGCATTTTGGGAGGCCAAGGTGGGTGGGATCGCTTGAGCCCAGGAGTTTAGTTTGAGACCAGCCTGGGCAACAAAGCAAGACCCCATTTGTACCCAACCCCCCACCCCGCCCATAAAAAAAAAAAAAGGCTCTGTGTGGTGGCTCATGCCTGTAATCCTAGCACTTTGGGAAGCTGAGGTGAGAGAATTGCTTGAGGCCAAGAATCCAAGAACAACCTGGCCAACATATTTAATGTCTCTACTAAAAAAAAAATTAACCAGGTGCAGTAGCATACACCTACAGTCCCAGCTACTTGAGAGGCTGAAGTGGGAGGATCCCATAATCCCAGGAGTTTGAGGTTCCAGTGAGCCATGATTGCACCACTCCACTCCAGCCTGGGTGACATAGTGAGACCCTACCTCAGAAAAATAAATAAATAAGGCCAGTCATGGTGGCTCACACCTATAATCCCAGAACCTAGGGAGGCAGAGGCAGGCAGATCACATGAGGCCAGAAGTTTGAGACCAGCCTGGCCAACATGGCGAAACCCTGTCTCTACTAAAAGTACAAAAATTAGCCAGGCACGGTGGTGCATGCTGTGATCCCAGCTATTTGGGAGGCTGAGACACAAGAATCGCTTGAACCCAGGAAATGGAGGTTGCAGTAAAGCCAAGATCATGCCACTGCACTCCAGCCTGGGCAACAGAGCTAGACTCTGTCTGAAAAAAAAAAAAAAGAGAGAGAAAGAGAGAGAGAAAGAAAGAGAAAAAACAAAGAAGACAGGAGTAAATAAATAATAGCAACAGGAGTCTATTGCTATTATTCAGGGATGTTGATGAGACCTGAAATACACTCACCCTTTTCCACTACTTGCTGTTTCCTTCTTCCTCTCTTTCACTGTCTTCTATTTTAATTTCTTTTTCTTAACTACCATCCAAAACAAGTGCTCCTTAAAGCTCATCTTTACTACTCTTCTTATTTCACCTGCTCCCCCTGAGCTTTCTCCTCCATTTACATTATCTGTTATTACTTATGGGCTTCTTACTCCACATTTATCCCTTATGCCAGATCTTCTGACTCAAGCCAGGTTCCTATGAGTCAGAGACAGATTAGGGTTCTTGTTCAAGTGATTTATTAGTAGCCAGCTTTCATGAGAAAGGAAGTGAGGAAAGCCAGATAGGAGAAAATCCTAAGCAAGAATGTGTTCTTTCCTAGAGACTAGTGGTGGCACCTTGAGTCAAGGTGACCAGCCTCTTACATTCCCATGTGATTCAGTCATTGGTTGCTGGCTTCTCCTGGACAGGGGTTGGGGAGATACCTCCCGGGCAACATGGCTTCTGTCCAGCAGGGGACAATTGTCTGGAGAAAGGGCAACTGTAAGCTTTTAGCAACCAGAACTTACAGCAACTGTGGGGTTGATGCACCAGTGAAAGGGATCGAGGCAGGGTAAGGTATCTAATCCAATATTTGTACACTCAGATCTACTTGCTTCTCACATTAAGTTCACACTATCTAGGCATAGCTTCTCTAGGACTCTAGCTGCTCACAAATTCTAGAAAGCTTCTGAAAGAAGAATTAGTGGCAGGAACTACTACCCCCACTGCTATAGTTGGTCTTGAGAACTGAAACTCATCATCTCCCTCCTTCACTACCCATATTAGATTCCCTTCCACTTCACTGGCACTTCTGCTGGTCCAGGTGGTTTTCCTGGTGGGATGATCCAGAGCCTCTTCCTGAGGGTTCTGAGCCCTCTGGAGATCTTGTCTTTATCAGACCATAGTTGCTGTGCTTTCCATTAACTTAAAAGACACCCCAGTGGAACACTTAAGTCCTAAACATATTATTCTATGCTCTCATTATGCAGCAGTAGTCCAGCCTCTTCATGATGATCAGATTAAATTACCCTAGTTTAACGGTTTTCTAACACCAGGATCCCAAGGTGACCAAGTGGCAGCTGTAGTTTTAAATTTTGTGGGATTCTCACTCTGTCTCCTGGAGGATGTGCACCTCCTCTGAAATACAGGACCTCTAAGCACACAAACTTAAAAGTCAAACTTACAATCACACCAACTTAAAATGTTAAGAAACACAAAATTCACAAATATTTTTCTGGGAATGAGAGTGAGTGGCATCACTCCCACTTTCATTCCTTGATTCTTGGATCCAGGTACTACAGTCACACCACGACAAAATGACCTCAGATTTAAAGTGTAAACCACATCTAGAAGGATAACACCCATCCTCAAAAGTTATCACCCTAAGAAGATGTCTCAGCTGTGCCTTCCACTTGGCACACTGGAGAGTTTTGGATAGTGTGGTAAGTGGAAGGACCAACAGATTTTCTGGCCGTGTGTCTACTGCCATAACCCTTTGCTGTGAAATTATCTCTTGGTCCTGGACAATGTGATATGGCCTCCAATACAAGAAAATCTGACATTTTGTGAGACCTCAGCCAGTGGCACTAAGCTGAGGCACTGCAGGCAGGAAGGTAAATCCATGCCTGAAATGTGTGTCAATCCCAGTCAGAATGAAATGGTTTTTCTCCCTAAGGTAGAATGGGTTAAATTAATCAAAGTTGCCTCCAAATGACTAGTGGATATCCTCAGGGTTTTATATTGTATCAAGCAATCCAGCATTGGTCTCTGTGGCTGGCAGGTCAGATTCTCAGCAGCCACAGTAGTTAAATCAGCTTTAGTGAGAAGAAGCCCATGCTGTTAGGCCCATGTAGGGCTTTCTTCTCTAGAACTTTATCTACTTTCTTCAGGAACCTATGGTGCTAATACAAGGAGGGCCAAGAACAGGGTCTGATTGATATCTTCTCTATATCATCTTGTCTGTTTGTTGTTTTGTGGTCTTCCACAGGAGATATCTTCTGGACATATGATACAAAGATTATTATACTTTGTATCCACTCCAATAAGTCACTCTGCATTTATCTTCCCGAGAATTTCTTGTCTCCAATCTTCCTATACTGCTCATTCCAGAGCTCTGATAAACCAACCAAACCATTGGCTACTGCCTGTGAGTTTGTGTATAGCCTTCTCTTGGGCTGTTTCTCTCTACAAAGTGGATTGTCAAGTATACTACCCAAAGCTCTATCCACTGGGAGAACATTTCCCTTACCGCTGCTTCTTATGGTCACCCCAGGCGAGACCATTGTGCAGCAGCAGTCCATTTTTGGATTGGATCACTGTACCTAGGCTTTCTTCTCTATCATTTACTCAATATGGTTCCTTCTACTGCTTATTAATTCCTTGAAACTATACCCCTTCTTACCCTTTGCCACTTCCTTAGTTCAAGCCCTCATTTCTTCATCTAGGCTATTGAATAAGCTCCTAACATTATCCATTCCTTGATTCTTTCTCCGTTCTACTTTTAACTGCAATGAGTTTCTTCCAAAAACACAAATTTGGTCATGTTACTTGTTTGTCTTAGTTCATTTTGTGCTTCTATAATAGAATATCTGAAACTGGGTAATTTATAATGAACAGCAGTTTATTGAGTCACAGTTCTGGAGGCTGGGAAGTTCACTATCAAGGTGTCAGCATTTTGAAATGGCCTTCTTGCTGCATCATCACATGGTGGAAAGTGAAAGGGTAAGGAAGGGAGACCAAGGGCGGCCAAACTCACCCTTTCATAAAAGCACCAATCTCACCCATAAGGATGGAGCCTTCATGGCCTCATCACTTCTTAAGGGTCCCATTCCTTAATACTCTTACAATGACAATTACATTTCAACGTGAGTGTTGGAGGGAATAAACATTTCAACCATAGCACTCCTCAGTTAAAATCATGTCATAATTCCCCATTACCTGTAAAGTCTAAACTTAACACAACATACAAGGTCCTTTGTATTCTGTATAATATTCCCCTTTCTTATTTCAACTTTCACCATTATTCTCATGCACATGACATCACAACTACAACAAGATAGTTTGCTCTTACTCCATCAGGCCATGTCCTTTGATACATTTATGCTTTGGCATTTGTCAAGCATGTCCTTTCTTGCCTACCTCTTTGGAAAACAACTACTCTAATTTCAAGACACATTTCAAAACATATGCGTTGTTAAAGCCTTCACTCTTTACCTGTGCATACCTCTTGAGTAGTGTAGCTATTTACCTGTGTGTACCTCTTGTGTTGCATCATATATTTTTATATCATAAATCATCTCCCTCACTGCACTGTTAGCTCCTGGGGACTAAGAACTATGCCTTATATATAACTCTACCCCCTGCTTTTAGCAGAGTCTAGCCTATAGCAAAAGTAATCAATTGGATGGTTATACTGTCCTTTAAAGAGATAAATTCTGGCATTGTCAGGCAATGAAATGACTGGGTCCCAAAGGGAAATTGTAACAGATTCTGAAGACTTTAATCATAAATTCAGGGATCAGGTAGGTCACGAAGTGGTATAAATTGGCTATAGCTAATGATTAGGGAGTAATGAGGGCAGCAACAAACTTATGGGAATATCTTCCCTACTTAACAGTGATCTCAAAACTATTTAAAACAAATAAAAGCACACTGTATTTGTATTAGTCTGTTTTCATGCTGCCAACGAAGACATACCAGAAACTAGGCAATTTACAAAAGAAAGAGGTTTAATTAGACTTACAGTTCCACATGACAGGGAGGCCTCACAATCATGCCAGAAAGCAAGGAGGAGCAAGCAAGCACATCTTACATGGATGGCAGCAGGCAAAGAGAGCTTGTGCAGGAAAACTCCCCCTTATATTAACCATCAGATCTTGTGAAATTCACTGTCACGAGAACAGCACAGGAAAGACCTGCCCCCATGATTCAATTAGCTCTTACCAGATCTCTCCCACAACTCGTGTGAATTCAAGATAAGATTTGGGTGGGAAAACAGCCAAACAATATCAGTATTGATCAATCAAACTCATCTACAGCCTTTCATGTGTCTTGAGGTCCTCAAATGTTAGAGCCCTGGTCTACAATTGGCTAGGACTATTTTACCACATGAAGTTACAGACAAGTGTGTGAGTTCACATACTCTGAAAATTTTTAAATCAAATTCCAGGATGAGGTCTCCAGTCAGTTAGTATGACCTGAAATTACATGGTTTATACCCTACTTAGTTCACATACAAGAAACAGAGAAACATAGAAGACCATACTCACTTTACCTGAAGTGGTTGTCAGTTTTAAGCTAGAAAGAACCCCCAGCTTCATGGGATTTGGCACTTTTTTTGAGAGACAGGATCTCACTCTGTTGCCCAGGCTGGAGTACAGTGGCCTGATCTTAGCTCACTGCAGCCTCAAACTGCTAAGCTCAAGCAATCTTCCCCCCTTGGCCTCCTGAGTAGCTAGGACTACAGGCACACACCACCACATCTGGCTTTTTTTATTTTTATTTTTTTTTGAGATGAGGTCTTGTTATGTTGCCCAGGCTGGTCTCAAAATCCTGACCTTAAGCAATCCTCCTTCCTTGGCCTCTCAAAATGCTGGGATTATGGGTGTGAGCCACTGCACCTGACCAGGATTTGGCACATTTACAGGACTTTGTCCAGGGCAGGAAGGAACAAATATGAAACTGGGATTCAAAGAACATGAATTTAAAACCAGAACCTTTCTCTGATGGCCAGTGATGATGAGCATTTTTTCATGTGTCTGTTGGCTGCATAAATGTCTTCTTTTGAGAAGTGTCTGTTCATATTCTTCACCCTCTTTTTGATGGGGTTGTTTGATTTTTTTCTTGTATATTTGTTTAAGTTATTTGTAGATTCTGGATATTAGCCCTTTATCAGATAAATACAAAAAAAAAAAAAAAAAAAAAAAGGGCCGGGCGCGGTGGCTCACGCCTGTAATCCCAGCACTTTGGGAGGCCGAGGCGGGTGGATCATGAGGTCAGGAGATCGAGACCATCCTGGCTAACAAGGTGAAACCCCGTCTCTAGTAAAAATACAAAAAATTAGCCGGGCGCGGTGGCGGGCGCCTGTAGTCCCAGCTACTCGGGAGGCTGAGGCAGGAGAATGGCGTGAACCCGGGAAGCGGAGCTGGCAGTGAGCCGAGATTGCGCCACTGCAGTCCGCAGTCTGGCCTGGGCGACAGAGCGAGACTCCGTCTCAAAAAAAAAAAAAAAAAAAAAAACAGATAAATAGATTGTAAAAATTTTCTCCCATTCTGTAGGTTGCCTATTCACTCTGATGGTAGTTTCTTTTGCTGTGCAGAAGCTCTTTAGTTTAATTAGATCCCATATGTCAATTTTGGCTTTTGTTGCCATTGCTTTTGCTGTTTTAGTCATGAAGTCCTTGCCCATGCCTGTGTCCTGAATGGTATTGCCTAGGTTTTCTTCTAGAGTTTTTATGGTTTTAGGTTTAACATTTAAGTCTTTAATCCATCTCTTGAATTAATTTTTGTATAAGGTGTAAGGAAGGGATCCAGTTTCAGCTTTCTACATATGGCTAGCCAGTTTTCTCAGCACCATTTATTAAATAGGGAATCCTTTCCCCATTGCTTGTTTTTGTCAGGTTTGTCAAAGATCAGATGGTTGTAGGTGTGTGGTATTATTTCTAAGGGCTCTGTTCTGTTCCATTGGTCTATATCTCTGTTTTGGTACCAGTACCATGCTGTTTTGGTTACTGTAGCCTTGTGGTGTACTTTGAAGTCAGGTAGCGTGATGCCTCCAGCTTTGTTCTTTTGGCTTAGGATTGTCTTCGAAATGCGGGCTCTTTTTTGGTTCCATATGAACTTTAAAGTAGTTTTTTCCAATTCTGTGAAGAAAGTCATTGGTAGCTTGATGGGGATGGCACTGAATCTATAAATTGCCTTGGGCAGTATGGCCATTTTCACAATATTGATTCTTCCTATCCATGAGCATGGAATGTTATTCCATTTGTTTGTGTCCTCTTTTATTTCGTTAAGGAGTGGTTTGTAGTTCTCCTTGAAGAGGTCCCTCACATCCCTTGTAAGTTGGATTCCTAGGTATTTTATTCTCTTTGAAGCAATTGTGAATGGGAGTTCATTCATGATTTGGCTCTCTGTTTGTCTGTTATTGGTGTATAGGAATGCTTGTGATTTTTGCACATTGATTTTGTATCCTGAGACTTTGCTGAAGTTGCTTATCAGCTTAAGGAGATTTTGGGCTGAGATGATGGGGTTTTCTAAATATACAATCATGTCATCTGCAAACAGGGACAATGTGACTTCCTCTTTTCCTAATTGAATGCCCTTTATTTCCTTCTCCTGCCTGATTGCCCTGGCCAGAACTTCCAACACTATGTTGAATAGGAGTGGTGAGAGAGGGCATCCCTCTCTTGTGTCAGTTTTCAAAGGGAATGCTTCCATTTTTTGCCCATTCAGTATGATACTGGCTATGGGTTTGTCATAAATAGCTGTTATTATTTTGAGATATGTTCCATCAATACCTAGTTTATTGAGAGTTTTTAGCATGAAGGGTTGTTGAATTTTGTCAAAGGCGTTTTCTGCATCTATTGAGATAATCGTGTGGTTTTTGTCTTTGGTTCAGTTTATATGCTGGATTATGTTTATCGATTTGCATCTGTTGAACCAGCTTTGCATCCCAGGGATGAAGCCAACTTGATCATGGTGGATAAGCTTTTTGGCGTGCTTCTGTATTCGGTTTGCCAGTATTTTATTGAGGATTTTTGCATCGATGTTCATCAAAACCACAATGAGATATCATCTCACACCAGTTAGAATGGGGATCATTAAAAAGTCGGGAAACAACAGGTGCTGGAGAGGATGTGGAGAAATAGGAACACTTTTACACTGTTGGTGGGACTGTAAACTAGTTCAACCATTGTGGAAGACAGCGTGGTGATTCCTCAAGGATCTAGAACTAGAAATACCCTTTAACCCTGCCATCCCATTACTGGGTATATACCCAAAGGATTATAAATCATGCTGCTATAAAGACACATGCACATGTGTGTTTATTGCGGCACTATTCACAATAGCGAAGACTTGGAACCAACCCAAGTGCCCATCAATGACAGACTGGATTAAGAAAATGTGGCACATATACACCATGGAATACTATGCAGCCATAAAAAACGATGAGTTCATGTCCTTCATAGGGACATGGATGAAGCCGGAAACCATCATTCTGAACAAAGTATCGCAACGACAGAAAACCAAACACCGCATGTTCTCACTCATAGGTGGGAATTGAACAATGAGAACACTTGGACACAGGGTGGGAAACATCACACACCGGGGCCTGTCATGGGGTTGAGGGAGGGGGGAGGGATAGCATTAGGAGATATACCTAATGTAAATGATGAGTTAATGGGTGCAGCACACCAACATGGCACATGTATACATACGTAACAAACCTGCACGTTGTGCACATGTACCCTAGAACTTAAAGTATAATAAAAAAATTAATTTAAAAATAAACTAAAATAACAAACTGTTTCTAAAATGCACTGAAATATTATGGTGTCTCTCCACATGCAACTCAAGATTTTTTTAAAATACTAAATTATAAAATAAGTGTAAAGACCATCAGAGCTGTGATCTTTCCCATAATGGAATGTTTTGTTGTATTGCATTTGAAATACAGTAAATTCCTTAAAAAAAAAAAAACAAAAAACAGAACCTGATTCTTAAGAGATGTCTTTGAAAAGCTGCATAACTTTTCTGAGCCTTAATTATCTTATCTGTAAAATGGGAATTCTAATATCTACTTCACAAAGTTGCTGAGAAACGGAATGAAAGCTGCAACTGCAAAACCAGCACAGTGTCTGGCACATGTTAAGTACTGGATAAATGTTATTTAAGTCTGAAGATGAAAGTTGTGCACTTACATCCAAAATCAGTAAAAGAGCCCAGCACATGTATTTCTTTTGCAAAAAAAAAAAATGCAGTAAATGGGATGATATTTGCAAAATTATTTGAGTTCCTTTACAAATGTTGGAGAACGAATATTAACCATGATCCTAGGAAAAGTATTGCAGAATTCATCTCTACGGGAGAGTGTTTAAACTAAAGCCTTCTCTGCTTCTAGCCATTCTCCAGGATATCTTTATTTTCCTAGCCATCATCAGGGTAATCAGGACATTCAGTTTCACTTCTGACATCCAATATTGATTGATGAGCATGAATGGATAACTGACATCTCACTGGCAGAAACTGCAGTTTCCCCTCGGCCTTCTCCTCTGAGAGCCAGCACAACTCTTCCTGAATTCAAGGCTGAATCATCTCCAAGGTAATTTGCTTAGCAAAAGTAGTCTTTTTTCATACACTGTGCTCAGCTTGAGTTCACCTTTCTCACCTTCAAATATTAAAACTCACCCCATAGAAAATGAATCTGGGAGCCTAATCAGAATCTTCGCCTTCTATTCTGAGATAGGCTCATTCTCCTGAGATCATATTTGTTCGGAAGACATTGACCCCAAGAGTAATTGGCTTCCAATGATACTTTGGTTCCTTATTTCTCATTTATAAAGAAAAAAAATGGATTCCAGAAGCAAGTTCAAGAGAACAGTCCCAAACTTTGCAACAAGAAAGTAAATTTTTTAAATAAAGGCATTTAAATCTTCACTGCAATGAGATTAGAAAAAAACAACCCATCACTGCAAGAAGGTGAAAGAAGGACATAGGTTTTTCTGTTCATAAAAATCTAGCATTTTGTTTTTATTTATTTGAATTCAAAATAAAACAATGAGGTTTAAGCCATAAAAGAAAGAAGTCTGGGAAAGTGTGAAAAAGAATTTCCTGTGAAAAAATTAACTGAAAAAGACTCTATGTCTTCTTTAGAAGGCTTTTGAAACCTAGCAACATTTATTAAAATACTTACTAAACATGTACTATGTGCTGGCCATTCTGATCAATGTAATGGGAAATGCAGATGACATATAAGATGAGAACCTTGGTTCCAATAAACTTGCAATCAAGTTGGGAGTAGAAAACCTAGGGTGCATGAAATTTTTTAAAAAGTAAGCATTTGAGAACCAATTTGGTATTGATTAAAAGTTTAAATGGGAGATTAGTGAGGAAAGGGTACTCTGTGGGCTAGATTAGCTGATGAAAGATTTATTGAGCTTGCCTCAGAGAAAATGACTTCAGTAGTTGGAACAGAAGGTAGAGTTGCAGGTGGAGAGAACAACAAGTGCAAATATCCAGACAAGATATTGGTGAACAAATCAGTATGTCAGTAGCAGAGGACATATTTGGGTGGGGGTTAGTAATAGGTTCTGATAGGGAGGTATCAAATTAGGAACAACTATAAAAAATCAAGCTGAAGAATCTAAACAAAGAAAAATTCAGGATCCATGCTTTGGTTATTGAGTAGAGGAATGAATAAGAACATGGAACTTTAAAATAATGGAGAGAATTTCAGCAAGATATCTTGGGGTTTATAGCTGTATTAGAAGGGGAGGGGAGAGACTGGAGCCAGGGAAAGTAGTGAGAAGGCTATTGATATTCAAGTTTGAAGTGGCAAGGGTCAGTACCAAGAAAGTGAAAATTTGGAAGATTTTTTTTTAAGGAGAAAAATAATAAAACTTGCACAGAGCAGTTAGAGGGGAACATAGAAAGGAAAGAGCCAAGAGTTTTTTAATTTCTAATGATTTCCAAGAATTTCGAGCTTGGAAGGAAAGAATAGTGATGACATTAATAAAAACAAGATCATTTGGAAAGAGTTAAAAGATGAGAGGAAGAAGGTGAACAAATTCAAGAGAGATATTTAGCAGACTAAATAGACTGAACTCGATAATAGATACTGGGGTGGTGAGGGAGAAGGAGAGGAAGCTGTGAAGCTTAACTTTTAGTTTTCTGTCTTAAGACATTAGATGAAGGGATTCTCAGAAAAGGACAAGGATTGATGGGTAAATTGGAGGTGTATTTGAAACATCCAAGTGGAAATGTTGATTAGGTAGTTGAAAAATAAAGAGGTCAGGGAAGCACTGTGATTCTCAATTGGAATGATTTTGCCCCCCAGAGGACAACTGACAATGTTTGGAGACATTTTGGTAATCTCAACTGGAGGAGGGAGCAGTTGTTACTTGTGTCTAGTAGGTAGAGGCCAGGGATGTTGCTAAACATCCTACAATGCATGGGATAGCCCCCCAAAACAAAGAATCATCTAGCTCCAAGTGTCAAGGTTGAGAAACTCTGGGGCAGATGATGTCCATTTGAGAGATATCAGCATATACATGGAAATTAAAGCTGTGAGCATAAGTCTAGTGAATGATTTTAAAAACCCAGATTTGAGTCTTGAGAAATT
The DNA here is from genome assembly GCF_000001405.40 of Homo sapiens. Taxonomy (NCBI): domain Eukaryota; kingdom Metazoa; phylum Chordata; class Mammalia; order Primates; family Hominidae; genus Homo; species Homo sapiens. The sequence goes on along the minus strand of NC_000011.10, from coordinate 109,310,753 downwards.
TTGAATAGCCAGATGAAGGCAGATGAGCCTAAAAAGATCTTGTAAGAAGGAGAGAACAGAGAAATAAAAGGAAACCCAATAGATAGGGATCAATGTAACCGTGTTAACAAGGATTTCTGAAGAAGGGAGATGCCCAGCAAGAGAAAGACTCTATCCACTGGATTTAGAGATATGGAGGCAGCTTGTGAGCTGTGAGCTTAGCAAAAGCAGTTTCTGTGGCATATCAGTGACGAAACTAAATTTAAGTGAATGAAGAAAAAGAAAATAAAGATCCTCTGGCCTGGGATGAGAAGGCTAGACATTAAGGTAAAGTGTGTTGAAGGAAGGTGGGTTTGTTATTGATACTGCTGCTTTTGCTATGGGGGAGTCATGCATAAATAAAAATAAAGGACCTAGTTTGAAGTAACAGTTTGAACATATAGAAGAGATTAGAGTATTTTTAAGAATGGGTAATAGAACACTAGTGGGTCATGAAATTAATTTATAGGTTAAAAGTAGCATTTTTAAAAACATGAAATAGAATGGGATAGAAAATAGAAACCATTACATAGAGTAAAATATTGTTTCAAGAAACTATTATTTCAGGTGTGGTTTGCATGTACACACATGGAATTTTGGTACACACATGTACACACTTGCAATTTTGGTAACTAAATGAACACAGAAGGCAAAAGAATTATCCTCCAGGCATGGGTCTAGGTGACTTGGAGAATAATGGAGTCATGATGGAAATACGAAAACAAGCAAATAAAGTAATGGGAAAGAAGGAAGAAAATAAAGATGAATTTAAGACAACAGCAGAACATTCATGCAAAGATATGCTATATATAGTTATCCCGCCCGCACAAGGCTGGGTTAGATGATCCTCCTAGATGCTCTTATAGCTGCTGTCCTTTCATAGTAAGTATATTGCAACTGTCCATTTTCTTGCCCATCTCCCTTCTCAAAGAGTGAGCACCATGAAACAAAGAACCATCTCTCATCGTATCCCTATTGTCTGGCACAATTTCTGGCACATAGTGGGTACACATTAAATATGAATTTAGTCAGTGATTTATAGGTGTGATGTTGACATCATGGAATCTAAAAGTCAATGATGATAAACTATTTATAAAATGGTTTTAGACCCTTTCAGAGACACATCATGACAAACCATAGGTCACACACTTGATTCCAGAAAGCAATTTGCATCTGAAACCTGGATATGCATCCTGTATCAGTCAGCTTTATTGGTTGCAGCAGAAACCAACTCTGGCTGACATAAGCAGAAAATAAATCTATTGAAACAGTATTAGGTAATGTATAATTGCCAGGAAATTCAGGCTTGGGTAACATTCAAGAGCAAGGGAAGCTAGTGCATTAACCTGGACCACCGCCAAAATTCTCATACCATAAAACCAGACCACTGTCAACACTGTCACCTCTAAACTCTACAAACCTCAGCTGCAACCACCACCACCATAGGCACTAGTCAGTTACAGCCACTGCACTGTTATTCCTCTTGTGCCTCTGAAAACTCTTATTACTAATCCTCATGTTCCTCCATCCCAGCCTTTTTTGCACTTCTAATTCTTAATTTCAAAATTCAAGGCAGCTGCATCTGGTTATTGGAGCCTAAGTTATACACAAGAGAATCTGGGAAATTCAATAGCTAAACAACTTGCATTTCAAGCTTTTACAGAAGAACACAGGTTAATATAGTCCCAAGCAAAAGAAGATGCTGGGCTACCAAAGTAACTGATAAATATCCATTACATAATGAATGACATATAATCTCATAGATTCCATAATTGCTGCCAGTTGCCAGCCCCTGGTGCCACTGAGGAACTGAGCTGAGTGCAACAGAAGTCTGTAGCTGTAAACATGTAAGGCACTCAACACTGCACTATCAAGTGCTATTCCTTTACTCTTGAATGATACACAGATGCTAGATCACCCTGAAATGACAGGCAGATGTCACCCTTTAATAGGAATCGCTGACCTTGAGATTCGTGTCTTCTTACCACAAAAATGGTGCTGCCATCATTTCAGCTTCTTGGTGGATGACTCTGGCTCGTTATTTTAAATGGTGCCAGTTGCTTCAGTCATTACTTTGAATTTAGTGTCAAACATGTGTAGTGACCTGCATGAAAATGTTCTGCCTCTCTGGCTTCCATCTGAGATGATCCTGCCCCATGTCAGCCCAGCCTTCATCTCTGCCAGTTCTCAGGCAACATACTTGTAACCAGTCGCCTCCCTGCACACTCCTCTGAACATGCCTATTTATTTCATTCAGGATAAGGGTGAATTTTGATCACATAAACATACATTCATTTACTTCTCCTAATCCATCTTTAGGAAATCTATGTGAAGAGGACAGCATCCACTTTGAATGAGCCCATTACAGCTCACCTTTATTTTGTTCCCTGTAACTTCATCATCCCTCGATAATCCTCCAAGAAAAATGAGGCATAAGATAAAATCTTTGAGAGGACATGAAGAGCTTCATTGAATGAACGGTCATTCCCTCTGTTATTCAGGTAATGTCCATGTGTTTTGTATTAATAAATTCTAGATCCAAAAAAATTAATAAACAAACATGGTAATAATTATTAATATAATTCACACCATAATTTTCTGCTGTTTTAAAAAAGATGGGCTTCTCCCATATACTTCACTTAAACTTTTAATGCATTTAGATTTTTAGAAACATTAATAGTTTTTACACATTAAAAACACATCTGATTAAAAAAGTTACACATCTATTAAGGAAAGTTTATGTAATATTTCCATATGCATTTTTAGAAATTAAACTTCAAAAGCTGGATATGCCAAGAAATCAAGGACCACATCCATTTGCTTCCTTAAAAATTTTTTTTCTTGCAAACTCATATACTTTTATCTTTAAGTTACCTAAATATTATAGCATAACAAACCTCATTCCTTTTACCTTTTTTAATTGATATCTCAGTTTTAAGGTTTATCTATGTTGGGATGTGTGCTTCTTGCTCCCAACTGCTACAGAATAGTCCATAGAAAGCATCCATCAAAGAAGTTCATAGCCTGAACTCCTCACTACTACAAATGTTCAATCTTCTCAGCCATGCCTCCTTGTAGATTTGCATGAAGATTTTTCTGGCATATTTTCTTGAGGATGGGATTGCTGGGTAGAGGCCGACTTGACTTCACCAAAGACTGCCAGATGGCTTCACACAATGCCTCTAGCAGTTCACAATCCTACCAGTCACGAATAAGGGTCCCGCTTCCCCACCTCTTTCCTAACACTTGATGCCATCCAATTTACACACAGATTTAAAAAAGAGTGAAGTGGTTGTTTTAATTTTTACATCTCTGATTATTCATGGGTTTAAGTCATTGCATCTATTTTTGAAACATTTGGGTTTGTTTGGTTTTTTTCCCACTTGCTGTTGTGGCACCTGTCTTTTTCCAGTGACATAAAGAAACTCTTTATTTTAGATATTAATTGCCTTTTGATTCTAGACATCACAAACATCTCTTCCCAGTCTATTATTTCTCTGTTAACTCTGTCTATGGTGCACTTCCTTTAACAGAAACTCTTAGCATTGATGTAATCAAACATACTGATTTTTGCCAATAAAGGATGTTCACATACAAGGTATATTCTCATATTCATACTTTCCAGGTAAATGACTATTAATCCATACCTTTCTCTCTCACTCAAGAAAGCTTATCAGAAGACACATAAATGAGAATGATGTTCAAAAAGTTTTCCAAATATTGGTTCTTTAACTGTTAGTAGAGAAAAATTGGCTTTCAGTCATCCTGAAATTACCATGCCACCAGATTACCACAACTAATTACAGAATTACTAGTTGAAAACTATAGACCTAGCTCATGCCCTCTGAGCCTACCAGCTGTCAGCCGCATCTACCTCACCCTTTCACTGATCTATAATAGAGGTGGCCATTTGCTGATCTCATACTGTGAGACAGACATTTCCATAAAATATTTCCTACCCTCACAAAAACTCTAAAAGATAAGTATTGTTATCCCTATTTTACAGGTGAGAAACCTGAGGCTCAGAAAGACCATTTGCCTAAGTTGACACAGTACTTGATAAAGCCAAGATTTATAATTAGGACAGTCATGTTCCAGAATCAGGAATCCCAGCCTTCTCTCTTCAAGGCTGAATCATCTTTCAGCAATGCAAGTGAGATAAATGAGGTATCCCAGTCAAGGCCAGTCTTCACCAACACATGCTAAGCATCTGCTGATTTAGGAGATGCCCCCATTCTCAACCCAAGACACCCAGAAATTCCCGACATTTATTTCCAAAAACTCCCTGGTAAAACGAAACTGTTGCCTTGAGGAGTCATACTATGATCACATTAGCACAGAATCAGTTCATCATGTAAGACTATTTACACTAAGGCTCTAGAGAAATGGAAGAAGTTATGAAAGAATGGGGAAAGGGAGGAGAGAGAGAGTAGGCACTTCATCTAGAACTTGTAGCACAGCCCAGGGCCACAGAGATGATATAACCTGTGCAACCTCCATGTACAGGAAGTTGAAAGAAGGAAGGAGAGGATAACTATCATTTACGGAGCATTTATCATGTTCCAGATGTACCCAGCTAGAAAACTTTGCAGTATCTTTCCTCATCTTTATCAAGGCCATTGTCTTCATTTTTTCTAGAAGAGGAGTACTGAAGAGATTGGGGATTATTTTCGCAGGACCCCACTGCTAGAAAATAGCAAAGCCAGAATTTGAACCCACGCTGTCTGATGTCAACAGCCCGTCTTCTTCCACTGCAACCACCTTCATCACCATTCGATGAAGACTAACTATCCTTTACTGTTCTTCCCTAAGCCTGAGGTTAACTGCTCTCTGGGTCCCAGGGTTCTCAAAAAGTATTTTGTTTTCCCATTGAATACAACTTGAAGTTCTTGTCATTAAAAAAAAAAAAAAGTCTCTAAATATTCTAGTGTTTGGGAGCAGAGATTAATTGGAAAAGTAAATACTTGTAGAAAACTAATTGGCATTCCCTTGACAAAATGTAATGGATTCAAGCATTGGTCAGTGTTAGCTCTTATCCTGGTATGAAGAATTAATGTGATTGCAATGACCACACTGCTGCTGAGTCTGAAGTCTGCAGGCCAAGAGGGTTACAATTTGGTTCCTCCTCACCCATGTCTCAGGAGACCATTTAGTAAAAAGTTGAAGAATATGACATTCCCATGTTCTTCCAAAACAAAAAAGGCTTGAGTGACTGGTACAAAGTGTGGCTTTTCCCGCCCTCCTCTTTCTTAGGGCTTTCCCCATGTCTGGTTCCTGCAGTTACAGTGAGATATGAAAAAGGCATCTGCAGGGATCTGGGTCAGGCCTATATCAGGAAAGGCCCCCAGAGCATCAGGTTGGACAGAGACTCCAGAAAACTGAATGACCCCAGCCTGATCAGCCCATCACTACCCACACTCTGGCAGCTTCACCCCACTACTCCCCAAGGCCTTGTATGCATCAGGGCCTCCTGACATGTGCTTCTGAACTCGCAACAAAAGCTGTTCAGGGCTGGGAGCGGTGGCTCACACATGTAATCCCATCACTGCAGGAGGCCGAGGCCGGTGGATAGCTTCAGGTCAGGAGTTCGAAACCAGCCTGGCCAACATGGCAAACTGCCGTCTCTACTAAAAATACAAAAATTAGCCAGGCATGGTGGCAAGTGCCTATAATCCCAGCTATTCAGGAGGTTGAGGCAGGAGAATCGCTTGAACCTGACCTGGGAGGCAGAGGTTGCAGTAAGCCAAGATCACTCCACCGCATTCTAGCCTGGGTGACAAAGCAAGACTCCATCCAAAAAAAGAAAAAGAAAAAAAAAATCAGGGTTGTTGACTTGGGACTCTATATATTTTTTTTACTAATACATAATATTTGTACATGTGAGATTTTGATTCATGCATACAATGTATAATAATCAAATCAGGGTACTTAGGATATCCATCACTTTGAACATTTGTCATTTCTTTGTATTGAGAACATGTCAAATCTTCTCTACATTTTAATAAGTTCCTCAATGATTCTTAAGGAGCAAAAATAGTTTGAGAGACACGGTGCTAAGGATTAGGAGTGGTTAGAGACAAGACAGAAGTGACCTCAAATGGGAAGATTCCCTTACAAATGAATGCAATGTATTCCAATTATTAGGGCTGATTATGTTCCACCAAGTCACTATGGACAATGAATTAGCAAACACTGAGCCATGGCTCCTAGGTAAAATACAGGGTTAGGTTACTGCAAGCCTCTGCTCATAACATTTTAATCAACGAATAAAAACATAACCTTGTTTTATGTGTGTTTCTGTTTGAAGACATCTTATGTAACATATACAATTGATTCATTAACATTGTGCTCATGGCCCACAGTGCTATGACTCATGCCTGAATGAAGCTTCTCTAACATATGTGTTTTCTCTGTAAGGGGCATTGCAGCCTTCTTGTGCTTAGAATACTAGACAGCACTTCAGAAGTAAGCTCAGGGCCCATTTTAAACAGTAAAATCATCAATAAAAAAGCACAAAAATGCAACAAAATCTGGCAAAAAAAAAAAAAAAAGGATACTTAATAGCATGAGAGCTAAAACAAGAAGGAGTGTCACCCTTTTCTCCCTCAGCTGGGAACACGAATGTTGAGGAGTAACTCAAATTTTTCACAGCCTGGTACATGTCTGACAACGGCTGTGGAAATGCCATGAGTATTGATTTGGGGGTTACACATAAATTTTAGGCACTGGGCAAATTTGCAAACACAGAATTCACAAATAATGAGGACTGATTATATAGTGAGGATGGATTACAAAAATAGTTTGCACATGCATTATCTCATTACCTTACTTGATCACACAATAACTCTGGAACTTAAATAGAACATCTACTATTTTGATTCCCAACACTGAAATAAGAGACTGTGGGCCTAGAGAGCCGGAAAACAAACCAAGGTCTTTTAACTCCAAGGCCCTTGCTTTTTCCATTATACAGTAAAAGGAAGTCAACTCTGCTAATGCTCTTTCAAATGCTAGAACTGTCCAGCCAAGTGAAGATGCCTCAGAGAAATGGGGTGCAGTGGAAAGCAGGCATAGCATGCTTACACTGGGGGAAATTGGGGAAAGCCAGAGCAGACCTAGCCCTAGACACAATGGGGCTTAATCACTATTTGCACAAGCTGTACAAGTGTGCTTTCTTTTTATGTGTACTGAGGTTTGCTTTGAAGTATTTCAGTCAGAAGGCAAGCACTGACTGAGTCCCATTGGGTGCATTTTATTAGATAATGAGTCAGAGAAGAAAGAAGCAGCAATTCCTGATCCGAAGAAGATTATAGACAAATGGAGAAAACATTGTATAAAATAGTTAATCTAGTAAATAGAGTTTGATTTGAGGGAGAACATAGATGAAGAGGGTAGATCCGAGACACTATTTGAAAATAGAGGTAAAGGACTTGTCATGTAAAATAGGAGAAAGATTATTCCATGCATTTAAAACAGTTTGGGCCAAATTCCTAAGGCATTGATAGTCAAGAGGTTTACTGCCTGCTCTGTCATTTTCTAGCCACGATACCTACAGAAGTTGATTGAAACTTTTTCGGACTCAGTTTACTGATCTATGTAGTGGGGCTTCAGTGCAGGTCAACATACTTTAATTAGCAGAATGCTGCAGCACTAAGACCTAGGATTCAAAAGCTTCAAAGGTGTATTTGATATAGCTTATGCTTTCCAGGAATAGGAGGAGACAAGACACATAACAAATAGATAATTTTAATACAAAATAAATGTTAGGATGTGGATGGGCACACTTAGACTGCGTAATCTTGCAGCAGGGGAGGGGGCAGGGAAACTGCCTGGAGGAGCTGGCCCAGACTTCTAAAGGACAGTAGGAATTAGATAAGCAACAAAAGGGGAGGGCAAGTCCTGATCAAGACGGAGCAAGAGCAAAACCTCAGCAGTGTGAGATATTGCAGTGGGTTCTGGGAACTGTGTTTGGTTTGGCATTGCTGAGTCATATGATGAGAAGAGAAGAGTGAGGATAAAAGAGCTGGAAAGGTAGAAAACAGCAAGATCCTATCAGCATAAGAACTCACTGACATATTTTAAACCAGGGAGTGATATGGACAGATTTGTCCTTCCTGAAAGATTCCTCTGGCAGCAATAAGGAGGAAGAATCTGAGGTGGACACGAATGGAAGTAGTCCAATGTCTGGTTGTGATAACCCAGGTAGATGCCTCATAGATTTGTTGTGGGAGCCAATGAAATAATGTGCGTGAAAGCAGATTGTAAGCTGTAAAGCAAACCAACACAAAACAGTATTTTTCTTATGTAAACAGATAACATTGAAGTGCAAAGCGAAGTGGGAAGAGAGCAACACAAGAACACAAGTTTTCCTAAAAGGAAGAATATGCTAGAAAACAATGAGATCACACATGCAGCATAAGATCATTTAGTTGAAAAGCTTTGAAGGTAGCAGAAGTTTTGACATTTGAACTGAAAAGTCAATGGATGCTTCTGAAGGAGGTTGAGGGACTGGCACAGTATAGATAATGGGCAGTTCTGGGCATCTGAGAGTAGAGAAGTTGAAAGCTAGCATATAAACAGTCCGAAGAATCCAGCTATGACTTGCTACATTTCCACCAAGATAAAAATGCAAAATTATTCAAAGTCCTGAACTCTAATAATGGCGTCCACCACAATGAAAAGAAAAAGCTAGAGTCCTGAAAAAGTTAGAGAATCTTAAAACTGGAAGGGATTCTGTAGAGGCGGTATAACACGATGGAGAAAAGTACAAAATCCGGAGCCCAGCTGTGTAGAATTGAATCCTACCACCTCTAGCTGCACAGTAAAGTTATATAAACTCTGTGCTTCAACTTTCTCATCTGTAAAATAGGGATAATAATAATACCTACCTCTCAGAGCTGTTGTGAGGCTTAAACAAGTTAATAAACATGAAATGCTTCGATTAGTGCCTATTGAGTGTTCAATAAATTTTAGAATTTAATAATTCTGTCTCCCACTTTAGAAATGAGAACACTAAGGTCTAGAGAAGTTGGCTCATCCAAACTTTTAAAATTTTTTATCCAGTACCCTAGAATTTTTTCTAGGCCTCCTGCAAATTAATAGCAAAATCATGGTTAATTCTATATCTGGGAGACCTAAATCTGCACAGCATTAGCTTCTGTGTTGGAATTGAAAAGGATCCAAGAAAGAGGAAAACTGATTTTAATTGACAAGAGCTCAGAGAACCAGAAGGTCAATATTGATGTAATCTGGGCTTCAAAGGCAGGGCCAAATGGTCTGCTGCTTCTTCTGTAAAGCACTCTCAAAAATGGTGAATGAGGAGTGGGCATTGCTCACCATCAGGAAACAGCAGAGTTGGAGAAGGCAGAATGGCAGATGGTGAGGTGGGGAGCATTACCTTAGGAAAGGTAAACAAGAAACCACCTATTAGCTCTGCCATGCTCTGGATTCTAAGCTGGAACTGCTGGCTCAGTTCAAGTATGTCCTCTTTTTCCCCCTCTCCTCTCCCCAGCACTGTTCTTGGCAACACATTTTATCTTCTAGCAGATGGCTGCAGCTGCTATGGTGGCATCTGTTGCTGCTCTTTCACCTTCCAGCTTTGGCAGGAGCAGTTGGCAAGACGAACTTGCAAGGTCTGTCAGCACCCAGTAGTATCACTATCAGTCTAACTTGTAAAAAAAAAAAAAAAAAAAAAAAAAAAAAAAAAAAAAGTAGAGGCAGAGGAAGTGCTGGTGCTACCAGCTGCAATCCCTGGGGCCTGCTTGATTCAAGAATCTGCTTCAGACTGGATTCTCCTCTCATGGGATCAGAAGTTGGGACAGAGTAGCTTAGATGAGCTCATTTTACCCATCACCCATCTTTAAAAATGAAGACCCTTTTGATTGGCAAATAAAGAGGCCCCGCTGCAAAGAGCAAGAGCAATAGGTCTTACAGATGAAAACTACATTGAAAATCCAGAGGAGCAATTTGAAGGAACAAAGTTAACATACTAATTCCTGCCTTCTCCAGCCTCATTTCACAGAATGGTTTCCAGCATGGCCTGAGACAGTCCTCACAAAGCTTTGAGGTATATTCAGAGCCCTATTTACATTGATGAGTGGAGTCTGTGTGAGTCCTGGCCAGCCTGGACTGGGGGTCACAGTCTGTGTTTCTCTATACCTCTATGTTTTCCTTATCTTGGGAAAAGATGGTTGCTACGGTTTTCTGTCTTGCACTTTCATCCCCTGTAGAAGCAAGATTTATGTCTCAAACCCCAGCCGATTTGGCCTGAGCTATAGGCGGCTGTTTAGCACTTGTCAAATCCTTCTTGGCAGTCAGTCATCCAAATCAGACAAACCAACCAGAAGGAAGGTTTATCCATTCCCTTGATACCATCATCCCTGAATAGAGGCTTTTACTGCCATGCCCCCCATCAAATGTCAGAAATATTGGACACTGAATCAAGATTGAATTAAACCTGAGTTCACTATGCCCTCTGGAAACCTGTGATTTGAATGAAACATTTTTCCCACCACTTCATCACCTCCATTGAATTACTATAGAAGGGATCTGTGAGCCAATAAGTTATTCTCGGCCATTGCTGGAAATTGGAAGAGACTCAGCAGTTGCGGGTTGGAAGTCAAGGCTGAACAAGAGGCCAGTATATTCCCAGTGACCAAGCATTTGTATCAACTGACAGCTCACAGGAAAAATTATGTGACAAATTTTGAAGAAAATAACTTTGATGAAAATACATAAAGGAAGAAGAAGATACCATATTTTATTTAAATTATTCAAAAATTTACTGGGTGTCCAACTGGACACCATTCTAGGGTTTAGGTCGTGTGGTACCCAGGAAAAAAGGGGGAAAACTAGTTAGGAAATGGAGGGAAAGCTAACACAAATTGAACTAAACTCAAGAACAGAAGATGTAACATCACAGGGGAACTGACAATCAAACAACACATGTAAATAACAAGAATCAAATGCAGTCTAATTCTGACAAATAACAAGACTGAACAAGAGTACTGTCTATTCAAAGTAGCAAAATGAGCACATATGCCTACCTTTCCTCTAGACGAAGTTTCCAGTGAAATGACAAAAATAGACATATTTTTAAAGAACACAACCATAACAGCACTAAAAAACAACACAGAGGCCAGGCGCGGGGGCTCATGACTGTAATCCCAGCACTTTGGGAGGCCAAGGCAGGTGGATCGTGAGGTCAAGAGATCGAGACCATCCTGGCCAACATAGTAAAACCTTGTGTCTACTAAAAGTACAAAAACTAGCTGGGTGTGGTGGCACGCACCTATAGTCCCAGCTACGTAGGAGGCTGAGGCAGGAGAATCACTTGAACCCGGGAGGTAGAGGGTGCAGTGGGCCAAGATCATGTCACTGCACTCCAACCTGGCGACAGAGTGAGACTCCATCTGAAAAAAAAAAAACAAAAAAACAAACAAAAAATACAGAATGCCATCAATAGACTAAAGTGTTAACAGATTTATACTATCTGAAAACCCCCATGATCAGATAGAGAAGCAAGCCATCACAGAGAAAACATCTGCCCAACATACCAGAGGGGTGTACAGTTCTTCTTAAGGAGCACCCTGGAGAAGCCTCAAGATCAAATCAAGTAAGTACATGAGTCAGAGGCTAATGCGGAAATCATCAGGATAATTAATTTAAGAACTACAATTGGAACAGCTGGGCCTGTTACGCCCCTCCCCATCACCCACATATACAGAACATCTGGCAGAACAGATTTTGCCCTCAGGCTGTTGCTCTGATAAGGGTTCTGTACAGAAAAACTGTGTTCTCCCTATGAGAACTTCCTATATGTATGGGTTTGAAGCCCTAAGAGAGGGGAAGGCCTAATCTTTCTTACTTTAAAAGATCGTTTAGGGCCTCTGCATTAACAGCAGCCTGAGAGAACAATGATGAAGAGGATGAGGAGAAAGAAGAAGAGAGAAAAAGGAGAATAATGGATAATGTATACTGAGATCCTACTGTGTCCTGAGCACTGTTCTAAGCACACTTAATACAGGCATACCTTGTTTTATTGCACTTCACAGATACTGCAGTTTTTACACATTGAAGGTTTGTGGCAACCCTGTGTCAAGCAAGTCTACTGGTAGCATTTTGCCAACAGCTATGCTCACATCATGTCCCTGTATCACATTTTCCTAATTCTCACAACATTTTAACTTTTATTATTATTATTATTATATCCATTATGGTAATCTGTGATCATTAATCTTTGATGTTACTATTAAAATTCTTCTGGGGTGCCACCAACCATGCCCATGTAAGATGGTGACTTAATCAATAAATGTTGTGTGTGTTCCGATTGCCCCCTTGACCAGCCATTTCCCCACCTCTCTCTCTCTGCTCAGGCCTCCCTATTCCCTGAGACTCAACAACTTTGAAATTAGGTCAATGAATAGCCTTATGATGGCCTCTAAGTGTTCAAATAAAAGGAAAGGTTACATGTTTCTCACTTTAAATCAAAAGCTAGAAATCAGTAAGTTTAGTGAGGAAGGCACATTGAAAGCCAAGACAGACCAACAGCTAGGACTCTTGCACCAGTTAGCCACGTTGTGAATGGAAAGGAAAAATTCTTAAGGAAATTAAAAGTGCTACTGCAGTGCACATATGAATAAGAGAAAAAAAAAACCTTATTGCTAACGTGGAGGAAGTTGTTTTTTTTTTTTTGTTTTTTTTTTTGTGAGACGGAGTCTCGCTCTGTCGCCCAGGCTGGAGTGCAGTGGCGCGATCTCGGCTCACTGCAAGCTCCGCCTCCCGGGTTCACGCCATTCTCCTGCCTCAGCCTCCCGAGTAGCTGGGACTACAGGCGCCCGCTACCACGCCCGGCTAATTTTTTGTATTTTTAGTAGAGACGGGGTTTCACCGTGTTAGCCAGGATGGTCTCGATCTCCTGACCTCGTGATCCGCCCGCCTCGGCCTCCCAAAGTGCTGGGATTACAGGCGTGAGCCACCGCGCCCGGCCAGGAAGTTTGTTTTATTGGTCTGGATAGAAGATCAATCTAGCCACAACATTCCCTTAAGCCAAAGCCTAATCCAGAGCAATGTCTTAACTTTGTTCAGTTCTATGAAGTCAGAGAGGTGACAAATCTGCAGAATAAAAGTTCAAAGCTAGCAGAGGTTGCTTTATGAGGTTTATGGAAAGAAACTATCTCCATCACACAAAAGTGCAAGGTGAAGCAGCAAGTGCTTATGTAGAAGCTGGAGCATGTCTTTGTTTTGTTTTGTTTTGTTTTTTGTTTGTTTTTGTTTTTGAGATAGGGTCTCACTCTGTCACCTAGGCGTGAGTGCAGTGGCGTGATCTCAGCTCACTGCAACCTCCGCTTCCCGGGTTCAAGAGATTCTCCTGCCTCAGCCTCTAGAGTAGCTGGGACTACAGGCACATGCCACCACACCCAGCTAATTTTTGTATTTTTTCATACAGATGGGGTTTCACCATGTTGGCCAGGCTGGTCTTGAACTCCTGACCTCAAGTGATCCGCCCACCTCTGCCTCCCAAAGTGCTGGGATTACAGGTGTGAACCACTGCACCCGGCCTGGAACAATTTATTCACAAGAGCTAACTAAGATAACTGACGAAACCAGCTACAAACAGGACGTTTTCAATGTAGATGAAACAGCCTTCTATTGTAAGAAGATGCTACGCAGGACTTCTATAGCTAGAGGAGAAGTCAATGCCTGGCTTCAAAGCTTCCAAGTACAGGCTGACCCTCGTATTAGGGACTAATGCCACTGGTGACTTTAAATTGAGGCCAATGCTCATTGACCATTCTGAAAATCCTAAGGACCTTAAGAATTGCTAAGTCGACTCTTAAGCTTGCCTGTTTAAACCATGGTTTACTGAGTATTTTAAGCTCACTGTTGATACTAACTAATCAGAAAAAAAAAATTCCTTTCAAAATATTGCTGCTCATTGACAATTCACCTAATCATCCAAAAGTTTTGATGAACATATACAAGGAGATTGTTATTTCATGCCTGCTAACATAACACCCATTCTGCAGCCCATGGGCCAAAGAGTAATTTTGACTTTTATGTCTTATTTAAGAAATACATTTTACAAGGCTATAGTTGTTGTAGATGGTGATTCCTCAGATGGATCTGGGAAAGGTAAATTGAAAATCTTCTGGAAAGGATTCACCATCCTAGATACCATTAAAAACACTCATGATTCATAGTCAAAATACAACATTATCAGGAGTTTGGAACAAGTTGATTCCAATCCTCATGGATGACTTTGAGGGTTTTAAGACTTCAGTGGAAGAATTCACTGTGGATAGGGTAGAAATAGCAAGATAACCAAAGTTAGAAGTGAAGCCTGAAGATGTGACTGAACTGATGCAATATCATGACCAAACTTCAACAGATAAAATGTTGCTTCTTATGGATGAGCAAAGAAAATGGTTTCTTGAGATGAAATCTGCCCCTGGCTAAGATCCCGTGAACATTGTTGAAATGGCAACAAAGGATTTAGAATATTACATAAACTTAGTTGATAGAATAGCAGCAGGGTTTGAGAGGATTGATTATGATTTTGAAAGAAGTTCTACTGTTCATAAAATGGTAAACAACATCTCATGCTACAGAGAAATCTTTCATGAAAAGAAGAATGAATTGATGCGGCAGACTTCATAGTTAGCTTATTTTAAGAAATTGCTATAATCACCCCGACCTTCAGCAACTACCATCCTGATCAACCAACAGCCATCAACATTGCGGCAAGACACTACATCAGCCAAAAGATTATGACTCACTGAAAGCTCAGATGACCGTTAACATTTTTTAGCAATAAAGATTTAATTAAGATGTGTACATTTTTAGACATGTTATTGCACACTTAATAGACTATAGTGCAAACATAATTTTTCTATGCACAGGGAAAGCAAAAAATGTGTGTGACTCGCTTTATTGCAATATTCACTTTATTGCAATGGTCTAGAACTGAACCCACAATATCTCTGAGGTATGCCTGTGTATTAACTCATTTGATCCTCACAACACTGAGGCAGTGCTGTTATTGTTTCCATTATGGAAATAAGGAAACTGAGCTACACAAAAAAAGATAATTAGCCCTCTAAGATCACAAAGTTCAAAAATGAAGAAGCTAGGATACAAATGAAGGTACGCTGGCTCCAGAGCAATAATATTCATCATTCCAAGGGAATTCTTCCCTCCCTCTTCTAAAAATGTAGGCATGAACAGATATGAAAACAAAAACATCTCTTCTAAATATGTTGTTTTTACATTTTTATTGGGGGGAGAAACATACATGTATAAAGTGCATAAAAATAAAAATACATCATATAAAGCAAATTCCCATGTAATTACTACCACGCAGGTTACACAGAATATCAATGAAGCCTCGAAGTCCCCTACCTTCCCTATGGCCCCTCTTAATCATTACCTCAGTCACTTCCTTGCCCCCGGAAAGTAACCTGTCCCCTGACTGCTACCACACTATGGTTTAGTTTTGCTTGATTTTTATACATTGTACACATGGAACTATAGAGTGTGTATTTTTGTGTCAGGTTATTTTACTCAACATTACATTTAAAAGCTTCATGTTGTTGCATGTAGATGTAATTTATTCATGTTCATGGCTACATACATTCCATTTTATAAATGTGCCACAATTTATTAAACATTCTATTGATGATAGACATGGGGTTGTTTGCACAATGCTAATATGAACATTCTTTTTAAGCCTTACCTTTTATTTATTTTTAATTGATATGTAATATTTGTGCATATTTATGGGGCACATGTGATATTTTGTTACATGCATAGAATGTGTGATGGTCAAGTCAGAGGATTTAGTATATCCAACTTCTTGAGCATTTATCATGTCTATGTATTGGGTACATTTCAAGGTCTTTTATTCCAGCTATTTTGGAATATGCAAGTTATTATTGTTAACTATAGTCTTCCTACTCTGTTATAGAACATTAGAACTTATTCCCCCTATCTAACTGTATGCTTATACATATTAATCAACCTTCCTTCATTCCCTCTCACACACATACCCACACCTTTCCCAGCCACTGGTAACTACCAGTCTACTCTCTGCCTCCATGAGATTAACTTTTTTTAGCTCCCACGTGAGTGAGAAAATGCAGTATTTGTCTTTCCATGTCTGGCTTATATCACCAAATGTAATGACTTCCAATTCCATCTACATGCTGCAAATTACATTATTTTAGTCTTTATATGGCTGAATAGTATTCCATTGTGTATATGTACCACATTTTCCTTATCTATTCGTCTGCTAATGGACACTTAGCTTGATTCCATATCTTTGCTATCATGAATGGTGCTGCAATACACACGGACGTATGCCTTTGATATATTGATTTTCCTTTCCTTAGGATTAAAAACTCAATAGTGTGATTGCTGGATTCTATAGTAGTTCCATTTTTTTTTTTTTTTTTAGTTTTTTTTGGTACATCTCCATGCAGTTTTCCATAATAGCTATATTAATTTACATTCCCACCAACAGTGTTTAAGAGTTCCATTTTTTCCACATCCTCACCACCATGTTATTTTAAAAAATCTTTTTGACACCAGTCATTCTAACTGATGTAGGATGATGTCTCATTGTAGTTTTGATTTGAATTACCCTGATGTTTAGTGATGTTGAGTAAGCTGAGAAATATCAAAAGAAGACATAAAAATGGACAACAGGTATATGAAAAACAGGTATACACAAAATTTCAGATATTTTGCCCACTTTTTTTAAAGGGACTTTTTGTTTTTGTTGTTGGGTTAAGTTCCTTGTGTATTTAGATATTAGTCCCTTGTCAGATGAATAGTTTACAAATATTTTCCTGCCGTTCTACAGACTTTATTCTGTTGATTGTTTCCTTTGCTTTGCAGATAAATTTTAGTGTAATATAATCCCATTTGTCTATTTTTGTTTTTGTTGTCTGTGTTTTTGAAGTTTTAGCCATAAAATTTTTGCCTAGACCAATGTCCAGAAGTGTTTCCCCTATATTTTCTTCTAGTAGACTTACAGGTTCAGGTCTTACATTTAAGCCTTTAATTCATTTTTACATATGGTAAGAAGTAGGGGTCTAGTT